>NC_000009.12:132300184-132614002 GCF_000001405.40 Homo sapiens | reverse complement strand
CCATCGGCTGGGCTCTGGCTCAGCTGGCAGAAGAGCAGGATTGGAGGTGAAGAGAGCAGTGACAGGGATGGCGGGGAGTGTTTGCAGGATGTCCCCCTCCTTCCTTGTTGGAGTGAGAAGCGGGTGGACACTTGATTTTCATTGTTACTTCCAGATATTCAATCTACGAGAATCTTTCCTCAAGGGAATGCCTAGTTAAGTAGACCAAAGCTCCACCCTCCTGGGAATGAGTCTGGCCTTTTTCTCAGGGAGGAGGGACCTACAACAAGGACCCCCTTTTCTGAATTTAATTTAATTTAGTTTTCCTTGAGACAGAGTTTTGCTCTTGTTGCCCAGGCTGGAGTGCGGTGGCACCATCTCTGCTAACTCCATCCTCAGCCTTCCAGGTTCAAGTGATTCTCCTGCCTCAGCCTCCTGAGTAGCCGGGATTACAGGCACCTGCCACCACATCCGGCTAATTTTTGCATTTTTAGTAGAGACAGGGTTTCACCATGTTGGCCAGTCTGGTCTCAAACTCCTGACCTCAGGTGATCCCCCCGACTTGGCCTCCCAAAGTGCTGGGATTACAGGCTTGAGCCACCGCGCCCGGCCGCTCTTCTTAATTTTAAAACGGCACTGAAACTTTCCTGACGTAGTGTTTGATGAATGTCCCTAAATTGTTGTCAGTCCTCAAGGGACTATTTTAGAGACTTAGTAGTTTTCTTTCTCCTTTAAACATTTGTTTCATTCCCTTTTTTACACATTCTTTGAGCAAGAAGCTCTGTATTGGTTAATCCTGGATACTTTTAGAATGAACTTGGTTTTAAAATCCCATGAGGAAGGCTGGGTGAGGTTGCTCACACTTGTATTCCCAAGCACTTTGAGAGGCTGAGGCGGGAGGACCACCTGAGGTCAGGAGTTCAAGACCAGCCTGGGCAACATAGTGAAACCCTGTCTCTACAAAAATAAAAATTTAAAAATTAGCCTGTAGTCTGAGGCACAAGGATTACTTGAACCCAGGAGCTTGAGGCTACAGTGAGGTATGATCACGTCACTGCACTCTAGTCTGGACAACATAGTGAGACCCCATCTCTTTAAAAAATTTTAAATTTAAAAAGTCCAGTGAGTACACAAAAAACTGGTATCAGGGATTGCCTATGGATAAGGGAGCTGGAGGTGGGGCTTGTGGTGAAGGGGGCATTGGTGGTAATGTCATTCATTCATAGTAAACATGACAGTCATAAGACAGCCTTTTGAACTTTGTAAATTTTGTAACAGACTAGCATGCATTAACTATTCAAAAGTAAGTAAAATTTAATTAGGAAAAATGTGTTAATATAAATGTCTAATGATTTTCTCATTTTCATAAGAAAACGATGTCCTGTGTTGATCATTTCTTAGTTTCTTCACCTATTCTCTCTTTTCACTCATTTACACAACAGACATCTACCGAGTGCCTGCTGGTACCAGGTGCTGTGCTGGGCCCCACCCTGTGGGATTGTTAGGAGCTGTGTGGTCAAATCTGATATTTTATCGGGCATATTCAAGTAATAATTGTGGCCCCCTGTAGTTTTTTTCTTTTTGTTGTTTAGGAATTGAAGAAATACACAGAAGTCTAGATTTTAGTTGTTTGTATATGTTGTAATTGTCCTGCTCATGTTTCGTTGCCTGGCAAGATAAAGTACAGAAGATAACCATTAGGCCGGGCACTTTGGAGCTTGGAGACCCCGGTCCTGACAGCTTCCCTCCCCGCTCTCTTTTCTTTCAGCTCTGCAGTCCTTCATCCAAGCCTACGCCACCTACCCCAGGGAGCTGAAGCACATCTTCCACGTCCGATCCCTCCACCTTGGGCATGTGGCGAAGAGCTTCGGACTAAGAGATGCCCCCAGGAATCTTAGTGCCTTGACTAGAAAGAAGAGGAAAGCACACGTGAAAAGGTAAGATGAGCTGAATTCGTCCCGTGACGGGGCTAGAGAGCTCCGTTCACATGATGTGATGTGCTAGCTGCCATGCTCACCGCAACTCTCTTCTCACTCATACCTGCCCTTCTCCCAATAAACAAGCACTTGGAATGAGAAGAAAGCCACCTCATCTTGCAGAAATTCAGGGGTGCCTCCTTTTGGGCCCAAATGTGGTGGGGTTCATAGGGCCCAAACGTAGTCGGAGCTTCAGTTGTGCTGCGGTCCGCCCTGGAAAGCATCCGAGATGTGTATGACACATTCTGGTGTGTTCTGTGTGACGAGGCCTGGGAGCATACCTTGTTCCAGTGAGATGGAAGGGCTGAGTGCCCAGCCTCAGATTCCAGGAGCTGCTGAAGCCCAGATCTCTAACAGGCTGGCTTTGGGGTCAGTGCTGGGCTCCTTGCTGCTGAGTTGCACCTCCAGTGGTGAGCGCTCATCAAGGCAAGAGCGGTGAGCCCTTCCCCTTTCCTCCCAAAAAGAGCCCTTTCCTCCCAAAAAGAGCATGTTCAGGACTTGTCCAGAGGTCCTGGGGAGAGGA
This sequence comes from Homo sapiens, assembly GCF_000001405.40. Taxonomy (NCBI): domain Eukaryota; kingdom Metazoa; phylum Chordata; class Mammalia; order Primates; family Hominidae; genus Homo; species Homo sapiens. The sequence continues at coordinate 132,611,524 of NC_000009.12, read as the reverse complement.
AGGAGAGGGAGGGGTATTGCCCTGTTCGAGGCTGGGCTCTGAGTCTGTTTTCCCAGTGCTGAGATGATTTCCCTCAGCATGCTACATTTGTAAAAGGCCTTCTTCCTCTCCTCAAAGACGTTCTTTTAGTACCAGCCTCAGCCCTCACAGGAGCCAGAGCGCGTGAGGCCCTGTGAGCCACTCATGTCAGAACTTTGGGGCGGATGGTCTCATTGTTTATGTGGGAACGGTCCGTTGAACAAATGTTTGGGGCACAGAGACTTTTTTTCTCACCTGTCCTGATTTCTGGGTTCAATCCCAGAACGTTGTGGATGGTTAGTTTGCATTGTTTATCCTCCCTTTTCCACGTTAATTTACAAACGCCGCAGGCTCCCCCACTGACTCTGGGAATCTGCAGGCAGAACCACTCTGAGCTGCCTGTTCCTGCCCAGTGTCCAGCTTGCCTGTTCACCGGGAAGGACCACTCTGTGCTTCCTGTTCCCACACGATGTCTGGCTTCTCCGTTCACCGGGAAGTGTCAGTTATTCCATCAGTCTTGTCAGGGCCCCGTTTCTCTAGCCTGTCACGGCAAAGACAGAGGGACCACCCAGTGGAGGGAAGTGACCATTGGTCTTGCAGTCAGGGAAGTTGGATTGAAGTCGGCTCCGTTCTGATGTGAGTTTGGGGCCTTCCCTTTTCTTAACGTCTCCGAGCCTCGATCTCAACTACACTAGGGGGAGGAAAATCCATATTTTTAGTTACTTCACGAGATTGTCTTGAGAATCAAAATCAGGTGATTCCTGTAATCCCAGCACCTTGGGAGGCCCAGGCAGGCAGATTGCTTGAGGCCAGGAGTTAGAGACTAGCCTGGGCAACATAGCGAGACCCTGTCTCTACAGAAAAAAAAAAAGATGAGGTGACTTGTGAATATGCTTTTTGAACCATATAGGGCCCTGCAGATGAAGGTTCTTACAAGCTAAAAAGCAGATTCGGGGACATCCAACTTGACCTCTCTGGGGGACTTGGCACCTCCAAGTCTCATTGGAATGGATACAGTGTTGCCTAATTCTCTTCCCAGTTTTGGAATTTTTAAGATGCTTGATTCTTTTCTGATACTAATAACTCTCACATAGGACAATGCTCCAGTAATTCTTTGAGGAAAAACAAACAGAAACTGTTTCTATGTGCTGCTCTACTGCAGTGCCTAGATGAGTGTGGACGTGTCCTTTGCTGGTTCCTTCTAGGCCATTTTGAGGTTCAGGAGTGCAGAGCAGGGCTGCAGCCCAAAGATGTTTCTGCTCATCCTCTGCTCGAGCCAGGCTGTCCTCCCAGAGGGCCATGATGCCTCAGCTCTACTCCCAGGCCCTCTTGGCTGTGCCAGGATTCTAGGCTGCGGGGCCTGGGAACTGGGTTCCCAGATCCTGTCTTAGGATCTGCTCTCCCCAGTACTCATGCATGTTAACTTTGATTTGAGTGCGGAATGAAACCATGAGGCTTCCCAGCTGATGACTAAGAGTAGCCTCATCATCAGAAGCCTGATCATTTTGTTACCATCTCGGCAATGGTGACACTTTGAGAGCAGAGGAAGAGATCTGCCAAATGATTACTGTTAAGAAACACACATGTGGCCAGGCGCGGTGACTCACTCTTATAATCCTAGCACTTTGGGAGGCCGAGGCGGGTGGATCACAAGGTCAGGAGTTCAAGACCAGCCTGGCCAAGATGGTGAAACCCCATCTCTACCAAAACTACAAAAATCAGCCAGGCGTGGTGACAGGCGCCTGTAATTCCAGCTACTTGGGAGGCTGAGGCAGGAGAATCGCTTGAACCTGGGCGGCAGAGGTTGCGGTGAGCCGAGATCGCGCCACTGCACTCCAGCCTGGGCGACAGAGTGAGACGCTGTCTCAAAGAAGAAAAAAAAAAGAAACACACATCTTTGTTTATTCCGATCCCTGAAAATAAATGCAATCCCAAGATTTCATAGTTAGCAGATGATCTCCCTTTATGACTGGAGATTTCATTAGCAAGTGTTAATCCAGATAGCAGCTCCTCAGACCGGCCCAGATCTTGGAAAGCAGAGAGGGAGGCCTGTGGGCGGGGGAATTGGAGGCAGCATTGTCCTTACCTTGAGAAGCCGCTAGGGAGAGAGCAGCCTGCCGCCTCCTGCCCCAGCTGACCCTCGCTAGCAGATGGGCACCAAGACCACGATACCCCTGTGAGCAGGGGATTTAACAGGGCTTTATTTAGGGAAGAATGGGCTGATTAGCTGATAAAGAGCATGTAAGATGGTATGGGGCAGCCTTTGATGTCTGGCTGGCGCGGCAGGGAGCCGGGTGGTGAGTGACAGCAGTGTGTCACAGGATTACTCCGCCCGTGACAATGCCGCTCTCTGTTCTTGCCATGTCCCCACTCTGTTACAGCTACTTTTTCCGTTGCTATGCCCTTCTTTTGAAGGCATTTCTCTTCACACTCCTTAGATCCTCCCCCCACCCCTGCCTTTCGAAGGCAGACGGGCACTCGAGGATACAGTAGTTACCTTTTTTTATTTGGGGAAATCTTGTCACTCCTGGAGGAGGAATGACTTTGCAGCTAATCTGCACATGGACCGTATAATTGTGGTCAGGGTAAGCGGCAGAGAAAACTTGACAGATTTTCCACACCTCAGTCAGGGTTTGAGCAAATGCCAGTTGCTGCTTTTTGAGGACTGGAAAGAAAAGTCCATTAAACCCCACAAAGTGCTTGAGTTATGCTGTGGTCACAATTACTGTTCTGAGCTGAAACGTCTCCTCTGAAATCCGTCTGTCAAGAAAGAGAATGGGTTCCTTATGTTTTGTATGGGTGAATAAAATAATGGCACTAAATTCTCTAAACTATTCTGCATTCCATTTTACGGTGTTTACTGCCTAGAATAATTATATATTATGTGCAAACCTGTGATATCTGCAAACCAAATCCATCAGACTAACAGAAGCCTGTCTCACCTGTCATATGCCAAGCGGGAGCTCAGGCGGGTATTAGAATGGGGATCGGGAGCAGGTTAGTGAGGAGGCTGTTCGGCTGGTCCATGCGATGGGAGAGGGACCCTTCGTCTCTTACATTGCCTTTAGTCCTTCACTCGACCACTTTTCAGAAAAGAAAAATAAATAGTTCGTGGCCCCAAATGAGATCTTAATAACTAGGTTTCTGTCGACTTTTCCAGTGCTCAGTTCTGCAAGGGAACAGTAAATATCTTCCCCTACACATAGAAATACAGTCATAGTCACAAAAACTCTTCTGACACCTACACGCAAACCTGTCAAAACAGCCCCCACCCCAAACACCGACATAGACATATACACAGATAGTTGGTGCTGTCGGTAAAATATTGAATGGCCCCTTAGCAACATCCATCACGAAAACAGCATTTTCCCTTCCGTGAAATGCAGTTCTTATTTTGAAGCTATAGTAGATTCAGCAGTTTCTGAGAAGCAAAGGTAACATATCCTTCCAAAGTCCCCATCTTTCCAGGAGATGCTGAGACCCAGCACTGTCTGCTGGGAGAGGCAGAATTGTGTTGTTTGCCAGGTGTCTATCTGTCTAGGTCGTCACACAAGTAGAACGTGTCAGAACAGTGAGCAGGCACGCTCAATAGGGCCACGATTCTCTCTCATTTCGCTGCCACTCTGTGGAAAATGGCTCAATAATATAGAAACGATGTGCCTTAAGTTCTTAGTGTTAGGCTGGGCACAGTGGCTCACACCTATAATCCCAGTGCTTTGGGAGGCCAAGCCCAGGAGGTCAAGGCTGCAGCAAACTATGATCACTGTACCACTGTTCTCCAGCGTGGGTGACAGAGTGAGACACCATCTCTAAAAAATAAAAATAAAATTTAAAAATGTTTAAAGATCTTGGTACTGTGACAGTACGAAAGAGCAAGTCTGCTGTTTCTAAACCACCCTATTTTATGTGAATTATATGCTGTGCTCACACAGTAGTTTTTGCCCAGACGATTCAGTTTATAGTACCTAAGACTGGTTTTACCCCTGACTTCTGCCACCTGCCTTTCTAGTGTTGTTCTTAGAGCTTAGAAACATCTGGGACATCTTCATTATCAGTAATGCAATAATTTTGTCCCCCTGTTGCTCCTAGCTTCCTCTTTAAAATTACTAAACAGCAATCTGAATTGTTGGAAAGAAAAGTTTTATTTGTATAAATTTTCTCAAGTCAGCCTAGCCCAAATGTTAGCTGGTAGCTCCTGATTTTATCAAATAAGGCATGGAGTCTAAGCTGGGGCTCTCTTACCCCTTAGTACCTAGTAGATCTGGGCATGCTAAGTCAGTGCTCAGCAGGCACTGATCAGTAGGAAGAGGGGAAGTGGGACCAGAACCAGCGCACCCTGTGGCTTGTGTGCCAGGCCTTGCAGAGGATTTCCTTAACCTCCCACACTTCTGAAGTTCTAGAAGTCATTTACTTTCTAAAATAAACATCCTCGTGGAAATCATACACACCAGTCGCCCCTTCTTCATAGATAGGACAGGTTCATAGATTTTTCCTGTCTGAATTATCAGAAATGCTTCCAATTGGAAATTTTGCAAAGCTCTGGGGTGGTTTTCATCTTTGAAGGCCTGTGCTGTGTTGTTCTCTGGTTCTCACCCTTGCTCATTCAGCAATTGTTTAATACCTGGGAAGAGCTAACTGTGCAGAATAGAGCTCTAGCTTGAGGAGTCTGTACCCCCGTTAGCCCTCTCCCTTGCCCCTCTCTGGTTTCTTACATGCCGACTCTGGGAGAATCACAGTGATTACATCTGGGATTGAATCACACAGACACCAGGATTGAATCCTGGCCGGGCCACTTACAGTCTGTGTGCCTCTGGACAAGTCACTCAGCGTCTCTGTGCCTGGGTCCTCTGGCCTCAAAGGGAGGTACTCAAGTCGCCCTTTGATTGTGGGGGTTAAGCCAGATCATGAGTGGAAACATCGTGGTGTCCGGCACGGGAATAAGCGGGAGCATCTGGTGATCATCACAACGACCATATTGTCGCATTGCTTCTTCCCCCAGCCTCCATCATTGTCGCGAGTACCCGCGGAACCGAGAGTACGAAAAGTGAACTTCAACCTTTTAGCACCCTTGAACTTTTCTTATCAGGAACAACCTTGGAAACATGGAACCGAGTCCCTCAAAGACGAGCATTAAGAAGCTGCAGCTGCATCTCCCTGTAAAGCAATATTCTCATCATTAGAGCAGCTTGCCTGCCAATTTTTATGTGGCATTTACAACCTCCCTAATATCACTTAATTAGCTGAAGGCAAACCTGGAATCTTGCCCACTGTGAAAACTTTCTCGATTTCATTGAGCCAGTTAGCATTCTGTAAAAAGACAGATTGGCCAAACATGAGATGAGAGGCTGGACGAAACCACACTTGGAGACATGAGGATTTCTCCGTGTAAATCCACTGCACCTGAGTCAGTGCTTATCTACTCCATCTCAGCCGCATCCAACACTGTTGATCCCTCCGGCCTCCTTAAATCTGTCTCTTCCCTCCGCTTCCCAAACGCTGTCTTTATGAATAGCAGCCCTCAGCCCCGGCGCTCCATCCGAACCTCTGAAACAGTCTCCCACCGAGTCTTCCTGTGGCCACGGCACCGCAGTCAGCTAGCACCTCCACAGCCCTCACCGCATCTTGCCCTGGCTTAGCGCCTTTCAGTGGCATCCCGTTAGGCTGTGATTAGAGCAAGCCACAACAAACCCCCCTCCTCACAAAGGCCCCCAGCCTTTGCTGATTGTTCAGCCTCATCCCACACCCCTGTTTCTTATCCTTTCCTCAGGGCCTTTGCCTGAACATGTCCTGGGCCTGGACCTCTCCCCTCCATGCTGTGCCCTCTCCAGCCAGGCAGACACCCTCACGTCTCTGCCCTGGCCCTGGTCTGTTGTGGTGGCAGCTTTGCATCTGCTTGTGGTATTTGTATGTGTGGTCAGCGTCTGCCCCTCCTCGAAAGTATAGCTTAGAGAACAGCCCCTGCCTGGTGTTTGCTCATCGTGCAGGTTGCGTATTTCTCATCCAGAATGCTTGGGGACCACAAGTGTGTCAGGTTTCAGTGTTTTCAGGTTTTGTGGTGTTTGCGTTGTACAGGTTTTTTGAGCACCCAAACCCTGAACTCTGCAGTGCTGCAGTGAGCATTTCCTTTTAGTGCCACATATCATGCATCATGCTGGTGCTCAGAAAGCTTTGGGTTTTGGAGCATATTAGTTTTCAGATTTGAGATGCTCAACCCGAATGCCCAGCACCTGTCACAGAACCTGGCACGCAGTAGGTGCTCGGTAAATTTTTTGTAATAGATGAGTAGAAACCAAAATGTCCTATAATTCTGAGAGGAAGTGCACAAAGGAAAAGAAAGGAAGAAGGAATTGTTCTGACTTGAAAAGGAGGTAAATCCCTTTTTATTGTGTAGTGAATTTGGAAAACAGCAAACCCTGCCTGGTGGGAAAGTCGTCTTTCAGAACTCTAGGGGCTGCTTGTCAGTCATTCTGTCCTAAGAGAACAGGCCTGGGGTTGGGATCTCCTTCCCCACATAAAGGCATCCTCAGGAAGGACAGCATTCCCCATGCCCCTCGTGGTCCAGCCGCTGGTTCTGTTCCCTGGTGAAGGAGGCCTGGGATCAGCCCACAGAACACAGAAATGAGCAGGCTCAGGAGTGGGGCCTCCACCCCACCTAGACAAGGCCAGAGCAGGCACCCAGGCAGAGAGAGGTTGCTAGGCCTTGCTGGAAGACCAGAGCAAAACAGTTAGGACCACCAGAAGTAGCCACGAGGACAGATGTGGCAGTATATGGGGAAACAGAATGTGCTCTGGAAGTCTGCTGGGGAATCGTATGAAAATGCTCTGCCCAGGCTCCAACCCAGGAGACCGTGTTTCAGTAAAATCTAAAATTATGAAGAGTGAGATAGAAGTGACCGTGAACTTGACCCAGGGACAGTCCCTGGGAACTTGAAAGAATGTGGTCCTCAGAGCAGATGATGAGATGCTCTTCTTCACATGGCAGGGCAGCAAGGTGCTGCTGAATATATCCGTAGTTTAAAGATAAGTTAGGATTAATCAGTAGTTTTTTATGTAGAACCTGGGCCAGCTGCACAGATGATAGCCAAGAACATGCTCTCATGGCCTCTGTCAGGGGAGGCAGGCTGGCACCTCTGGGGTCCATGCTGGATCGTGTCTTTAGGGCATTTCTCTTAAGAATAAACTCTTGTCCAGCCTGGAGCAAGAGATCGGAGCACTACTGTGGAAGGTGACTGCGTTTCTTCTGAGTGGGGAACACTGGCCTGTAGTCTCAGGGACCATTTGTCAAATGAATCCATCTGTTATAGAGTTCATGCACCTCATGTTCACAGGCAACTCCAAATGGGTTGCACAGTGTGGGCACATGCTCCAGTGGGGGTTCTGCCCTTCCCCTCTCAGCACACCCCATGCAAAACCAGTTTCCACTGCTTTACCTTCCTTCTACGGTCAGGTGCTGTGGGCCTTGCTTTTCGGGCTCTGGTTTAATTACAGCTGTGCACACACAGCTTTTTACATTTGGCCTTTTGCTTCCACCATGGTTTTTTTCTATGTGACACCATGCAATTACCAGCTTTCTGCTTCCTCGTGGAACAAACGCACCCTCCTCCCCACCCTGCTAATGAGGCGATTAGAGGATTTCACAGTGACCCTGAGCTTCCTCCACACCTGGGTCACCTGCAGACAGCGGGAACCACAGGGCGTGCTTTCAGTCATGCAGTCAGGGCTGACAACAAAGAACAGGAACCCAGCCAGCCTCTCCCGGGACGATGCTGGAGACGGGCACATTCACTGCTGGAGCTGCCCAAGCACTGGAATTAGTAGATGTGGCTGGCCTAGCACAAACCGCTAGGTCCAGATGCGGCCGTGTGCAACAGGAGAGTACCAGCTCTTCATTAGCTCGTCCTTGCTCAGAGCTCTTCTAGTTCATATCATTTGAGAGATCAAGAAAGAACATGACAGTCCCCCAGGTCTCCCCTTCTGCACGCAGGATAGTTTTAGTCATCCCAAACCCCTCCTGTATTACAGCCGACTACCTCCTCTCCTCTTCTAATCTAACTCTACTTTCATTAAGTTGCTTTCTGCAACAGGAAGGTGTGTATCCCGGACCCCTCCACACTCTTCTTCATGATGTCAGAGCCTTTCCATCTTGTTATAACCTGTACGAAATGACTTCAAGTCTTTTTCAGATATCTCCACGTTGGTCCCAATGTTATAGCTACGGTCCAAAATGCAGAGTAATTTGTTAACTACTTAATAGTCAAAATGAGGGATACAGTTGAGAACCAGCATCCCAGAGCGACAGCATGTGACACTTTGTGCATGTCAGTTTTAAGTGCTCGTGGCGGTGGCAGCAGCATCTCTTTTGAGGGCTTACGTGTGTTCTCTGCTGAGCTGAGTCCTCCATGCACATTATCTCACTGAGGCCTCATCCAGTCCCTGTGACCAAGGCAGGATCCGCAGTGGCCAGTGTAGAACTCGGAGCCCGGTCATGTGATTCTGAGTCTTAGAGATCCTGAAGCCCAAACTCTCAGCCAAGGGCCGTGTCCGCTTTCTCGCCTGCCCCGTCTGGAAGCTGCTGGTTTCTAGAATCTGTATTGGGTGAAATAGCAAGTATATGAACACAAGGAGATAACTACTCGTGTAACCAAAGAAATGGCCTTAAAGTAGGAGATGTTTTGGTAGTGTGTGTGGAAGAATTTGGTTTGAAACTGTCAGAGTATCTTCGTAATGGGCAGCATGTGAATGCTTTTAGTACATTAGCTTTTGTAAGTGAATAAACTGGGACTTAGAGAGATGAGTACCTTGGCCAAACTTCCAAGAGTGGGTCGTAGATGTTTTCTATTCTTTGGGGAAATCATTGGAACAACTTTGAGAAGAGATGATTATAAGCAAGATTTGGATCTAACTTTTTTTCCAGTTTCCTCTAGGTCTGGAAGCAGAACGGTACAGTGCTAGGAGCGTGGGTTTTGAAGCCAACATTCCTGAGTTTGATTCCAACTCAGCAGCTTAGCTGTAAAATGGAGGTGCTGTAGGGTTGTTGTGTAGGGTGTGGGGAAGGGTAAGGAATGTGCAGCCTTAGCTCAGTGCTGATCTCAGAGTGGGTGTTTGATAAACAGCTGTCTGCCCTGTCTCACTTCCTCTCTTTGATCTGTAAATAAAAGATGGAAACTACATAGAGTCTTCCCTGAGTCTGCCCAGCCTGGCCCAACCTGGTCCTGTGGGTCCCACTGCACTTCCCATGGTTGCTGTGGCCTGTGCTTCAGCACCCCTGGCGTCCCAGTGCCTTGCAGCCCCCAGGGCTGTCCATTCATGGACCTGGCTTGCCATTAGAGCTTCTGAGAATGAGCCAGAATTCACTACTTTCATTTTCCACCCTTTGGTCTTATTTCCATTGTTTGGCCTCTGTGAGATTCAAACGCTGTGTGTACATGATTTGCAAACATAGAAGTGATGTTATTGATCAGACCAGGCCTTAGTTCACATGACAATATGCCACATATCTGAGGATGACTCCTGTCTCCTCCCCTTTTCTCTTTTTCGTGCTGTTAATAATAACACTAGTCAGCATTTACTGAGTACTTTCCTAACAGGCTGTGTGCTGAATAGAGTGTTAGCTCATTAATCGTTGTAAGTGAATAACGTGGGACTTAGAGAAATAAGTACCTTGGCCGAACTTCCAGAATCAGTTCTACAGCCTGTATGAGGTTGTGCCAGGACCCCTGCTCAGAGGGGCTTGTTTCTGGTGTGCCTGTCTCAGGCTGTACGAAGGCCCAGCTGCATTTTGGTCTGTACTGTTGCAGCCTGTCCTCTGGATGGCTCGGCTCCACCCATCCTATCTGCCCAGGTTCTTTTCAAAGTCTGGTTCGTGAAAGTATCCAGACTTACAATGGAAACTGCCCAGCAAGAAGTATGGGGCAATCACGTCTGTTAGTGCAGGGGATGATAATGGCAGGGATGGCGGCTCCACTGATGGATGCTCAGCAGTGGCCAGGCACTGGCCCCCATGATGGATGGCCATTGTGGTCCTCACTTCAATCATGATGTTATCCCTGTTTTACAGAGGAGGAAACTGCCCATGATGGCACCACTGTCCACTGGGCAGAGCCGCGATTCGAACCCAGACCTCTGGTTTCAGGTTGAAACTTGCCAACTGAATCCCTGTCCATTTGCATATGTGACAGTTATGCCACCCTACCTTCTAACAGCAAGACCTGACATCTGTCCCAGTTCAAGCTCACCTTGCCAGCGTAGGCCCATCCCTTTGGTCTCCTAGACTGTTGTTATTTTGTCAGCCAGTGTATTAGCTGTTCCTGCAGATGTGGTAGACATGCCTCATGATTTCATCCAGTTCACCCACAGTGTCAAACAGGACAGGCCCAGAGGGCTGCGCTCTGGGGTGTGGGGCTGGGATTCTGCCTCAAGCTGGTCCTTCTCAGTCAGTATTTTCAGTGTGTAATCATAACAGTTCCAAGCACAACTCACTGCTGCCATGTTCACCCTGTATTCTCCATCTTAACAGTAATTCATAAGGCTTTCACAGAATTAAAATGTACCGAGCTCTCTAACGCACTGTAGGCTGTTTTACCTTCATACTGGCCATGTGCCTGTGCATAGGTCCTTTCTGATGTACCGGGAAACGAAGCTTGGAGAAAGCTGCTGTGACTCTACAAGGTCATCAGCTAGGCGAGTGGCAGAACTGGGATTCCAACCAAGGTCATCAAATTCTGGTCCTCTGCCCGTCCCCAGCACTGCCACCTGCCATCTGAAGTTCCTGCTTATGTTCTGACAGAACTTCCTAAGAGTTTTGGTCACCTGGGCTAAATAGTCTCAAAGTTCCCATCCATTTCTGGGGCTCTGGTGAAGCCCTTCATTTTCAAACATCGGCCATATCTAAATATGATCTCTCCTCTTTCCCATCATGTGCATGGCCTTCCAGGCAGCAAGTGTGCCGGGCCATCCGCGGTTTTTCTCAGTTGTGGTCTGTGCTGCCTGCCACTGTGCCTGTCCTTGGCCCAGGGCTCGGAGTTCTGAGCTTCACTAGATCTTGATCTTTGGCACAAAGCTGAAGTCCACTTTTCACCAGCCTCTGTGTCCACAGAACCCCTCCTAGGAATGCTGCTGTGATTCCCATGATTCCCACTGCCACAGCAGGACTCAACTGGAGCCGAGTGTCTTCTGGGGCTCTGGTAGTTTTACAAAAGCTAGACTTGATTGGATCCTAAGAAATCACAAAGAAGGCATCCCTAAAACAGCTGGTCTGCCAGCATACTTCTCTACCAGAACAGAACCCAGAGGTTGAAAGAGTCTAGATACAGTTCCTTTTCCTCACTGACCATAAAAGGTAGGGTAGCATCCTCCTTGGGTTGGCCCATGCCAAGGTCAAGTTGTCATGACATCCCACACCAGCTTATTCTTTCCCTCAGCTCCTCTGTGTACAAGCATACGGAGGGCCCGCTTGTCACATTCCCCTGGAGTTGCCTGTTACCCTCACTGTGACCTGAGAGCCACCAAAACCCTACCCAGACATTGCTGCCTTTTTGTCCTCCATAGAGTCAGGCACAAGTGTAGAGACTTATAGTCAGTCCCGGGCCACCTGAAGTCCTCACGGTCTCCTGCGTTCACTGAGAGCCCAGGCTTTTCTTCCCATGTGGGGGACTTGCGTCGTCAGCAGAGACCTTCAGGGCCTAGCCGTGGCCCTGGAACATGTGCTTATAAGCAGCCTCGTTCAGATTAGAGGAGTGCACTTGACTAGTCCTCATTCTGAAGAACCCCTGTCTGTCTGTCTGTCTATGTTTTAATTGTACTACACCCTCGCAAAATCAAACCAACTCAAAGCCAAAAGGCAGACAGGTTTCTGATGAGTAGAAATTAAAATACTCTGGCATTTCACTATAGGACAAAATTCTACCATTTGCTTTTGTTTCCCCTTAGAGTGAATATACTGTTATTTTCTAATTATAAAAATAATGCATGCTCATTGTAAAACTACAGGACATAGGGAAAAGCTCAAAAATTAACCATAAGCCTACATTCAGGTTAACCCTGATACATTTCCTATATCCTTCAGACTTTGCACGTATACATACAGGCATACAGATTTATGTATATTAAAAACATTTTATGCCAGGAACTTGCCCCTTGTTTTGAAAACTGTAGCATGGTGACAGACTGCTATGGTTAAACTCTGTGAAGTCAGATTTCCTGAGTTCAAATTCCAGCTCTTGCATTACTGATTTTTGGCCCTGGACAAATGACCTAATCTCTCTGTGCCTCAGTTTCCTTACCAGGAAGTGGGGATACTAGTAGTACCTGTTTCAGGCGGTGGTTGGAAAAGTGAGTAAGTTAAATGCCTATGTCATGTAGTCGGTTTGGATGGCTTTGATTTTACCTGTTTTACATTTAAATCCATTAACAACCCATGTAATTGGTATTCGCTTCAATGTTTTCATCTATTTGTAGAGCCCATGAAGGGCGCCATTGTGGTCATCACTGCTTTTCACACAGAGCCTGCAGGAAGTGCTCTAGAGGAGCGTTTCAAGACCTTGGGGAAAAGAGTTACTGTTCAGTGACCGTTGTGGATAACTGGATAACTCTTAGGAAGAAACAGTTCATTTTTCTATTAATCAAAATAAAACTTAGATGGAATTAAAGCAGTAGCAAGCTAGATGAAAATATACTTTAATATTTTTGAAATCCTAGAATGAAGACTTTCCCAAACATGACCCTAAAGCCATAAAACATGGAAGAAACTATTGATAGCCTTAACGGTACATAAATAAAATTTAAACTTCTGTCCTATAAAAGAGTGCCATTAGCAAAAGCCTGAATTAGAATGGGTTTTTACCTAGGAAGATCATTGTGAGAATGTAATGATAAAGTTGGGAGAAGGCCCTGCGATCTCTCTTCTCCAGTGGTCATTGTAACGGGGTATATTGATTTACTAATTAGGCTGTGATTTCACCTTATTGGTGGTGCAAGTGGCATCTGCCTGTCTTGCTGAGTAATCCAGCCTGGTAACTGAGGGGGGGTTTATTCAGCCTTCACTACAAGGGAGTTCCCTGTGGTTAGATAAACTGATCTGTTGCTTGGTAACTACAGGATTACTATGGTGGATGCTCAGGAAGGCCATTGGAGAGGGGTGCGGGTATTTGGAGGGCAAGGAGGGCGAGAAAGTTGGCAGGTTCCTGGGAGCACTGCAGCTTGGCAGAAGGAGAAATTGAGTGCCCATCGCATGCTTGGGTTTAGAGCATTTCATCTTCCCATCTGTACTTCGCCTTTTCAGCATTGGGCCTTGGAACAAAGGAAAAGGAGACAGGGAGCTGGCCAAGGGATGAATGGGTTTTGTTGAGGTGGCTGTCATGACAGCAGGTGAAACCCCTGCAGGGTTGGCCTGAGCTTCTCCCACCTAAGGAAGAGGTCTGGGCTAGAAAATGCCACCCTCTGCCTGCTTGCTGACCACCGGAACCTCTGAGTGAGTGGACTGCTGGCTTTGCATCCCAGGTCAAAAGGACATTGACTAACATGATGAAATAGCCAGGAAAGGTGGTGATGATAACTGAAGGCACGTAGGACCCATCTCCAAAAGGTGCTTTCGAACGGCGTCCTCTTCCACCACGTGGGCCCTCCTGTTCCTATTCAGTGGCGCAATGTACGCACCAGTGGTTGCCTTCCTCCACCCCAGACCCACGGTGTTTGTGAAGGGACAGGTCTGGAGGAGCTGTAGAAGTGGCCCCGGTGGTGTCTGGGTGTCTGCCTGTTGTGTAGGCTGCATTTGTGGGTGTGGGCTTCTGCTCTGTTGGGTGGATGGCAGCCTGGGAGCACGGGCGCACTGCCTGAGCGCTGGTGCCTGGAAGATGCTCCCGCAGCCCGCACCGCTTCTGTAGGCAATTAGTGTATCAGTCACTCCAGTAAGATGCTGGTTCTTTATTTTGCCTTAGCGGTAGCAGGAGCCATCGTTGAAGTGCTGGAGCTTATGCTGGGGAGCATATTTTGACTGAAATTTTGCATATTTTGAAACTTAGGTTGTTACATTTAAAATTATACACATTGTGAACCTGGCTTCAAACAAGAGGGAAGAAAAAGCATTCCTTCCTGTCAGACCCTTTTCACTCTGTCACATAACCTGACTAAAAATAAACTACAGGCACAGGAACTGGCAGCCTTCAGTTTGGAACAAGTTGAGTGCGCCCAACCGCAGGCCCTGTCTCCCGCCACTTCCCAACCACAGGTCAGCCCCCAGCAGCTTGGACCTCCTCCAGGGACACTGGTGCACATGGTCCGCACTGGGCGGGTGACCCATGATGAGACTCGCTGCTCTTAGGGAAGTGGTGGATGCTCTCAGAAGAGCCCCAGCCCAGCTGTCAGGGGCCGTAGCACCAGTCCTGGCTCCTGTGTGGCTCTGGGGGAGGTGCGTGGCATCTCCAGACCTCAGTTTCCTAATGTTTAACTGTGACTGCGATCCACATGCCAACCACCAGCTACCCCCTTATATGTCTTGATTTTTTCTAATCCTCACACCTGAGTGCCATTCTCAGTGAGGAAACTGAGGCACAGAGCCTGAGTCACTCATTCTGTGTCCTCAGCTGATGAGTGATAGTCAAGTTCCAACCCTGGCTTCTCCCTCCTCCACCCTGCAGCTCTGCTGTCTCCCCTCACCACTCCCTACTCACTTGCCTGGCTCCTGCCCCACTGTCCTGCTGAAGTAGTCCTTAGGAGACCACAGAGGACCCCTCCCATCACATCTCACCATTTTCCACCCTTGGTCCAGCTGAGTCCTGCCCCCGCTGACCCGGCAAATCGTTCTCTGCCCTGAGTTTGCCTCTTGGCTTCTCCACTTACCAGCCATGTGGTCCTGGGGCAGGTTACCCTCCTTGAGTCTTTGTGTCCTTGTCTGTAAATGAGGATAATAACCGTACCCACCTTGTTGAGCGAGGATTGTAAGAGATTGTGTATGTGAATCATTTCCCACAGACCCCAGGAAGTCTTCCCTGTATACTTCTAATCTTCTCACTACATCCTGCCCTGATGTGCTCACCCCATAAACTCCTGGCCTTTAAATGTTATCTGTTCATTGTCCCCTTGTTTCAGATCTTCTTTTCCTGCAGAGGTTGGCTTGAATGTGTCTTCCTGTATGTTGCAATAGAAAACACCATTGTATGACTGTCACCCTGTCCTCTGGAGTGTGATTAGAAACAGGTATTATTGCTTTAGCTCGTTTATAATGGGTTTCTACAAGCTTTCACAGTCAGGTTAACAACACACTATTAGTCTTATTTCTAATTCTTGGGTTTTAAAGGCATTGTTACATTTATTTTGACCACAGTTTCAGTTCAGTTTATTCTCTGATTACAGCAAAGAAAATGCTCTAAATGTAGTAGCAGAACGTAACATATGTCTTTGTGAGAACTCCATGACACTATAGTATCCTAAGACATTGCCGTTTTGGTATTGAAGGAGTTGCCAGCAAGGAAGTGTGGATTTATTGGTAATTGTTTTATTGTTGTTGCTTTGGTTAAAATCCTGTCTTAAGAAACATTGTTTTACTCTTCAGTTTTCATAATCATTCTTCTTATGTATGATTGAACATCTACAAATTTCCTCCTCTGATCTTCCGATCAAATGGTAAAATTGCCATCTTTTCAGAACAGTTATCAGGATTCGACATCGGAAATTGATTTTCAACCTTTGGCATTTTCTGAGTGACTTAGGGTAGGGAGAGACCTCCCTCTAACACCCGGGTTTGTGTGGGCTGCAGAAAGCTGCTGGTCTAATCCTAGATGCAGACATTGACCAGGCTGTGCCCTGGGTTTGGGTTTTGTAGGGTCAGAAATATGTTTAAGAGTTTTTTCCGTTCATAAAGAGCTATCTGGCTGTCATCCCAGCCTTCACTGTGGAACCCTGGAGGGCTGCGTGGAACTTGCTGGACTCTGCTCCCGCAGGGCTGAGTCCTGAAGCCCTCAGGAGCCCATGAGGAGGCCAGTTGCTTTAAGCTGCTTAGGGGTTACTGGGAAGCTGCCGTGAGCTTTCACTGCTTCATGTTGTTGAGTGTGACGGTGGGTTTTTCCCTGTCCTTTGGCAAACCGCTGTATCATACACCTCATTTGCCATCAGAGCATGAGGGTGTATAGTTCTTTTTTTCCCCATGAAAACAACACAGAACAAAGCCTCACTTTTAAAAATGCCATGATATTTTGCCGCTGTTATGAAAATCTGTCAGCGCCGTATCTAATCTTCTGGTGCATCGAATATCAAAACAAGTACTATTGAAGGGATTGTACTTCTGTTAATACAAAAATGTCAGCTTCACAGTCTCAGAACCAGCTGCTATCAGCCTCTTTCCAAATGGGAAAGAAAAATAATAAAGTTTCTTTTCCCTCTCTGCTGTTACTGTTCTTCAGGCCTGACCTTCATAAGAAGACCCAGAGTAAACACAGCCTCGCTGAAATCCTACGTTCGGAATACTCAAGCGGCATGGAGGCCGACATCGCCAAGGTCAAAAAGCAAAACGCACCTGGAGAGCCTGGTGGCCGGCCCCTGCAGCACAGTCTGCAGCCGACACCCTGCTTTGGCCGTGGGAAAACATTAAAATGGAGAAAAACCCAAAAAGGTGTACAGCGGGACAGCAAGACTTCCCAGAAAGTTTAAAATCTCTCTGGGTCTTCGAGTGGAACCTGGAAGCCCCGGGTGGCAGTGGATTGATGTCCAGTTCTTGTCAGAGGAGGCTTGTGAAAAATAACTGCGCCTTTGCCTGAATACCACGTCCCCAAGAATCAGAGGGGCCACAGCCCTTCTCCTCCATGGGAGGCCCTGGAGCCTGATAGAAATCAGTGGTGTGGGGCACTGTAGAGACTAGCCAGCTCCCGACGGAAGGGGTCTGTGTCTTGTATTGATCCCATCAGTGCCCGGCACTCCCTTCACCCAGGTGCTGACGTGCCGGGGTTGAGCTGGCACCCCGGGATGTGATGTAAGAACGCCCTGCGCGTCAGCCTGGAACGGGCTTGATTGCTGCCCTTAACTGTGTTCTGAAGTTTCACAGCTTGGCTTCAGCCTATCAGCGCATACATTGGCATGAATTTTGTGAATTAGGGTGTTAAAAACTGGAATTGAATTTGTACAAAAAGAGAATATATTTATCACTAATTATTTTCTTAATGTAGGAATGTACCGTTAAAAAGGACCAAAAGTTTTTGGTCTGGGTCAAAAAATACGAATGTGTTCTCAGGCTCGTGGTCCCTCTTATTTTCTTCTGGAAACACGAGGTTGCATTTACATGCATTGCTCCCTCTTTCATGTCCACTGAAAACTCACTCTCTCAGGGCTAATTGATTTACTGTTGGCTTTTTATTATTTGCCTTTGAAGTCAAAAGGCACCAGTATCCCAAGCTTTTTTTCCCTATCGAATCCTGTCTTGTCTTCAAGAAAGGTCTGGGGGTCTTTGTATTGTGACCCAGGCCACAGCTGCCCGCCCCCCGCCCCCGACCCACCCCGCCCTGCCCCTGCATTGTGTTTTCTGGGAGGTTTGAAAGAGGCCCCCTGGAGCATATTGATTTCCCAATAAATGTAAGATTTGGGCACTTGCAGAGGGGTCCAGAAGAGAAAGGGTTGGAGGCCTCCACACCTGTGGGCACCGCTCCTGTCCTCTCCACTGTGTCTTGCCTTCTCAGTTTCCTTCTCCTCTGCAGTGACTGTGCCGCCCTCTGTGGTCTCCCCAGGACCAGTGTTGAGGCACCACTTCAGTAGATCCCCCCAGATCCTTGGAAGGTCTGAGTGGCCACGAGAGGGTGGTGAGAGTTGGCAAGGTGGGCCTTCCTGCAGGGACCACGGGGGGTCAGCATCCTTGCCTCCGTTCTAGACACAGGTGAATGTCAGTGGGCACCCACACTGGCGGAGACTCCAGTGTGAGGGCAAGGAGGAGCCTAGTGAGACTGGATCCTCTGCAGGTGGAAAAATAGGACCTTCTCAGAGTTGGCTGTCACATACAAATTAACAGGGACTGTGGGTGACGTTTCTAACAATAATAATTAAAAAACAACAACCCTGCAGCACATGTCAGCCTGGCGTTGGGCAAGTCTGCCACCTTTCTTTTATTTCGATGTGTAATGGTTCACATGATTTGGATGAGAAAAGGAGGGATCAAACTTTATAGACAAAACCCAGCTGTGTGAAAAACAGGATTAATGCCAGTGATTGGGGATGATCAAAGAGAAACCTTACTTTTTCTCCCCCAGTACTCATTCCACTAAAGGGCGAATTGGCAGAGTTCGGCATCCCTGGGGGGAAAGAGAAGTGCTAGAATCATGCAACGTGTGAGTGACGATAATTCCAAGATCAAAACTTACACACTTAATCTGCTAACTCTTATGGTGAGGGTTTCTTGCCATAGATGCTATGTGGGTCTGTTTCTAAGTAGAATCACTATATTACCCCAGTTAATAAAGAAACATGGATTTAGCAGATTTAAGGTTAATATTGTTTAAATTTAAATAACCTTAAAATAAATCTCTTTCTCTTCTATTATGGCTCTTGACAGATTATACATTTCAGGCACCAATTAGGCAAAGCTTTAGCCTAATTCCACTGTACATATTCTAATTTTTGTGTATGTTTAATCATGCCTCTTTTTAAAATTTCCCAAACTTACTCATGTCTCTATATCATAAGCCTGGTTCCCATATTTAGAGTCACACAGAATTTGGACATTTAATAGAATGTTGCAGCCTAAAAGCGTTTCCCCCGAGTGGGCTTGTAGAATGTTTTTTTGGAAACCAAAACATCCTCATGTTTGCCACAGCCTTAGCAGTTGACGGGCCTCATTCTCACGCACTGAAGGGCAGAGACCCCTTGCTGAGAGATGAAGTCCGTGCTGATGTGCAGACAGCCCCTTGCACTCTAGAGAAGCAACGAACCAACCAAATCTCAGTAAAGGACTTTTTTTTTTTTTTTAACGAAGCCCAGTGGGTTATTTTGATTTTTTTCTTTTCCCCCTGGGGTGAAGGGAGGAGAACTTTAGGGAAGAGGGGAGTAAATGAGACCTTTCGGAGCAGGTATCTCCCAAACTGCCAGGGGCCTCCCCGCTTAGCCCTTCAGGCCACAGTCAGTGGAAGCCATTAAAATCCGGGCGTTGCTTTGTAGAGACGCAAGTTGGAGGCTTTTCCACGGGAGAAGTTGCCCTGCTTGAAAAGGCTTCTTAACTGGTCTTGTTAAACCTCCCCCTTGATCATTAGACATTATCTCTTAATCTGCTCCACACTAGGAAGAATCCAGAGCCAGGCCTGTCGCTGTGGGGGGAGTGGGGCACCCTGAAAATCAGCTCAGGTTCTCAACTTGCCCCAGTCCTCAATTTCCCTTGCGACCGAGGGCCAGCAGGGAGCTCTAAACTTCTTTTCAACTTTGTTGCCCCCTCCCTGTTGAGTCGGCGTTTATGAGGGGGGATGGGTCAGTGGCAGAGCGGGGGAAGATGGCTTCTCAGCCCTCTCCTATTGTCAGGCCTGTTGGGGTCCCACATTCATTCTTTTTTTCTTACACGAGAGCTCGCCCAACCTCAGGGTTGGGAACAGAAACCAATTTAGCCTTCTAAGTGGATGGAAGGCAGGAGCCCACCTCACTGCAAAGGTTGTGAAGTTATTATTACAGATGGGATGTGCAGGACAATTTAAAATATTCTAATTATAAACTTGTAGGGAAGCCTTGTTCTTCATTAATGTAGGATATGAAATCGCCTCTGAGGTACAAGGACAATTACATAGTTGAGAATGTGTCTGTGGTTTGCGCTGCCACTGTGTAAATGTGAGGGTGGTTGCTACGGTCTATCTCCTTCACTTTCACAAAATGAAAAGCACACCAGTGCAAGTTGTCCTTTGATAGATTTTTAATATGATTTTAAAGAGTTTTGTTTGGTCTCATTCTTATTCAATGAGATTAATTTAAAGCACTTATCCCCTGGGTTTAAGTCAATCCATGTAGGATTTGGGCAGGGTTTGTTGCATGGGGGGTTTTGTTTGCAGGAGGCTATGAGAGACTCCTTTCCCACTTCATTAACCCTGAGTTGGGGACAGTCTCTCCTCACCCCCCACCAGAGCCAGAGCTGGGGATTTACCAACCCCCATTCACATGCAAAAGAACTCGAAAGCCGAGGGGCTCCTTGACTTAATTAGCTGCTGTGCATTTTGCAAAATTAGAATAATACCCTCGCCATCCCAGGAAAGAAAGCTGCTGTGCGAGGGTGTTTCGGGGCAGGGAGGAAACAGTAGCGGACCTGGCTGTGGGTATGGTTTTCGAGAGGGGTTATAGTCTGAACACAGCCCCCGTCTTCAGAGAAACCCTGCCCCCAAACTAGAGGGGCCACGGCTTGCCGGCCCCCAAAACTTCCCAGCGCTGAGGGTTAGCGAGCTGCAGGTGGTGTGTGGGAAGGGAGCACCTGCGCCCACCTCCCCAGAGAGGGAGCAGTCTCAGGTGACCGTGGCCCTTTGGACGTGAACTGGAAGCCTCGAGTCTGACTCGGGACTTAAACCCCTCTCCCCTGAGATGCTAGAGCTGCGGTCTGGGGCAGCCAGAAGAGATGGGGCAGACGCTGGGATTTGGCTCCCCTCTGGGTCTCATTTCCAACCTCCTCCCGGGGTAAAGGGGAGGTGAGAAGATGTGGGAGTGGGGGTTTACCCGATGTGGCGTCTGGTTCGCAGCGAAGGCGCGCGGAGTCCTGCCTGGTGCGGGAGGCCGGGAGGCCCGGGCCGCCTTGGCGCCCGCGAGCGTCGGGAGCCCGAGCGCGGCCGGACGCTGGGCGGAGGGTGGGAGTGATGGGGGGAGCAGCCTCGGAGCCCATCTGTCGGCCCGCGCCCGGCGGGCCGGTCACCAGCTGCCGGGGCCCTTGTCGCGGCCAGATGAGTCGGCTCGGCGAGGGCCCCGCAGCCCGGCCCGCAGCCGACCGAGGCCCCGCGCTGACCCCCGCCTGTTCCGGCACGGACCCCCGCCCCGGCCCTCGGGACCGTCTGGGAGCCGCTAGGAACCAGATGGAGACAGAGGAGGAGGAGGGGAACAACGAGCTGGCCTCGCTGTAGAGATGGGAAGACTGAGGCCAGGGAGGGGAGACCCGGGCCCCAGCGAGTCCCGTCGGGGCCCCCGCGCATGTCCACAGCACCGGGGAAGAGAAGGGGGACAAAAATGTTTCGTTATTGAGGATGGAAGGAAACCGAGTCCCCAGGAGAGGGATGGGAGAGGGGTTGAGTGCGGACCCAGCGACGCGAGCGCGGACAGGCGCCTGGTCATTTGTAAGAAGTTTATTTCGACATTTAAAAAAGAGAGAACCCGAGAGGCCTGGCTGCCCCCGGACCGGGGCTGAGGCTGGGGGCTGGGGTCGGGGTGGGTGGGCAAGCCCCCTTGGCCCCTTCCTGCCCCGCCTGGGAGTGGGGAGGGCACAGGCCACAGACTCACTAATCCACGGACACGGTCACGGGCTCATGGGTCACGAATAAATAACTTCATATACACTTTGCACACGGTATGTACAGCTCAGCCGCTGGCCCAGGTGCTCGAGGGGTAGGGAGACGGGGCTCCGCACTCCCCTTCTCTCCCTGGCGGGGGCGCGGGGAGAGGGGCTGTTCTCCACCTGGAGCGTAGAAGGGGCGTGGGAGAGAGCGAAGCCTGGGAATCAGCCGCACCCGCTCCTGGGGAGAAAGGGGTTGCCTAGGGGAGCCGGCAGAGGCTGGGGGTGGGGAGTGGCAGAGACGCGTATGTACACCCGGCGGGTGGGGATGGCTCCCGGACAGAGCGGCCGCGAGAGAGGACGCCGAGGGGGGCTGGGGAGACGCAGTCCGGGGTCCGGGCCTCAGTGGACTTGGCATTTGGCCCTTCGGGGGGCACTGGGCTGGGGCGCCAGGGAGGGCCGGGCAGGGCCCCCTCCCGGGAAAGGGCGTCGAACCTGCGCCCTCAGAAAGGCGGGCGGAAGGGGCCACGCCGAGCCCGCGGGAGGAGGCCCCGGAGCCGACGGGCGCCTCACCGAGGCTGCGCGGCGCGTGGGAGGACGCCGGCCAGGGGGGGCAGCGGCGGGGGCGGCTCGCTGGCGCCCTGGAGTCCGTGGATGAGGATGCGGGGCACCAGAGGTCTCTGGAGAGCAGGCGGCGGCGCGCTGGGGCCGCGGTACAGGTAGAGCGCCGCGCCGGGGTCCAGGTTGGAAACCAGACTCTGCGGGTAGAAATAAGGCGACGGGAACATCCGCTGGAGCGCTGAGTAATTGCCTGCCTCCGCCAGCAGCTCCAACCCGACGGCCGTCTGTCGCTTCCATTTAGTCCTGGGGGCCGAAATAAACGCGTATGGCGGGATCAGGGCTAGGGCATCCAGCGACCCCAGCCCCTCCCCACTGCTTGGCCCAGAGAGCCTGTAGGGAGGCCAAGAGGGATCGTACTCATTTGTTAATAAATAACCGAGTGCCAGGCACCATCGCACGCCTTACGTGCATCCTCTCCTTTTATCTTCCACCGGCCTTCCGTGGCTCTTACCCCACTTTACAGAGAGGAAAACTGAGGTCTGGGCCGGTTTTCAAAAAGGAGCCTGGGTTTTAAGCCCTGCTGTCTGACCCCAAAGCCCGGCTCTAACTGCGCCTTACCCTGCCCAGGAGATCGCAGAACGAACCCTTGGAGCTGGGTAGGGGGTGCTCCTCCCTGCGCGTGCCTCTTTATGAAGGTAGGATCACCCTGGAGAGGCCTGAGGGGATGGGGGGGTGCTCTTCAGGGAAGGGAATGCGATTGATTCCTCTGCAGGCTGGCCGGGCTGCAAGCTAGCAGAAGCGAGCAGGCCTGAAATGGCAACCGGAGAGGACCCGCTCCCGGCTCGCACGCCCTGCCGGCTGGAGCAGGCTGCACCTGCCATCCTCCAGGGCTCGCACTGCGAGCCCTGCGCACTGTCTGGCCCCAAAGTCCAGAGGCCTTGGCCAGCCAACGGCCTGGGGTTTGGAGAAGTCAGGCCTGGACCCTAGGCTCACCTGCAGGTGAGGCTAGGCGGACCAGCCAGGGTCCCACTAAGGTGGGCTCAGCCACACCAGCCCTGTTTCCCTCCCTGAATTATTCATCATCATCATAATTGTGTAATTACTGTAACAGGCCTTAATTATTGATGCCCGGAGCAGTAATCAGTATTTATTATTAATGGGGCGATGTGTTCTGAGGCTTGTTTATGAAAAGCACCATTCCTGCCTCTGCTAAGAGCGTGCGAGTGACTGTGGGGCTGAGCGTGCGTGCGTGTGTGACTGCAAGTTGTATTGATGTGTGTGTCGGTGTGTGGCTATTTGGGTTGAGTGTGTGGATGCCTCTGTGTTTGTACATTTGCATCTACGTCTGGTGAGTGTGTTCGGGAGGGAAATTAGGAAACGAGTTCAAGTCCGGTGCCCCAACACCCACTTCCCAGTCACCCTGTCCCCAAGGAACAAGGGCTTGGCCAGTTCCCCCCTCGGGTTTTGGGACCAGAAAGGCTGGGGAGGCCTGAAGAGCCTCACAGAAACTCTGAGGCCCCTGCGGCAGCTGCCCGGTCTGGGCCAGGCTTCAACACCCCAAGGGCCACTGCCTGGCCGTCCTCTTCACAGGCTTCCTGGGCATCAAGACTGTCACCCCTCCAAGGGCCTGGGGCTTCCAAGACCCACGCTGGCTCAGGTGGGGGCTCCAGGCAGACCTCCCCCCACTCCGGCTGAGCTGGGGCAGGACTTGGATTTTCAGTGGCCTATGTGTCTGTCCACCCATCCGGGGGAGGGCTGACTGGACGCTGGACACCAAGTCTAGTCTCATCTCTGTCCCTCGCTGTGGGGACTTTGGGCAAGGCCTTGTCCCCTTAGGGACTCAGTTTCCCACTTTTACAGAATGGGGGAGGCTCTGGGGCCCTCCCTTAGCACCAACCTGTAGACTCCTGGTCCCCTCCAGGAGCTGTGAGGAAAGGGGAAGTTCCCTTTCTGCCTCTACCCCCGCAGCCAGGCCTCACCTGCGGTTCTGGTACCAGGTCTTGACCTGCGTGTCGGTGAGGTTGAGCGAGGCGGCGAGCTCCATGCGGTCCTGCACGCTCAGGTACTTCTGCCGCTCGAAGCTGCGCTCCAGCTGCGCCAGCTGATGGTCGGTGAAGGCCGTGCGCGCCTTGCGTGGCTTTTTCAGGCGCACCGGGGGACTGTCCCTGGAGCTGGAGATCTCGCGGTCGCCCTCCTCCTTCACTGCGGACACAGCGGCATGTCAGGGCCCGGCCTCGCAGCCGCCGCCGGTGCCCTCCCGCTCCTGCCCGTGGCGTTTGTGTAACCTCGGCTTCCGACAGCGGTGGTTCCGCGACACCCAAGCTCGCGGGGGCCGCTCTCAGACGGGACCTCTGGGGCCCCGGGAACAGGACATGAACCCTGAGGGGAACAGGACGGCGGCGGGAGCGCCCGAGGCCGAGACCCCCCGGGCAGCTCCGGGGAGAAAGAACCCGAAGCTGGCGAGAACTCCAGTCCCTGCGCCGCGCTCGGCGCTCTGCCCGCGCTCCCTGGAGGGATAAACGGAGCCGCGACGATGGAACCGGACCCAGCCTGCCAGCGTAGGGGAAGGGACCCAGGGTTTCTGGCGGAGTGAGCTCCGCGTCTGGGCCCCAGTTTCTCCGGCTGCGTCCGTGACAGGAAGGGAGGAAGCCGAAGGCTGGGGTCTGGGGAGAGAAACCTGCGTGGAGGGACAAAAACCTGCTCTCTCCGGAATCACTCTTTGTCCTCAAGGACAGATCATTGTGCCCCGCCTGGCGTTGCCCCTATATGGAAACGAATTCGTAGTGATGATTTCTCCCGACACTCGCTACCTACACAGGGCGCTGGGCGGAAGGCTCCGGGTCTGCGAGCGCCGAGCACTGGGAGAATAAGCGACCCTGCCACTCGCTTGCCCCTTGGGCGCAGCGCGCATTGCCCAGGTCTGCGTTCCGTTGTCATTACATTGCCCGCTAACGATGGCTCCTGCTACACCTGCGTGGCATCGTGTGTTTACACCCCACAGTCGGGACAGAATTACACCGGGGGCCCAGCTCCTGAGGTCGAAGGATAGACCTGGCACAGGTAGTTTCTTTATCCCAGACACTTTCGTTCGGCTTTGACTGCACAGAAAACACTTAATCGAACAAGCTCAATGCTCACCCTCCTTCTCCCTCTAAAGCGATTATATAACCAGCTAGACCACTTCCCCAAAATTGGCGGCTCAGACTGGGGCTTTCCCCCAACCTACTCCCTTTTTTCTCTGTTTTCTTTTATGGTGGAGTTTCATTGTGCGTGGCGTTTGCAGTGACGGGGTTCAGCTGAATGCAAGGTGATTTCTCTCTGTAGGAAACAATAATCCGGTTAATTGAGCCGTTAGGGATCGAGACTTTTCAACTGAAAAGGCAGCGCTTCGCTGCAAGGAGGGCCTGGCATCCAGCCTGGTGAGCCAGGAGAGTGCAGAGGAGAAACGGCAGCCCGCTAAGGCTTTCCACCTGCCTCCTCCAGGCTGGCACCAGGCTCTCCCTGCCCTGTGGGCTCCCCATATTTGGGCATGGAGAAGGATATGTGTTGGAATAGGGGGACTTGAGTTCTGTCTGTGCAGACAGATAGTTTAAATAAGTTTGAGGAAACGATCATCCAAATCTCAAACTTGATATCATAGAACTCTTACTTTTTGACCAAATTGCCTGGGCTACTTAATGAAAATCCCCCGCTTCTCAGGGACGAGGTCTGCGTTGGAGGTCGGGAGGTATTCAGTTTGTGGTGTCAGGAAGAATGGGTCAGCTACTGGGGCTTTTCTTCTGTTCCCCCTCCAGCGTGGACTGGAGCCTTTGAATGCAGGTTCTGTGCCCACTCTGCCTTGGCCTCCTCTTGGATAGGCTCAGCCCAGGGGGTACTGGCTTCCCAGACTCTGATTCTAGAGGCTACATCTCAGTGTCCCCGAGTTCCAGGCCCATTCACCGACCCTGCCTGCTGGGAACAAAACTCTGGTTTGGGTTCTCCCTGGACCTTGGATCCAGCCGCTAGTGTCGCCGACCACCTTACTTCAAAGCCGAGTTTTGGCTTCTTTAAATATTATCAAATAAATATTGTTTGAAGAGCCTTTGATAGCAGAAACTTGGGATGAGGCTGACCTTCCCCCATGCCCTCCTTGGAGGAAATGACTCAGCTTGGAAGGCGGCTGGAGAGTAGACCAGCTTAAATGCTCCACGGACTGGCTCAGGGTGTCTGTTTCTCAGCTCTGAAAAGGTCCCCTCCACGTTTGAGAAACGCTCCAGACAAGGCCTCGCTGCCTGACCCTGCTCCTTTTTTCACTAGGGGCAAAGGCAGCAACACCTGGGGTGGGGGTTGGGCAAGACCTTCTACCCCCTTCGCTCCAAACCTATTTAAGCGATATGTAGACAGCCGGCCCTCGTCACCTCCCGATCAGATATCCTCAGAGACAGGAGAAGAAAATTGATATTCTAATTATCTTAAACGAAACCTGTCCTCAAAATCCTTCCTGGGGGCAAATAAATAAAAGGAGGCAAGGGCCTCACTATCTCCAGTTCCAGCCATTAGCATGGGCGGTGGAAGATTCGTGCTCTTTGCTCTAACTAAAGCGGGGCCGTTCTTGTTGCAAATGGTAAATAATAACCATGATGTTATGAATATATATTTACATTGACTTCCCCCTCCTTCCTCCTCCCCCTTCTCCATGCCAGTCTCTCTCCAGCGCAAGTTTTCTTTGCCTCTCTAAGCAGGCCCCCCGGGGGAGGAGCAAGGACCACTGGGCCCGGGCCTGGGGACACCCGCATGCCTCTGGATCTCCTCCTGGCCGCTCCGTTAAACCTGCCTACTTTCCAGGCATGGTCGGCACAGCCTGGCTGAAGGAGGCTCGGCCATTTGTGTGGGGGAAATCAAGAAAATGGGATGTGCAGTCGGACCGATGAATTTCGGTTTGGAGTCAGGACATATCCACAAACGAATTCTTGGTTGGGAGGAGAGTGTTAAATGAGCCTTCCTAAAATTTTGGGAAGACTTGGTCCAAATAGGGACCAGGAAGTATGGCGCTGGGGGTGGGGTGGGGGTGTTGGGGGAGGGGGCAAGACAATAAAGAAGTTGCCCTTACAGGGAAATTTTGTCTCTTGAAAAGATTTCTGGGAATCAATTATGTGCTTGAAAGAGCTCTGAACAGCCTCTGCCCACTCCCAGTGATCTGCTAGATGGGGACGTGGGGCTGTCTCCCATGAAGCCCTCATACTCCTCTTCACCTTCTGCCCCTTGACTTCTCCCTTAGAAAGAACTTTGTGCCTCTGGCTTTGAAAAACAGCTAAAGTCGAGGTAGTGACTGGGGGTCAGAAACAAAATTAGGGAATTCTTTTTTTTTCTTCTTCCCTTTCCCTTCCTTCCTTCCTTCCTTCCTTCCTTCCTTCCTTCCTTCCTTCCTTCTCCCTTTCCTTTTAACCCTGATCTCATCTCCTTGGTTACGATGGGATGAAAATGGAACAAACAACAACGAAGATTCATAGAGGTAAAAAGAAAAGTGGAGGGGCAACAACCCCAGTGTAGCGGGAGAAAAGGCTGGTTACTCAGGAATCCCTGGAACTTGCATAAAACCCGGAGTTGGTTGCTCAAGGCACTTAAAATCAAATTCAATGAGAGCCATTGGGGGGTGGGTGCAGGGTACTGCCCTCTGCACTAGCCCCCTGACCTGCTCCCAGGCAGCTTCCTGGCTGAGGTTTCTGCTTTGAAGTGAGTGCCTCTTTTCATGACTCACAGAACCCGGATCACACTGGGCCCATTGGGAGGAAAAGCCCTGTTTTTCTTCCTGTCTGGAAATGTAGATTAAAAGGCAGAAAATTCTGACGGTTCTCAGGGCTCCAGCTGAAATTTTTCTGCTGTATTTTCACTCTATAAAGCAGAACCCTTTCAGTCTTCCATTGCTTCTGCACGGTTTCTTCCTAGAGAGCCACTGGCCTGATTGGGACCTGCTCCTGTCCACCAGCACTGCTGGAAGGGCAGGGGTCCCAGTCGAAGTTTAGAAAGTTTGCTTTGTGCATTTTGGGGAAATCTCCTCTCGGGCACGCAGTATCCCTCCCCTGCCCACACTGTCTCCACCAGACTCTTTGTTGCTCAAAGGCATAACCACAGGACTGGCTGAAATGTTCTGAGGAGAACCACTGCTCAACCTGAGCCCTGGGGGAGCCCCCAGGTGAGCGAGTGCATGTCCCGCCATGTGTATTCCTTTTAAATGTCAGTTTTTAGATACATAGCATCCCCCCAAGTTTTCACCTCCTGCTTTCTTACCTTTATACTCAGAGTCCGATGAGGCGTTGCTGCCACTTTTGTCCAGCTTGTCTCTAAAGTCCTCCGCGGCCTTGGCCGCAAGGCGGCCCCCAGGCTCAGGGGCTGCCGGCTGCCCGCTGCTAGAGTAGGGTGCACAGGCCGCGAGTGGTTTGCAGTCGGCAAGGATGTCCCTGATCAGAAAGGAGGAGGTGACGGTGCGCGACTGGGCCGGGGCTGAGAGCTGCCCGGGCTGCAGGTGGGAGTCCAAACCTGGGCCGGATGCCCCGCCAGGCCGTGGGGTCCCCGTCTCCAAACAGTCCCTTCCTGGAGAGGCTGGCGAAGAGCAGTCGCTGCTGCTCTCTGAGCGTGGACTCAGCTCCAGGGGCGAACGGCAGTCCCCGAGCAAGGGGTCCCCCTTGGGAAGGGCGGGGCTGCCCGCGCGGTGGGAGAGAATGGAGTCGATCCCAAAGCCATTGGAGCCTTCCATAGCCAAGCTGCGACCTGTCCTCCCCAAAAGCTCCCCACCCACCCCCAACCCCAGCCGCCGCTGCCCCTGCCCCTAGCTGCGGGCTGGCATGGGGAAGGCGGGCAGGGAGCCTGCGGGCACCTTGGACGGAGTTCAGCCTTGGGGGAGCCCGGGAGCTCTGGGCCAACCTCCTCTGCGCATTAGATCCAAAAGGGCTCAGTGCGTCTTCTGCAGCATCGCGCCGAGCCGCCGAGCCGAGGGGGGGTGGTGGGAGTGTCAGGGAGGAATGGGAGGGAGGGCGCGCCAAGTTGGGGAGAGCAAAGGGGGAGACGGACGGCCCGAGGGCCCCCTTGGCACAGAAGAAACGCGAGGATGTTGGAATCTAAATAAAGAATGGCGTTTTAAAAATCCAAACCGCACGCTTCTTCCAGGCAAGTGGTGGCTGAGGGTGGCCAGGTCAGCACCGCAGATAGCTGCGGGCCCGGGCCGCGCTAGCAGCGGGCGGAAAGGAGCGCACCTGGCGGCATCAGCACCGCGGAGAGCGGCGGCGGCTGCCCGCGGCTCATGACTCTCCACCTGGCCGGGGAGGTCCTCTCTCCGCGCCCTCGCCGCTCCGGGGGCCCGTCAGCACCGTGGACAGCGCCTCCCTGCTCCTCGGCGGCAGCTCTCTGCCGGTCCGCGCGCGCCTTCTCCTCCCCCCCTTCCTTTAAAAAATGAACTTGTGTCACTTTTACTTTGGGTCTGGGTTTTTTTTTGTTGTTTCTTTTTTTTCGTTGTGTTGTGTGTGTTTTTTTAAGGGGACTCGCCCACGTGTCCCCGGAGTGATGACGCTGATTGGCTCTGGCCGATTTTGGGGGTGATGTCACGGCTCCGCAAGCCGCTGCCCGATTCCCTTTCAGTTTGATTAAAAGAGACACCGAATTAATTACAGCACAGACCCAACTGTTTACCGGCGATTTCCACACGGTTTGCTTTCATTAGGCCGGTGACGAAGCTCCTAATGAGGGTGATTAGCCAAGGGGGGTACGGCTGGAGGGGAGGGGGCCGAGCCGACTGCGCTGCGGTGGGCTGGGATGTGCGCTGGGCTTTTTTTTTTTTTTTTTAGCGTTCCCCGACCCTTTCCCACAGTTATTCAAATTATTCGTCGGCAGGTCTATTGTAGATCCTTTTTCCTTCCCCCGTTTTTCTTCCTCCAGCAGCAGAAAGGGACTAAAACCAGCGGAGGAAGAAGTGTGGTGTGTGTGTGTGTGTGTGTGTGTGTGTGTGTGTGTGTGTGTGTGCGCGCGCGCGTCGAGAACCCCTTTTCTAGTGTGGGGAAGAAAATTCAAGTTATGTTGTTTGCGGCATTTCTGTTGGGCTCTCGGTGTTTCCCATGTAGGACAATTTGCAGTCCTGTCTCTCTGGCCTCTTGGGACCCTGTGGGCCTGGCGGGAGTGGGGAAAGCCAGGTGTCTTCCTGGGAAGTGACGAGACCGATGGCTTCACTTCAGGGCGAGGTTGGAGGACTTGGGAAGATCTTGTCAGGGGCGTTAGGGAGACCTCGAGAAATCCGTGTGGCTCAAGGGAGGCAGCTCAAGGGACAAAGAAGGCAGTAACCCGCCCACCCCCCACTTATGGCCTCTCCCATGGGCACCTCTTGGGGGGCCGGTGCTGTTGTACCTCTGAACAGGACCCACGCAAGAGCTTCCGAGTGCGAGTGTAGACGCCTGCTAACGGCTTCTTATTCCACGCAGAGCCAGAGCTCGTCCAGGGATGCATTTTCAAGGCAACTCTGGAAACGTGGCCTTTTCATTGTGAATCATGCGCCCCCTCGCCCTTCCCACCCCGTCACGGGCTCCAGTCCAGCGCCTTTCTAGGGTCAGCCCCCGGCGTTGGGGCCCAGGACCGCGGGCAGATCCGAACTGTGTCCCGGGCCTGGATCCTCTCTGCACAGCCCCAGGGATCGCAACCCGGGTCTGCGGCGGAAAGGGCGGACAGAGCGGAGCCCAAACGCCTTCATCGAGGTCGGGCGGGTCAGAGGCGTCCTTTTACCCCCCGCAGGCTCGGGAAGCCAGGCCTTTCCAGCCCGGCCTGCACGCCCCTGCCACCACCCCCAGCCCCCAGGAAACTACCCCGGCTCCTACGTCGGGCTCAGCGACCGAGACCGCAGCAAATCGTAAGGCACCCGCATGCCCTCTAAACGCAGAATTCTCCCGGGGGCAGCCTGGCGTGGTCGGGAGGAGCAAAAACTTTCTCCTCCCTCGGGCTAGGTCGGCGGTGGCCCCGCGCCCGGCTCCCGGCGCTCTCCCCCTGTGCCCGCCGGCAGATTGGAAGCGGCCCCGCCGCCGGCCGGGCTGGGGGTGAGGACGGGCGGCTCCCGGGGGACAGTGGCCCGGCTCGGCTGCAAGCTGTCGGGGAGGCGGGAGGGCGGGGGCCCAGGCTCTGGATCGGCGGCGGCCACTGCAGTGGGCACCTCCCGCGGCGGTCCGGGCCGGCAGCTCATTTCAGTTTGGTGGATGAGGAGGGGCCCATAAATCACGAGGAGAGCCGGCTGCCCTGGCTCTTCCAGTCCAGTCCCCAGCCTGGCCTTGCTCCTGCTCTGGGCGTCTCTGGAGACCCCACTTCCCTCCCCATCACCCACTCCTCCCAGGCCTGCGCCCGCATCCCCTGAGGAATCTCATCTTCCTCGGAGCACCGAGATCCTCACTTAGATCGACGGCGAGCCCCCGCCACCACACAACCCCCCTGTTAGCCACGGCGATGCCCCTGGCCAAGCATGCGCGGGACCGCCTGGTCCCCAGAGCGTCCGCTCTGTCCTCCTCTGCCCCGGGCGGGTCCGGAGCCGCCCCTCCCCAGGGCGACAAGCAGCTGGCAACGCCAGGGCCTTTTCTGGCCTTTGGCTCTTGGGTTGGGATTTGGATCCCGGACCCAGCGAAAGCGAAGCTTGGGAGCGAAGGGAGCTGCGATCGATTGAGAGCGGCCGGGAGTGAGGGTGGCTCCAACCTCTCCCGGTGGGAAAGAACACCAAAGCCGGACCTCCTGCCGCCCCAGCCGGTTTTGCCGGGCTTCTTGGAGCCCAAGACTATTAGCGGGTTGTCAGTACACTATCATTAGTATTGAGTTACCGCCGTCTATTATCATCTAAAATGTGCTGTGCGATTTATTTCGTTTGAAATTTACTCTGGGATTTAGCCCTCTCTCAATAACATCGTTTTATTCCGATTTCGGGATTCCCAGCTCCATGCAGGTGCCTCCTCC
This sequence comes from Homo sapiens, assembly GCF_000001405.40. Classification (NCBI taxonomy): domain Eukaryota; kingdom Metazoa; phylum Chordata; class Mammalia; order Primates; family Hominidae; genus Homo; species Homo sapiens. The sequence goes on along the minus strand of NC_000009.12, from coordinate 132,579,582 downwards.
TCTGATTTTCCCATTATCGGTGTGGGTCTTGCATCTCACCCTGTCCACTGCGGAAGAGATTTTTGGGGGCTCACCTGAGCTCTCGTTTAGCTGGGAATTTACTCAGCGTCCAGGGGGCCCTGAGTCCACCCTACTTTCCCACCTTTGGGAAAGAGGCCTGGTTGGTTGCGTGGGGTATCAGGGCTTCCAGGTCCAAAGGAGCTGGGGATGAGCCTCGGCAATATGCCCAACTTCTCTGAGCCCCTGTTCCCACAGCAGGAGGCAGGCCCCTCTCCCCAGCCCCAGGTCCCCACCCTGAGCAATTCTTGGCCCCCTCCCCAAGGGACTGGCAGGGGTGCATTGGGGGCCTCAAAAAATAAATAAATAAATAAAATCAGTGTGATGAAGGTACATCAAGGGCCGGGGTCCCCAGGATCACTCAGTCTTAACCAAGAGCCAGAACTGCCACCCCAGTGTCCAAGTTCTGTGTTCTCTGTGCTCTCTTTTCAGGACCCCAACTCCTCTCATCCCCCAGCTTCCCACTTCCTCTTGAAATCTCTTGCTTCCAATTCCAGTCCTTGCCTGCCCAGTCCTTTGGTGTTGCTTTCTTTTAGACCTTTAGCCTCTTGATGGACTCAGAGCCCTAGCAGGTCCAAGACCTCCCACCCATACCCACAGAGCCGACCACAGTTGCTCTTCTCCAGGGGCAGGGCAGGCAGGTGCATGAAGAAGCCTCCAGAAGGCTCTGGCACTGCCCACACTCTGGACAACTCATCTCTCTTGCCCAGACCTCGGCTTTCCCTTGGGTACAAAGGCATTAACATTGGAACATGGCAGTGAGAGATGCGGGTGGGAGAGTCCCCCTGCTTGTTCAGAAGCCACCTGGCTGTAGAATCCATGTCCTTCTTCGCCACCTGGGGCTCTTGGCTTGGGTTTGGCTTTGGGTCAGGAATGACTTGGGCAGGCCTGAGACCCTGGCTAGGTCATGGCTCTTAGCAACTTTCTCCTAGCCCCACCTCCTTCTCCACGTAACACCTCTCAGCCCTGGAGCTAGCGAATGGGTTGTTTCTGCTGGTTTTGCTCACCGAGGTCCCCAGGCAGAATCACACAGAGCAATCTGCCCAAAGCTTTTTGAGAATGATCCCAAAGTGGTCTTTCCTCCCTTATGAATGGTGGCTTAAACTCAGGGCTCCTACTAGAGCTGTTCAAGCTTCTGAATAGCTGGGTCTAGTGGTAGCATATGGGCAGGGGTTGTTGAGGACAGACTCGGAATTGGTCAGACTTGAGTTCAAATTCTCTAGACTCTAGAATCCAGGGCTGGGACTAAGGTGAAGGAGATGAGGCAGGTCACATAAGATGTTATTTAAAATGTTGATATTTTATCCATCATGAATTTTTACATTTTGGTTTTTAAAATGTATTAAAATATCATTGGTTTTGGTTCCTGAGTTTTTTTGGCGCCTCTTAGATTTTGCCCCTTACGCGAGTGCCTCTCCCGTCTCATCCTAGTCCAGGATGCACTCTGTGACCTTCAGCAAATCGCCGTCTTTCTTTTTTTAAAGCAGGTCACTTTCTGAGCTGTTTTTTCTTCCAGCTGTAAGGTGGGGATATTGTTGCCCTCTTCACGTGGTTCGTGTGAGGAATCTTGGCACTTGGCTGCAGGCTCGAAGAATAGCAATTATGTAATTCATAGTACAACTGCTGTTAATAATACCTAGAGCCTTTTTCCTCTGGCAGGTTTGAGTCCTCAGGCTTGTCTCCTCAGCCCTCTCTAGAAAAGTCAGCACCCACCTTTACCCAGGGTCTTCCTACCAAAACCAGTTTTTAAGGCAAAGTGAGCAGAGGATTCGAATGATACAGGCCAGGCCTGGGTGTCATCTCTCTGCTCTGCAAACAGTGGAGTTGGACAAGGATTTGGGCAATTTGTGGGCTTCAAGGTCATGCTGTTCTTATGTGTTTTTTTTTTGTTTGTTTGTTTTGTTTTAGCTTAAAACCTCATAGAGCTCCTGAAACCAGGAAAAGAACATATTTTTTCTTTTCCTCTTTTCATCCTTCCCTCTCTTCCTACCTCCCTCCCTTCCTTTCTCCTCTCCTCCCTCCCTTCCTTCCTGTCTTCCTCCCCTCTTCCCTTTCTCCCTTCCTTCCCATTGGCTCCTCCTCCCTCCCTTCCTGCCCCTTCCCTCCCTTTCTTCCTTCCTCTCTTCCTCTCTCTTCTTCCTCTCACCCTCCTTTTCTTCCTGTTTCCCTCCCCACTCACTCCCTCCCTGTTTCTTCTTTCCTTCTTCCCTCCCTTCCTTTTTTTCTCCCTCCATTCTTTCCTTCTTCCTTCCCTTCCTCTCTCCATCCCTCCCCTCCCCTTCCCTCCTTCCTTCCTTCCTCCCTTCCTTCCTAGCATACCCTCCATCCTGTGCATCATGCCAGATACTGGTGAGTCATGGAGAGTGGGACAGAGCTGATCCACTTGAATGGAGCCCACAGAATGCATTGGTGCCCATGGATCTAAATCCCCTTCATAGATAATCTCCCATTGTACATTCAAGTTTATAAGTTACCTGCATTCAATTCTAGGAACCTGCATAAAAAGCCAACCTAGTTTTATTTTTCCTTAGTGATGATTTTAAGCATCAAAGGGTTTCCCAAGTAAAAATGAGTACAGCAAAAAGAATGATTGGGTTCATACGGATAAATGCAAGCGAAGGTGCTTGGTTGGAGACACAGACCTGTCTGGCTGCCATTGGGGGCACACCTCAGCACCTAGGCTGGGATCAGCTTGCTGCAGAGACGTGCCTTCCCTGGACTTCTAAATCTGTGGTTTAGTTGGGGCACTGGGATAGATGAATTAAAAGCCAAACCAACTCTGTGTGGATCCAGGGACCTCCCTGGGGACTAGAATTGGGTCTGTGGCCTATGAGCAGTGCTTCCAGGAGCCCCCTGCTAGGCAGGCAGCAGACATGGCTGGCCTTATGGTAGCTCATGGCTACCATTCCTCCACAACAGTGAGACTCCAGAACCACCTTCTCTCTTCTGACCAAGGAAATTGTTAATTAATTATATGGTTATATCTTAGAGAGAGAGACAGAATTAATGAAGTTTGGGCTCTAAAAATCTGGCCATGGACTGAAGCCAGTGGGGGTCAGTGTGGGAGGAGAGCTGGACCTTTCATCCGGGAAGTCTGTCCTGCCACTGTATGGATGCTAAGTAGCTCTACCACCCTTTATCTTCTCCTGGATGTTCCAAGGGGGACCTCCTGGCCCTGTCTGCAGTCCCTTGCTGGGAAGTAGATCACTTCCCTCCTGCCCAGTGGCAGCCACCATAGAAGTCAAGAGCTGAACCTCAACAGCACCAGAACCAGAGTTCAAGAACAAATCAGAAAAAAAAAAATGCAAGGGAGACAGATCCAAGGAGTGGGAGCCTCTTCAGTTAAGATTTTGTGCAATCGGTATCTCAGCCTGCCCTTTCTTCTCAAGAAATGGTGGTGGGTGAAGACTCAGCCTCGTCTCCAGGTGTCCTTAAGCCTGTCCATCTTCATGAGTCCTCTTCCCAACGGCTCCATCTCCACGCTCTGGCACCCAGTCCTGCACTTGCCCCGTCCACCTTGCCAGGTGCACATAAGTGTGGTGCTGCCTCCCTCTTACCTTGGAGGGGACTTCAGAGAATTTCAAGCAGGCCAGGTGAGGGCCCAGACCAGCTGCCTCCCTAGGCCTGTGGAAACAGTGCCTGTGGACCTCTTTGGTTAAACCTCCTATGAGGTGTTGCCAAGAAGGTCAACCAGGAGGTAGAATGTTCCTAACTGCCAACCAGTGAGGAAATTAGCCAAAACGGAGGCACAAAGTCATACCTCCAACGACACTCACGCTCACCCGGCATTTGTTGGTGCGTGACTGGGAGGACTTGGGATGGAAAGCTAGGCTATCCCCATTTCCATCCATCTTTCATTGGGAAGGGGTTTTGGGGGGCAGGCTCTGGAACGTGTCGTGGACGTCACTGGCCTGGGAGAGTTCACTGCCCTGGCTTCGTGAGTGGACTCAGGATTCCTTTCACGTCCACTTTCCACCTATGAAGTTGAGGAAATGGCAGTGGAGGGAGACGAACAAGATGATCCCCAAGGCCCTTCCAGGCTGGACGCTGTGGGGACTCTATCCAGGTCATAAAGGGCAGGTAGTTGCCCCAGCCAGGGTCAGCTCAGGTGAGGACAGGGGTTTGGCCGAGGTGACAGGATACCCAAGAAAGTAGAATCAGGCCAGAATCAGACTCGGGGCTTTGTGCAGTCACAGATAATCAATGAGGCGGGAAGAACCAGGCTTGGTGGGGGAAGGACGCCAGGAGAGAGGGAAGGGCCGGGAATCTCCGCCGCCTCTGACTCAGACTCGCCAGCAGGTGGCACTGTAGGACAAGGAGCTGAGGGTCTCTCCAGTGAGCACTGCTTCCGGCCTGGGCTGGGAGCACCCGGAGGACTCCAGAGAGCACCCAGAGTGATGCTTCCAGGGCATCTGCCACAGCCCTAGCGGGTCCCACAGCAAATGGGGCAAGGAGTGATTGGAGAAACAAAAGAGATTTCCTAGCTGAGCCTGTCCTGCCTGCCTCGGCCCAGGTCCTGGGGAAAAGCAGGCCTGGGAGGGCATCTCTGTTGCCACAGTGGGGCCAATTTTGGGTTCTTCAGGAAACTCTTCTGCCTCCTGATGTGCCCCCTCCCCTTTCCGTAGGGGATTTCAGAGCGAAAGAGTGGGCTCGATTCAAAATATCCTTCAGCTTCTGGATGTATCTGGATGAAAGCCCTCCGTCCTCGTGAGCGTCCTGGCCTGCCCAGTCCCTCAGTCACTCACAGGGCTCTGGTTGATGCCTCTGCAGTGTGAGTCAGTGATAAGAAAAAAATAATAATTCATATTAATCTATTGCTTAAAAGTGCCAGTTGCTGTACTAATCATGTCATGCACATTCTTTAATGTAATGGTCACCTGATTTAGCTTGAAGACACAGTCTGTGATGCGTGGGGTCCTGTCTCTGAGATGAGGCATAGAGAGGATAGGACTGTTGCTCAAGATCACACAGAAATTGCTGGGCAGAGCTGTGCTTCGCACTCTTTTGCGGTATGGCGTGCTACCGCCTGCTCAGGGCCAGCCCACTCAGACTCTGCCTGCTTGGGAGATTGGAGGGATGAAGGAAAATGAGTATTGAAGACTTTTGGCTTCCACAGCTGGGTAGATGGTGGTCTTACTTATGAGATGGGAAAGACGGAGGGAGAAGTAAGTTTGGCAGAAAAAAAGTCAAGTGTCTGCCTTGGCTATGGTGGTTAACAATGAATGCCAGACACCCAAGGGGAGATGCTGAGTGGGCAGTTGGATAAATGAGTCTGGGGGCTGGGCGTGGTGGCTCATGCCTGTTATTCAAGCACTTTGGGAGGCTGAGGCGGGTGGATCACCTGAAGTCAGGAGTTTGAGACCAGCCTGCCCAACACGGTGAAACCCCATCTCTACTAAAAATACAAAAATTAGCTGGGCATGGTGGCATGCGCCTGTAATCCCAGCACTTCGGGAGGCTGAGGTGGGTGGATCACAAGGTCAGGAGATCGAGACCATCCTGGCTAACATGGTGAAACCCCGTCTCTGCTAAAAATATTTTTTAAAAATTAGCCGGGCGTTGTGGCGGGCACCTGTAGTCCCAGCTACTCAGGAGGCTGAGGCAGGAGAATGGTGTGAACCCAGGAGGTGGAGCTTGCAGTGAGCCGAGATTGCACCACTGCACTCCAGCCTGGGCGGCAGAGCAAGACTCTGTTTAAAAAAAAAAAAAAAAAGAAAGAAATCCTTGGCTGGGCGCGGTGGCTCATGCCTGTAATCCCAGCACTTTGGGAAGCCGAGGGGGGCAGATCATGAGGTCAAGAGATCAAGACCATCCTGGCCAACATGGTGAAACCCCATCTCTACTAAAAATACAAAAATTAGCTGGGTGTGGTGGTGCGCACCTGTAGTCCCAGCAACTCGGGAGGCTGAGGCAGGAGAATCGCTTGAACCCAGGAGGCAGAGGTTGCAGTGAGTTGAGATTGCGCCCCTGCACTCCAGCCTGGCAACAGAGTGAGACTCTGTCTCAAAAACAAACAAGCAAACAAACAAAAAAAACCCTTAGATTAGAAATGATATTTAAAACTTGAAAATTTGCCTCCCTCAAAAAAGGTGTGGCTGGAATGTTTTGGAGGTTAGCTTACCTTGAGAGGTCTCTATGTGGCAGCACCCTCATTTGATGTCTCTAAGGCTGATTTGCTCACTGGTTTTCAAATGGAGACACAAAAGGAGGATGACAAATAGCATTTTTAATTTAAAATAGATCAGCATAAAATTTTCAGAGAGAATCCAAAGAACACACGGAAAGACCGAGTGAGGAAGTGTCCAGGAATTCGGCTGAGAAGCTCAGCAGCCTGTGTTCAGCAGTCTACCCGCTGGCCTGGAAGGCTTTTTCCAGAGTGGGTTGACCTTCCAAAGTCAGTCCTGGGGGAGGAGTCCAACTTGGCCTGCTTGATTGACGGGGCCCCAGCACTGAGGAGGCGGGGGCAGGCTCGAGTAATGAACCATTGGCTCTTCCTGCTGTCAGAGGTCCCAGAGAGATAATACTGCCGTGATGAGACATCAGGCATCCCAAAAAGAGCAATTAAAACTCATGTTTGGAATAGAAAATGAGGGCTTTCAAAGCACGTCACTGTCATGCTTTCTGCAGCAAATACACAGGTCGTTCTTAACACTTAATGGGCAGAGCCATGGAATCGACCCTTAGCCTGGAGTCTAAAAAATTGTCTTGTAATTTGGGCTTGTCTTGGCAGGTGAGGGCTTGAGAAGAGGCAGGGTGAGCCTGCCCTAGGAGGAGAAGGAGGAGGAGAGGAGGAGGCTCCAGGTAGAGGGTCACTGGGGCTAAGTGGAGACTAATGTTGGCTAACCTAAAAGGGGGGACTTTTACCAAAAACAATTAGCCTAAGACTTGAATCTGAGCTCCTTGAAGCAGAACCTGCATAAAAATGGGGGAATGTCAGGGTTGGGGCAAGATAGGGAGTCCTTCTGGGAATTTTCCACTATGTCAAGATGGCTTCTTGTGGCAGGGGAGGGAGGGGCTAGGGGTGGGTGTAGTTGCCCATCCGCAGGGTCCCCTGGCGCACGGCACACTCTTCCCGGTGGGCTTTTAATGCTCTCTGGCGATCGGCCTCCGTGGGGAACGTATCAAGGTGGCGGCCCACCTGTGGATAGAAGGGAAGAGTGGGTGGGTGAGGGGAGACTTCAGTGTAGCTCATTCCAGTTGCTCCCCTCGCCTGCCCCCTGCTTCAATCTTAGAATAATGATAAAAATAGCTGTAAGAGGGAGGAAGTCACAGCAAGTGCTGTGAGCCTCCTGGTGCTGAGCCACGAGGCAGAGAGCAGGGGCTACCTGGGGGAACTGTTCGTCCTTCTGTCCAGCTCCTTGCTGGGGAAGATACAGGCAGAACAAAAATCACCAGGCCATGACCAGACGACCACGCAATGGGACCTAGTAGCCAGTGTCCTTCATGCACTACTTTTCCACCATTAAAAACCCCAAACAAGCCACCCTCTCCAAGGGGGACCTCCTGACCCTGTCTGCACTCCCTTGCTGGGAATTAGATCACTTCCCTCCTCTCTGGTGGCAGCCACCACAGGAGTCAAGAGCTGAACTTCAATATCACCAGAACCAGAGCTCAAGAATAAATCAGAAAAAAAAAAAAAAAATGCAAGGGAGACAGATTCAAAGAGTGGGAGCCTCTTCAGTTAAGATTTTGTGCAATCGGTATCTCAGCCTGCCCTTTCTTCTCAAGAAATGGTGGTGGGTGAAGACCCCGCCTCGCCTCCTGGTGTCCACTGTGTCTGTTACATCACCTCCAAGTGCTACAAAATCCATCCCATTAACAGCACAACATCCTCCTGCCTCAGCATTTCTCCTTTGGGATAACCTAAGGGCGGCACAGGGTGGAAAGGGTTTGGGCTCACGTGCTCATTCCTGCATCTGGGCTTCTATCCATCTGTTAATTCGTGAAATGCATGTTTATTGAACACAACTCTGTGTCAGATGTGGGGGATATGGCAGTAAACCAGAGAGACTCGGCTCTACCCTCGTGGAGCTTTTATTCTAGAGGGAGAGCAGACATCCAGCAGTAACTACACAGCTATTTCATTACAATGGACAGAAGGCTGGGGAGTGCGCAGTGAGAACAAATTGGGTGGGTCCTGGGGAAGAGATGCATACAGGGGGTCTCGAAGGATGGGTTGGGATTCCAGGGCAAAGGGGGGTAGCGTGGCTGCTGGCCCTGGGGTCCAAGAGAGCTCAACTTTGTGAGGGGATGCGGCGGCCAGGTAGAGGGTGGGCAGGGCAGGTCCTGTTTGGATTTGCAGGAGCAGCCAAAGGCTCTGCAGTGGGTTCAGGATAAAGCAGGACCCATGCCTAGGACAGCCACAGGGTGCTTGTCGAGAATCCAGGCCAGGGTTGACCACCCCGGAGTGGTTAGCTAAGCCCACGGCGCTGCAGGTTAGGGTGAAGAAAGGTGACAGAAGAAGAAAAATGTGGGGAGAGAGGATGAAATATTAAAAGGGGGTAGAGGGAAGATAAGGAGGGGCTTGTAGGGAAAGTCTCTGTGCTCGGGGCCACGTGGAATCCCCCTCGGACTGTGTTTATCATTTCACAGACGAGGGAACAGAGGCCTAGGGCAGAGTGTGGTTCAGGGCTGCCCCCATAGGGAATTGGTGACCCCCAACCTCTGGACTCTTAAGTTCTGGATTCTTTCTAGAATATTGTGTCACAGCTGCCACTCATGCTGTGTCTAGGGTGCTGCCTACACCTCACTTGCTGAGGTGAAAGAAGGCAGGGGGCTGTGGAGCGTTGTTAGAAACCCATAAAAATCAAATGGTGACCAGAGACTCCGTTCTTCCAGGAATAACCATGTTCTTCACCTTCTAGCGGATGTGGACCCCTTGGGGATGCTCTTTGGAAAGCCATGGGCCCTTTTCCTCTGGGAAAAAAAAATGCCCACAAGTGCTTACATAAAAAACAGTGCAGGTGATTTAGGAGGTTTCAGGGCCCTTTGCAAGTCCCTCTAGGGACCCTCCATGGCAGCATTTCTCAGAGCTGTCCAGCCTCAGCCCAGCCGCAGCACCAGTCGTAGTCCCAGCCCCAGCCTCGGGTTTCAGATTTTTTGGTTTTGCCTCAGAATCGCATTGGGGCTCTTGCAACCAAGGGAGAGGCCTGAGCCCAGCCCAAAAGCTACTGAGCCCCTCAGGTCAGAGCGCGTAGCATAGTTACCCAGTGCCCACCTGGACCCAGGGCTGCATGTCTGCTGTGCAACTGATCTCCATCAATCAAACCATGATTGTGCCCTCAGCTCAATCTCAATGTTTCGGAAAAATGTCCAAGTAGCCTCACAAGACACACTGAGAAGAGAGAAGGCCTTGCACAGTGTGCAGGAGGAAAATAGTCTGTGGACAAAGGGCTTCTAGTGACACCTTTGTGACCTTCTGGCAAGTGGTGGCCTGATGTTTACACTGTGACACGATCTTCCTGAGGCCCATGGCTCCTAAAAGGCAGCTAGAGGCTGGGAGCAGTGGCTCACACTTGTAATCCCAGTGCTTTGGGAGGCCAAGGTGGGCGGATCACTTGTCAGGAGTTTGAGACCAGCCTGGCCAACATGGCGAGACCCCATCCCTACTAAAAATACAAAAATTAGCTGGGTGTGGTGGTGGGTGCCTGTAGTCCCAGCTACAGGGAGGGCTAAGGCAGGAGAATCGCCTGAACCCAGGAGGCGGAGGTTGCAGTGAGCCGAGATTGTGCCACTGCACTCCAGCCTGGACAACAGAGCGAGATTCCGTCTCAAAAAAAAAAAAAAAAAAAAAAAAAGGGCAGCTAGAGACACTTAGGAAGACAGGTGCATCAGACCTTGGGGTCTCGGGGGCATGCAGCCACCCTGGTGTCCAGCCGGCTTGGACCTGAGGCACCCCTGGCCTTCAGTGGCATCCAGATTGGCAATTGTGCTGTCTCTGGTGGCCAGTCACCAATGGTGTCTTTTCATTTGTTTTTTAGAACACAGGCATATTTTTCAAATAGTAATAATAACTATTTATATTCAGCTTTGCAAAATGTTTAGTATGTGAAAACAACTATCCATGTTGTTACAATGTCACTATAAGAATTTTCCTTTTCCCCCCTACCACCCTCCGCCCCCATCAGGTTCTCACTCTGTCACCCAGGCTGGAGTGCAGTGGCACAACCATGGCTCACTGCAGCCTCAAACTCTCGGGCTCAAGGGATCCTCCTGCCTTGCCTCCAGGTAGCTAGGACTACAGCTGTGCGCCACCATGCCCAGCTAATTTCTGTAATTTTTTGTAGAGATGGGGGGAGGGTCTCAATATGTTGAGGGTGGTCTGGAACCCCTAGCCTCAAGTGATCCTCCTCCCTTGGCCTCCCAAAATTAATTTTACTTTTCTGAAAGATATTTGTAACAGCCTTGTTGAGGTATGATTGATCTACCTAACCTGCAAAACCTGTATTTAATGTGTAAAATTTGATGAGTTTGGGCATATGCAAATAGCCCTGAAACCATCACTACAATCAAAAATAGCCATCAACGGCCAGACAAGGTGACTCACACCTGTAATCCAAGCACTTTCGGAGGCCAAGGTAGGTGGATTGCTTGAGCCCAGGAGTTAGAGACCAGCCTAGGCAGCATGGTGAAACCCTGTCTCTACAAATAATACAAAAATTAGCCAGGCATGGTGGCACATGCCTATAGTCCCAGCTACTTGGGAGGCTGAGATGGGAGGATTGATTGAGCCTGGGAGGTTGAGGCTGCAATGAGCCATTGTCATGCCACTGCACTCCAGACTATGGGACAGAGACTCTGTCTCCAAAAAAAAATCTATTCCAAAGCTTCCTCATGCCCAGTTGGTTTTTTGCTGTTTTGTTTATTGGAGATTTTTTTGGTGGGAACCCTTAACATGAGATCTGATCTCTTAGCAGCATTTTCAAGTGCACAGTATAGTATACGCACTATTTTTTTTTTTTTTTTTTTTGAGGCGGAGTTTCACTCTTGTTGCCCAGGCTGGAGTGCAATGGTGTGATCTCGGCTCACTGCAACCTCCACCTCCCGGGTTCAAGCAATTCTCCTGCCTCAGCCTCCCGAGTAGCTGGAATTACAGGCGCCTGCCACCATGCCTGGCTAATTTTTTGTATTTTTAGTAGAAACGGGGTTTCTCCTTGTTGGCCAGGCTGGTCTGGAACTCTTGACCTCAGGTGATCCACCCGCCTCGGCCTCCCAAAGTGTTGGGATTACAGGCGTTAGCCACAGCGCCCAGCTGTATATGCACTATTATTAACTCTAGGCACAGCGTTGTACAGCAGGTCTCTAGAGAGTATTCATTTTGCGTAAATGAAACTATACCCCTTGAATAGCAGCTCCCATTTCCAAGTCCCTGGCAGCCACCTTGCTTCTCTCTGCTTCTCTGGGTGCCCATGGCTCTTCATAGGGGAGTATAGCTCTGCAGACCACCTCTCAGCCCTGTCCATTCCTTCCTCCTCGGCCCTTGTAGTGAGCTGAACCATGACTCCCAGAAAGATAGGTCCATGTACTAACCCCCAGAACTTGAGAATGTGGCCTTATTTGGAAACAGGGTCTTTGCAGATATAATTAAAGATCTCGAGATGAAATCATCCTAGATTATTCAGATGGGCCCTAAATCCAATCACAAGCATCTTTAGTAGCAACAGAAGACACAGAGGAGACAGCCATGTGAAGACAGAGGCAGAGATGAGAGCGATGTGGCCACAACCAAGGAGCATCGGGAGCCCACAGGAGCTGGAGGAGGCAGGGAGGATTGTCCCTAGAGCCTTCCAGGGAATGTGGCCCTGACGACACTTTGATTTTGTTGGTCTGGCCTCCAGAACTGTGAAAACAAACATTTCTATGGTTTTAAGCCACCAAGGTTTGTGACAATTTGTTATAGCAGCCTCTAGAAGCTAATACAGCCCTCAAGCCATTCCCTGGGCAAATCAGCATGCAGCGATGGTGGGTGGGGCTGTGGCTGGCCCTGCTGGTGGCAGGAGGCTCACCAGCACCCACTCATCCCATACCCCAAGAAGGTGGCTGGAGGATTGAAGCCCTAAGGAGCTGCTCAGTCTAACCACACAAGGACAAAAGGAGAACCATGGTGAGAAATTTTCTTTTTCGCAGTCGCCGTTTACTTAGAAACTTCGCTGAAGCAGAAGCATTCATCCATCCATCCATCTAAAAAATATTTATTAAGTACCTACTGTGTGCCAGCAGCTGCTAAGCACACACCCCTTGCACTTCAGAGTTCCAAGTTCCATATTCCCCTTGGTTTTCTAAAGGGGTGTTTTGGGCACAAGAGGCTCCTCCCAATGACTAACCACACACATTTTGGCACCTGCTGTGTGCCGACACTGGGAGAGGCAGAGCGCATGTCACCTGTGGTGTCTGATGTGGATGACATCCCATTCCAACTGGAATCTCACGGAGTGAATTCATCCCAGAAGGGAGCTCAAGGAAGGGCTCCTCCTCTATGAAGCAGGGTCTGCTCGTGGCCTGTTCCCTGAAGGACTCCCAGTGCCTGGCACAGAACCTGGCATTTGAGAAGTGTTTAAAGAAGGTCGGGTGGGCCCCCAAATGTATGAATGAATGATGAGTGAAGGAAATCGAGACAATCTGTCTGGCCTCCAGCGGCCAGCAAGGACTTCTCATGCCAGGAGGGACTTGAATGTGCCCTGGAAGGACTGTGATGAGGGAGGTGGGAAGGGAGAGAACAGGAGGGAAACAGATCCGCAGAGGCCAGAGGGGCCCCAGCGAGGCGGAGTCTGGAGGCGAAAACCAAAGGAGATGCTTAGTGCCTGGGCCTGGCAGACTCTACTGAAAGCGAACTCGAGCAAAAGTGTCCACCTCAGGTGGGATGGGCCCTTTAGAAAGAGAAGGGAGATGGGGCCTATTCTGTACCCACAAAGTCTCCAAATCCCTAACCAAAAAAACAGTTGTCTGTGGAGAGGGGAGTTCCAGTCCTCAACGGGCCTCGTAGCTGGGTGCCTCTCTGCAAAATTTGTCCTGGAGGCCAGAACTGGCATGTTGAGCCCCTTGTCAACAGCAATGCTAGGACAAGAACAGACCTGCTTATTTGCTGGGCGCTGTGCATTTATTTCACACAAGCCTTGGAACGCCCGGAGGAGGCCGGCACCATCGTTGTCTCCATTTTACAGATGGGAAAGTGGAGGTCCCAGAAGGTTAAGTCATTTGCTTCATTTCAGCGATTGAACCCAGGGCTGCAAGACTCAAGGCCCCAAGCCCTTCGTCACGAGCTCCATTGCCTCTTATTAAATGCTCATGGAGTCCATGAAGCAAAAGTCGCTGGCTGCAAGGTCATGGCTCCGCCGCACATGCACGCTCCCCCCTCTCCAAGCAGCCCAGCCACACATGAGGAGCCTGACTACAAGTCAGGCCTCAAGCCCTTCTGTGGTCACGACCCTGTGGACCCCTGGAGTCAAAGGATGAAGAGCTGTGGAGCAAGGAATTCCTTCTGAGATGCTTCTAAATTAAGCCATCTGCGGTCTGTCTCTGCCTGGAGCTAAGAAATTGTAATGGCTTTGGCAGGAGACAGCTTTGCTGAATGGAGCTCTGAGCTGCTCTAAGGTCAATGCAGGTAAATAAGAGGCAAGTGCCACAGCCGCCAGCAGCCCTGGGAGCCGGGCGAGCGGGAGGCTTTATCCCGGTTGGCGAAGGAGCTGGTCCTGTTAGAATGGGGAGCATTGCACAAATCTAAATGGCATCGCAGAAATAAGGACAGAGCGCTGCCATGCAGTGCCCTGGAAACACACCTGCCAGGAAGGCAGAGCCCACATGGACCCAGGGAGACATCTTGGGAAGCGGTCACTAAACACACTGTACATGTGATTGTTTGTGACATTTAGACAAGAGCTATCTTCTTTTTTTTTTTAAGAAGGGGTTTCATTCTCGTTGCCCAGGCTGGAGTGCAGTGGTGTGATCTCAGCTCACTGCAAACTCTGCCTCCCGGGTTCAAGCGATCCTCCTTCCTCAGCCTCCCGAGTAGCTGGGATTACAGGTGTCTGCCATCACGCCCAGCTAATTTTTTATATTTTTAGTAGAGACGGGGTTTTACCATGTTAGCCAGGCTGCTCTGGAACTCCTGACCTCAGGTGATCCACTCACCTCGGCCTCCCAAAGTGCTGGGATTACAGGCGTGAGCCACGGCACCAGGCCGACAAGAGCTATTTAATAAGATTGTGGACTGGGGAAATCTACCTCCATCTGGGGCTCAGGAAGGGCTCTCTGGGGAGGATGAAGGAGCAAGCCAGGGGCAAAGGAAGGGGCAAAGGAGGAATGGGGGTGAATTCCAGGAAATGAAAGCGAGCCATTGCTGTTATGGGCAGCAGGATGTGGCAGGGGAGATGAGCAGCTACTAGATCCTAGAAGAGATTTCTACTCCATCTGCCTAGGAATCATAGTTCCCTCCTGGGATAACATCCTTTTCCTCCCTGCTACTGGATCAGAATAAAATATTCCCAGAGAGTTAGGTTTGGAAGAGACCTTAGTGATATCGAATCTAACTCTCCCATACTACAGATGGAAAACCCAAGGCCCGAAGGTGAGAAGTGACCCTCCCAGGTCTCCCGTGAGTCCTGGGCAGAGCTGAGACCAGCCGCCAGACAGCAGGCCCCTTCCTCAGCACCGCAGTCCCTGAACGGAGGTCTCACTTTGCTTCCCGCATCTAGAGCGGTGGGCCCCATTTTCTAACTCATTTGAAAGCATCTGTGCTTTTCCAATCCACTTGCAATGAACCAACTTTTCATTTGATTGATATCCTTAATTGTACCTTTGACATTTCACTAATGTTTACTCTGTTGTTCTTTTTCTAGCATCTAGAGTCGTTGGCTTAGCTAATTACCTTTCATCTTTCTTTTTTTCTCCAATATTAGCATTTATATAACACAGCATTAGCAACTGTGTTCCCTCTAAATTCTCTTTTAGCTCATCTCACAAGTTTTGAGTATATTTGTTTTTGCTCAGTTCTCTTTTAATCTAATTTCTATCTAATTTCTGTTTGGATTTCTCCTTTGATCGCTAAGTTATTTATAAGCGTGATTTTACATTTCCAGGCAATTTTATCAGTTAGGTTTGTTACTGATTTCTAATTCAATTTCTTTGGTGCTGAAGTAATCCTCACAAGTCAGACCTTTTGGTATTTATTGAGGTTTTGCTTTGTATTCTTGCTTGAAAAATCTGTTCTACTTTCAATGAAAAAATCCTCATGTGGAATGAACTGGTGCTATCCTAGAGAAGATGTCCATGGGACCTGGGTTGAGGCTAAGATGTGGCCCTTGTCCTTGTATTTATGTATTCATGATTTTATTCAATGCTTATTTATTGACCATCCATTGTGTATCAGAGATGGGGCTAGTCCCTGAGATAGAGTGAGAAACTACTAATAAAAATAAAATCACACAACGAATTCTTCAATTAGAATTGTGTATTAAAAGAAGTACAAGGTTCTGTAAGAGCTTATGATACAGAGACTCCAACTCTGATTGAGGCCAGAGAAGGCTTCCCTGAGGAAATAGCACACAAGCAGATACTCAAAGAGAAAGAGTAGCTGGTGCTGGGGTCCCACAGCTGAAGAAAGGGCAGAAGAAAGGAACAGGTGGTTTCCAGAGGGGAAATCTGAGTGGCCAAAAAACAGGACAGTATGCTCAACCCAGCGCATCATCAGGGAATAGCACATTAAGCAAGAGAATAAGCATTACACACACATCGGATTGGTAATAACGGGAAGGAGTCTGACATGAGAAACGGGAACTTCCATGCACTACCAGCGAGTGTGTTCATTCGTACAACCTCTTTAGAGAGACTTGGCATAGCCAGAAAGGCTGGCCACATGTACACCCTACGAACCAACGAGTCCACGTTTACATACATGCCCTGCAGAAATTCTCAGAAATGTCCACTAAGAGATGTGCATGAGGAATCCTCACGGTAGTACCATGTCAATAAATGCCGGGAACAACTGCATGTCCATCAGTGGGGCCTGCTCGGATGAAGGGTGGTGAATTCAGAGGGTGGAACACCTTGCATCCACTACAGTGGACACTCCAGAGAGGCCCCACCCAACATGGCAGGCCCCACCCAACATGGCAGCCCCCAGCCACATGCAGCTCTTTCAATGTCAGTGGACTAAAATTAAATAAAATCTGAAACTTCGTTCCTCAGTTGCACCAACCACATACCAAGTGCTCAATAGGCCGGGTGCAGTGGCTCACACTTGTAACTGCAGCTTTTTGGGAGGCTGAGGCAGGAGAATCGCTTAAACTCGAAGTTCGAGAGCAGCCTGGACAACATAGCAAGACCCCATCTCTACAGAAAAAATTTTAGCAGGGCATGGTTGCATCCACCTGTGGTCCCAGGTACTCAGGAGATTGAGGGGGAGGATTGCTTGAGCCCAGGAGGTGGAGGCCGCAGTGAGCCATGATCTTACCCCTGCACTCCAGCCTAGGTGACAGAGTGAGGTGCTGTCTCTAAAAACAAAACCAAAAAAAGCCAAAAAAACCCCAATTGCGGCCAGGTGGGGTGGCTCACACCTGTAATCCCAGCACTTTGGGAGGCTGAGGCAGGCAGATCACGAGGTCAGGAGTTTGAGACCATCCTGACCAACATGATGAAACCCTGTCTCTACTAAAAATACAAAAATTAGCTGGGTGTGGTGGTGCGTGTCTGCAATCCCAGCTACTCAGGAGGCTGAGGCAGGAGAATCGCTTGAACCTGGGAGGCGGAGGTTGCAGTGAGCTGAGATTGTGCCACTGCACTCCAGCCTGGGAGACTGAGCGAGACTCTGTCTCAAAAAAAAAAAATAAAATAAAACAAAAACAACAACAACAAAAACAAGTGCTCAATGGCCCTGAGTGGCCAGTGGCTACTGCAGTGGACAGGTGGATGTAGAACATTTTTATCAGAAAGTTATATTAGACAGTGTTGTTCCAGGTCTATCAGAACCAATGTGCATGAATCTCAAAAACCCAACGTTGCATGAAAAAAAATTTACAGAATGGAACCTAAGCATGATTTCCTTGATATGAAAAAAATAAAAAACATACAAAACGCTTCCCTGTTTAGCTCCAGCATATGTGTGAATCTGCTTAGACAGAAAGGGGCGGAAGGAAAAGAATGTTCTCAGAGGTCACGCCAGGCTCTGCCTCTGGGAGGGAGGAGAGTGAGCCCAGGGAGGGAAGCAGAGAGGATTTCAGTTTTAT
Source organism: Homo sapiens (assembly GCF_000001405.40). Taxonomy (NCBI): domain Eukaryota; kingdom Metazoa; phylum Chordata; class Mammalia; order Primates; family Hominidae; genus Homo; species Homo sapiens. Next base: position 132,562,306 of record NC_000009.12, on the reverse strand, counting down.
TTCTATGGGACTATTGCCTTTTCCTCTTTTTCATATGAGAACACAAATGTGGGTTCAAACTGCATTTGTGGGAGGTGACCTGGGGTGAGGGAGGGCCTCCTCGTGCCACACACAGTTTAGAAAGGATAACTGTTTTATGAGTTTCCCTTATTGGAGATGTGGGCAGGATTCCAAATTTGATTACAAAGTTTTGCCACAGGAACCGTAGCCGCCAGTGGTGGGTGACGTTGGCTTACGTATGTGACTTCCCGATGGCCCCTCCAGTTGGGCTTATCCAGCTTCATGGGGGCGTAAATTCACCTCCATGCCTGAGAAAATATCCAAGACGCAGAGGCTCTACCTGGAGATGAGGCATTGGCCGTTCCTCCTTGCGAGGCGGCACCAGCCTTCTGCTGGGTTGAATGGCTCTGGTCCACAAGCTGAAAAGCGGGCTGCCTTTGCCTTCTTCCCCTTCCCTCTTTCCTTGCCTTCTTACTGCCTCCACCCGACGCCTCTGCCACAGGTGGGGGGTTCAGGCAGCCACAGCCCTGGGGCTCTTCTTGTTGGGAGGGCAGGGCAGGAGCCGTGTGTTTTGTCTTGAGCCTTTTGTCCACTGTTATGCCTTGCTGTTGCTTGCGAACCCATCCCAGAGACACATGGAGGGGGTGTGTGTGTGTGTGTGTGTGTGTGTGTGTGTGTGTGTGTGTGTGTGTGTGTGTGTGTACATGCACCTCAATGGCCAGAAGAAACCAAATCTGGCGCTGTACAAATTCACAGGTCAATCAGCTTTTCCACAGCACTTTCTGAGTCCAGGTCCCTGACCCAGTCCCACTGCCAGGGCAGCTGAGCCAGCAGACGCCCCCTCCCCACGCACTGGCCACACGAAGGTCCCCTAACTAAACACCAAGCTTCCAGTGCCAGGTCTGGAGACTAACAAGGCAAAAGGGAGGATTTGGGGGGGGAAAACAGATTTAAAAAAATAAAATCTGCCAAAGAGCTAAAAAAAAAAAATAATGACAGGCATAGAGATTTTAGATTAGTTTTTAAGTGACAACTGCTCAGGTGACTGGGAGAGAGATTTTGCTTTAAAAGATTGAGAGGCTGTCTCCTCTAATGAGAGGCACTTGAAAATTATGGATCAGTCCCAGGTCAGTAATTCCTGTCAAGTTCGGGGCAGCTGGAGGTCAGAGGCTCCGGTAGAACACAGATTCATGTAGGACATCGTGGGAGAGCAGGCTGGGTCCTCAGCTCTGATGTAGCAGGTTGTCGTTTAAGTAATTAACAAGGGTAACAGTCTCTCCTGAGACATCTGGTCCCCTAGATTGTTATTCTGCCACTGGCTCTCATTTCTCTGTGGTCCAAAAATAGATGAGCAAGGACACAGGACCCGACCCTCCCTGCTGACACATGCTGCGATTTCAAAGAACAGCCAAGCTCTGCTTGGAAAACAAACTTCCTGCCTTCCTGCAAGGTCTAATGTAGGTTCTCAAATGGCACCGGCACCACTCTCAGTGAACCGTGCCCAGGGAATGGGGAGGAGCAGCGACCTTGAGGGGATGGGGCGGGGGACCATTGGTTTGACAAAGGAGGAGACTGAAGCTCAGGAAGGATACGACACCGGCCCAAGGACACCCAGCTACTAAGTGACAGAGCCCCAACTGGAATGCAGAGCTGTGCTCCATGGACTGACTGCAGGGCTGCGGGACTTACCGGAGCAGAAGGAAAGCTAGGCATTTGTGCCTTTGAAAATGAGAATCGATTTGCTCCTTCGAGAAGCCATACCAATGGCTCCAGGTCATTCGCAAGGATTAGCGAAGGCCAGTCAGCAGCAGTTGAAATCAAAATTGAACAATGAAGCTGTTTGCTAGACGCTAGGAGCAAAATAATTGGGTAACACCAGTCCCAAGGTGGGGTGTGTGTGTGAACTTTCCATAAACCTCAGGTCAGCTCCTAAGCTTCTTCAGCTTGTAAGCTCAATAGGCTGCAGGTGAATGAGAGTTGTAGTGGAGGACACAGCAGACTCCCCTCGTCTGAGGCCAGACCTTGGTGGCCAATTATCACCCTGTTCTGGCCCCTAAAGTCAGAATCTAGGCGATGATCACTCATCTCATCCAACTGGGCTATTTTTTAAAGTGACTCTTTTTAAAAACAGCTTTATTGAGATATAATTCACATACCATAAACCTCACCAATTTTAGCCTGTTCTTAGGATTGTACAACCCACCTCCACACCCTAAGTTTAGAACATTTCATCACCCCCAAAAGAAACTTTATAGCCATTAGCAGTCACTCCTATTCCTCTTCCCTAGCCTCTGGCAACCACTAATCTATTTCCTGTTGGTGTGGCTTTCCCTATTTTGGACTCTTCATATAAATGGAATTATACAATGTGAGGTCTTTTGTGACTGGCTGCTTTCATTCCCTTAGCATCATGTTTTCAAGGTTCATCCACGTTATAGCACAGAGGACCGCTTCATTCCTTTCCAGGGAATAGTATTCCTTTGTATGGATGGACCACATTTTTGTTACCCATTCATCAGTTGATGGACCTTGGGTTGTTTCCACTTTTGACTATTATGAGTAATGCTTCTAGAACATTCATGTACAGTTTTTGTGTGGATGTATGTTTTCATTTCTCTTGGGTGTATACCTAAGAGTAGAATTTCTGGGTGATACGGGAGCTCTATGTTTAGCCTTTTGGAGAACTGCCAAAGTGTTTCCAACTTGGCTGTACCATTTTTGATTCCCACCAGCACGTATGGGTGTTCCAATTTCTCCATATCCTCACCAACACTTGTTGTTGTCTGTCATTTTTATTCTAGCCGTTGTAGGGGGAGTGAAGTCCCATCTCATTGTGATTTTGATTTGTGTTTCCGTGATGGCTCATGATGTTGTTGAGCATCTTTTCATGTGTTTATTTGTTTATCTCCTTTGGAGAAATGTCTGTTCCTATCTTTTGCCTTTTTTTTTTTTTTTTTTTTGCAAGACAGAGTCTCACTCTGACGCGCAGGCTGGAGTGCAGTGGCGCGATCTCGGCTCACTGCAACCTCCGCCTCCCGGGTTCATGCCATTCTTCTGCCTCGGCCTCCCGAGTAGCTGGGACTACAGATGCCCGCCACCACACCCAGCTAATTTTTTTGTATTTTTAGTAGAGATCGGGTTTCACCGTGTTAGCCAGGATGGTCTCGATCACCTGACCTCATGATCCACCCACCTCAGCCTCCCAAAGTGCTGATTACAGGCGTGAGCCACTGTGCCCGGCCACCCATTTTTAAATTGAGTTATTTATCTTTTTATTACTGATTTTTTTTTTTGAGACAGAGTCTTGCTCTGTCACCTAGGCTGGAGTGCAATGGCACAATCTCAGCTCACTGCAACCTCTGCCTCCTCAGTTCAAGTGATTCTCCTGCCTCAGCCTCCTGAGCAACTGGGATTACAGGTGCGTGCCATCACGTCTGGCTAATTTTTATATTTTTAGTAGAGACGGGGTTTCAACCACGTTGGTCAGGCTGGTCTCGAACTCCCGACCTCAGGTGATCTGCCCATCTTAGCCTCCCAAAGTGCTGGGATTACAGACGTGAGCCACCGCACCCGTCCTTATTTTTATTTATTTATTTATTTTGAGACAGAGTTTCACTCTTGTCACCCAGGCTGGAATGCAATGGTGCAATCTCGGCTCACTGCAACCTCTGCCTCCTGGATTCAAGTGATTCTCCTGCCTCAGCCTCCTGAGTAGCTGGGATTACAGGCGCCTGCCACCACGCCTGGCTGATTTTTATATTTTTAGTAGAGATGGGGTTTCACCACGTTGGCCAGGCTAGTCTTGAACTCCTGACCTCAGGTGATCCTCCCGCCTCTGCCTCCCAAAGTGCTGGGATTACAGGCATGAGCCACCACACCTGGATTTTATTACTGGCTTATAAGAGTAATTTATATATTCATCAACACAAGTCTCTTGTCAGACATATGATTTACAAATATTTTCTCCCATTCTGCTGGTTGTCTTTTTATTTTCTTGATAGTATCGTTTGAAGCACAAAAGCTTTCAAAGTTTGGTGAAGTCTAATTTATTTATTTCTATGTAGTGGGCTATATATTTTATTTCCTTTTCTATAAATATCATCTTAATGTAGCATAAAAAGATAAGCAATTTTAGGAATACCTATAGCAATTTATTTTCATGACCTCTCTAAGGCAGGGATGGCAGTACTGTTTCATTTTACTTGGCTCTAATAGACTGGTGGTAGCTGATGGCCAACCTCTGTTACAAAATATTCTAAGGCTGAACCTAGGCAGGTGAAAAAAGTACACAACGATTGATTAGTAAGGTCTGCCGTGGGCACGGGAGGGAGGTGGAGTGCCAGGTTTTCACTCTAAAAGATCAACATGGAGTCTCCCATGGTATCAGTGATGCTTATAAACTCAGAACCGGGGGAGGAGACATCTACACGTTCCTCTGCCCTTGACTCTGTCACTCTTTATGCAACCTCAGGTCACCCGTTCCTGGGGTAGCCAGCAGGTAGGTTGGAGCAAGGGGAGGATGCAGAGATGGAAAGAAAAGAAATGAGGAGGCCGGTAGGGGCTGGGGAAGGTGCCGCATGGACTCCCGGCAGCCTTGTGAGTTACCAAGTGGCCTCGATTTGCATGGGGTGCCAGAACAAAGTAAGGACTGACAAAGTTCCCATAGTCAGCTTGGGGAGAATAATGCCAGCCACTTGGAAAAAATCGGTTCTCCAGGTGTAGAGCAAAAGGAGGAAGCTTTTGGGAAACTGCCTTAACCAGGGTTTTGAGGCAAGAGTGAGGTCCCTGATTAAATCTTGAGCTTGACCCTAAAACCGTCCTCAGCCTTGAGTCTGGCTGGGACTGTCCTGCTGCCCAGCGCTCATCCCTGGCTGTGCTGGGCCCAGCAGGCTCTGAGAGTCGACCGACTTCGGTGCGCACTGGGCTTCCTCCCGTGCCCCCACGGCGGTGGCTCTGGTTCCACCGGGAGGCCGGGAAGCCGTGGAAGCATCCATCACCTTGGACTTGCATCTTGCCTTCTCTTTGAAACACCTGGGCCCAGCAAGAACCTCACGCTGGCAGCTGCTGTGCAGGGGCCAGGGACAACTTGGGGAGAGGGAAAGACCCCTTCCCGTTTCCCGTCTGCACCTTGGAGCCCCTGTCCAACACACGCACCCAACACACACCCTGCACACACACACCCCAGGATGCAAATGATAACCGCCGCGCCATCGCTTGTGAAGCTTGACAGAAAATAATGAGAAACACTAAATCTTTTATAAGGTCAACACTTGCCTTAGCCGAGCAGCTGTCAAACAAGAAAAGAATTTAGCGCCGGAGCCACGAAACTTCCATCGGCTCATTAAACCCAACAGGGCCCGGGCCTGGCGTGGCGAAGGAGACGCGGGGCCTTCCGTTTTGTGTCAGTAATTTGCGGTGGAGGAGGCGGAAGAAACAGCCAGCGCCAAAGGGGCCTGGGGGCTGGCTGGGGAATCGTTAGCGCGCCAGGAGCGGCCTCGGCTCCTAATTGGAAGCATTGGGCATTATCAACGGAGGATTTGCCTCAGTTCCCTGACAGCTCGTGGGCCCAAAATGATCGCCCACTTGTCAGTGTAAAAGACCATTAAAAACAAACCATTTTGATTTAATTGGAGGCGGTGCACCGCGGGGCCAGGTGAGGGGCTCGTCAGCCCGGCTCCCCCAAGCTGCCACCCCCCTCTCCCTCTGTGTGATGGGGCTCGGGGGGTGGGGTGGGAGAGAGTGTGTGTGTGTTTTCCAGACTTTTCACCTTTCAAAAACTGCCTGAGAAAGGAGTGAATGGGAGATGGAGGAAACTTCACAAAGACAGTGAGGCCGCTTTCAATGGGGTTGTCAACAAAGGCCCTGACAAGCTGAGCCGCCGGGGAGGGGGTCCTCCCTTCTTTGCAGAACCCAGATGATGGGAGGCTGCTCAGCTCTTTCTTCTGGAGGGGTCCTGCCACAACCTGCCCACCCCCGCTTAGAAATATCAGGACAGGGGAGGTCACAGCAGAGCCTGATCTTCAGTGGGGAGGAGGACTTTTTCTTTTATCGTGAAGACTAAGAAGAAGTTAGTGAAGGGACTGTGTCGACGGAGGCCCTGCTGAGGTGTCTTTGTGAATGGGACGGCCCCTAGAGATCTGGGGTAGTGTCTCATCAGGGTTCCCCCAGTGGAGGCCAGGGTGCTGACGATGCCTGCTTGAGAATCCTACATTGTCTCAGTATGAAGAGGGCGCTTGTATCAATATTAACTTAAACTCCTGGTGGGTTCTCCCACCGGGGCAGGTGCCTCCAAGCACACGGATCATCTATCTGTGCGCGGAACCTGAGTGTGACTCGGAGTGGAGATTGCCTGATGCCAGGGACTGTATGTTTTGCATGTTGATTCTCGGTATCGTGTACGCCGTGGGTGCTTGATAAATATTAATTGGCACTTGCCAGATCTCAGGTCTATATGTTTGTATATTAATCTCACCCCCATCTCACAACGCGGAGATCTCATTTGCTGCTTTCTGCTTCTCTGACAAGACAACACATGCAGGACCACACAGGGCTGGGGGGTGTGTTAGGGAAAGGGCGGGAGGCACGTCAGCTGATCCCTTCCTAAGCCTCCACTCTTCATTCTGATGAAGGATTGGGCTGGGAGGAGACACCAGCTCCCTGGTGAGCATCAAATTCCAGAGCTCCAAATTTTACTGCTGAATTTAGACAATGGGGATTCCTTAATTACTTTCTCTGGAAATTTACCTGACAGTGCTTTCTCAGGTAGCACAAGGTGCTTATCCAGCCACATGGTTCCTCGGTTGACAGTCTTTGATTTTGTGCTCGGTTGCAAATTAAGTCCTTTGCTGAGCCGTCCATGCAGTGCCCGTCAGTACTTTATTGCTCATTAATATAGGCTGTTGAACAACTTCTGAGTTACTGCCAGGGAAGCTGGGGACACACTCAGATGTTTGGTGTCCTCGGCCCATCGGGGTGGAGTGTACTGCAACGAGGTTTGGTGTTGTTATTCCCCTTTTATCTTATTGGAATAATGACCAGGAAGGATTTTTTTCTGGTATCTTTTAAGAAGGAGCAGAACCTTTCTGTGGTTGACGAGGCTAAGCCTGACAAGTCACAAATAGGACTATTAGAGCTAAGTGTCCTCAGCTAGATAGCAAAGATGTTAATGCCATATTGTGGGCATGGTTCTAGGGAAATGTCCGCAGACAGGAGGCCTTCAAATGTCTTGGGGTAACTCTACTTTTAGAGGCACCCAGTAGACACCAAACAAATCTTGGCTGGATGGTTGGATGAACAAACAGATGGACAGATGGCTGAGGATGGATGGATGGATGGATGGATGGATGGATGGATGGATGGATGGATGGGTGGATGGATGGATGCATGCATGCATGCATAGATGGATGGATAGATAGATGGTTGGATAGATGAATGAATGGACAGATGGATGGACGGATGGACAGATGAGTGGGTCAGGAGTCTGGGGATGAGGCAACACAGCCCTTAGGAATGCATCCAAGATTCAGGCACCCTGAAGATCTCTGCTTTGCTCAGCTTAAACTCTAAGTGGAAGAAGTGTTTTACTTTCTTCAGTAGTTGTACCCTGTCTCCTTCCAAGTGATTTGAAGGTATCTGGCGGATTGCACGCAAGGTGAAACAAGGTATTTAAGGGCTGGGCATAGTGGCTCATGCCTGTGATCCTAACACTTTGGGAGGCCAAGGCGGGCAGATCTCTTGAGCCCAGGAGTTCAAGACCAGCCTAGGCAATATGGTAAAACCCCATCTCTACAAAACATAAAAAAAATTAGCCGGGCATGGTGGTGTGCACCTGTAGTCCCAACTACTTGGGAGGCTGAGGTGGGGGATCACCTGAGCCTAGGAAGTTGAGGCTGTGATTGTGCCACTGTGCTCCAGCCTGGGTGACAGAGTGAGAGCCTGTCTCAAAAAAAAAAATAAATAAAATAAAAATAAGGGTTGCATAAAGCATAGTCTGAAGAAAAGTGTAGCAACTCTCAGGCCCCTGGTTTAAACAGATTCTAACCCTTGCTCAATTTCTGCCACATGAAGCCAAACGGAGCACATTCCATCACGTCGAGCATGTTTTTTCCACAACAGAAGGCATGACAGTGCACTCGATGATTAGGGACATAGGGCTTTGAGTTCCACAGAGCTCAGTTCCAATCCTGGTCCTATCGCTTTCCAGCTGTGTGACCAGGGGCCTCAGTTTCTCACCTGCAAAGTAAGGGTCATACTACCCATCCCGTGGGGTCATTGCCAAGCCCCTGGAATGGTGCCTGGCACACAGTGTAGGCATTGAAGACATGGTGGCTTGTACTGTTATTACTACTATTAGTATACACGAATCCGACTAAGCTTCTTCCTGAAATTGCCCTCCAGCAGGGAATTTTCACGGAGGTTCTTGTATTAAGTGATTCAAGTGGCGTTGATAGACAGTTTCAGTCACAATTTTATTTAAAAATATATAGAAATGCAGTGCAGCTTGACAAATCTTCCATGCATGTGGATAAAGGTAGAGAATGCAGCATGGACTGGTGGAGACCGTGGAGCCTAGGCCGTCCACTGTTGTTGCAACGTGGGGTTCCCCCTTCCAACATTCAGAACTCTGCCCTGGGGTGCAATCGAGACCCTGGTTGTCTATGAAGAAATGGTATCTGACTTTGGGAATTTGCAGGGCTGTCATGTGGAAGGGAGAGAAGGTGATTCCATGGGGATCAAGAAGCAAGAAACACAACAAGGAGGTGGAAGGTAGAAGGCAGATTTCCACTGCACTTGAAAAAGAGCTTGCTATGGACTGAATGTGTCCACCCAAAATTCGCATATGGTGTTTGTTTGTTTGTTTGTTTGTTTGTAGAGACAGAGTCTCACTTAGTTGCCCAGGCTGGTCTTGAACTCCTGGCCTCAAATGATCCTCCCACCTCAGCCTCGCAAAGTGCTGGGATTACAAGTGGGAGCCACCATGCTCAGCCAACAAAAAGCGTATGTGAATCCCTGACCCCCAGTGTGATGGCATTGGAGATAAGGCTCTTGGGGAGTTGATTAGGTTTAAATGGGATCGTGAGGGTGGGGCCCCCATGATAGGATTAGCGTCCTTATAAGAAGAGACACCAGAGTGTGTGCTTCCTCTCTCTCTCTCCAGCAAGTGAGGACTCGGTGAGAAGGTGCCTTGGCTATAAGCCAGGAAGAGGACCCTCACCAGAACCTGATCATGCTGGCACCCTGACCTTGGACTTATAGTCTCCAGATCTAGGAGAAATAAACATCTGTTTAAGCTCCCCAGTCTATGGGATTTTGTTAGAGCAGCCTGACTAAGACAGAAGTTCATAAGCCTTAGGGCTGTTTAACAGACAGAGGCGGTCTCCAACTGCACATTTCCCTTTGAAAGCCCCATCATGCCTCATGTCAAACATATGAAAATACATCCACCTGCCACAGTAAACACATATTTGAACGTAACTGTAAGAGTGGAGTTGACACTGACCCTGAGAGCTGGGGCAGCTGGCTTGCTGAAAATACAGGTTTGGTGGCTGTCCCAGACCCACTGGATCAGAGTCCTGGAGAGGCCCTGGACTCTGCTTTTTTTTTTTTTTTTTGAGATGGAGTCTCACCCTGTCACCTGGGCTGGAGTGCAGTGGCGTGATCTCGGCTCACAGCAACCTCAACCTCCCAGGTTCAAGCAATTCTCCTGCCTCAGCCTGCCGGGTAGCTGGGATTACAGGAGCACACCACCATGCCCAGCCAAGTTTTGTATTTTTGCTAGAGACAGGGTTTCACCATATTGGCCAGGCTGGTCTCAAACTCCTGAGCTGAAGTGATCCTCCCGCCTTGGCCTCCCAAAGTGCTGGGAGATTACAGGCATGAGCCACCGCACTGGGCCTTCGACTCTGCATTTTAAACATCTCCTCAGAGGATCCCAGGCAAAGCCAAGTTTTCGAATAACTCATCTAAAGGAGCAGCTTCCAGGGCCTCGTCCCTCCCAGAGGCTTTGTTGCTCCATGACCGTCCCCTAGCCAGGCCTGTGCCACGCGCTTCACACGCATGATTGCACTTGGTCCTCTCTGTTGCCATCCCCACTTCACAGATGCAGACCTGGGGCGGGCATGAGGCAGGCTGGGACCTGGAGCCACTCTGCATGGCTGCCCAGCCCACAGACAGACCCAGCCCTCCTGCTGGACTCAGCCTCAGCCTCCCACTTTTAACGCAGTAAGCCTGAATCCGGGATCAGCCGCCTCTTTCCTTTTTAGCCTTGGGGCCAAACTGCAATTTAAAAGATGCCCGAGGTTTTATCAAGGTCTAGAGGCTTTTGGGGCAGTGGGAAGTTTGGTTTATTGCCAGGGCTTAAATCAGCCGGAGCAGGCCCGGCCACGACACTCTGGACACTCATAAAATCCCTCATTCCTGACCGCCCTGCACTTTCCTTCCCGGGCCCGCATTTAGCCCTGCACTGGCCCCCGACCTCAGTTGCAAGTCTTTAGTGTTTATCAGCTCTTTCAGGGCCTGAGGCTTGGAGGCAGCCAGCCAGAGTCCAAGTCCCCACCTGGCCACATGCTAGCTATTAACCTTGGGCACGTGACTTTAAGCTTCCGAGCCTTAGCCTCCTTGCCTCAGAGACAGGGCAGCTCATCTCTACCATGTGGGGTTATTGAGAGTTATTGACATGAAATGGGATAACTCACGAAAGCACCCAGGCTTGGGCCGGGCGTGGTGGCTCATGCCTGTAATCCCGGCACTTTGGGAGGCCAAGGTGGGCGGATCACTGGAGGCCAGGAGTTCGAGACCAGCCTGGCCAACATGGCAAAACCCTGTCTCTACTAAAAATACAAAAATTAGCCGGGCGTGGTGGCGGATGTCTGTAATCCCAGCTACTCAGGAGGCTGAGGCAGAAGAATTGCTTGAACCCAGGAGGTGGATGCAGTGAGCCAAAATTGTGCCACTGCACTCCAGCCTGGGCAACAGAGTGAGACTCCATCTTAAAAAAATAAAATACAGTTTAAAAAAAAAAAAAAGGGCACCCAGGCTGGCACCCAAGAAGGAGTCAGGACGTGTGAGCTGTTGATGTTATCATTGCTGCTGTCTTGGAACTCCATCTTTAGGATAACTTCTCCCCTCCACTCTCCCAGCTACTGGACTTTGGTCAAACTGCCCACATTTTTTTTTCTTTTTTCTTTGCACCACCCTAAGGCATCATTTCCTAGGACTTCTTTGAGGAGAGGAGGGGAAGAAGACAGAGTCGGTCTTCATAAAACCTCCCCATTGTCTTACTTTCCCCCTACCCCAAATGTGTTCACTGACGCCATGCACTTTCCCTTTCTGAGGGTAGCCAGTCAGGCTGTGTTTGTAGCATCTTGGTCCATTTCACCTGCACTTTTGCCAGAGTTCAGTTTGAATGAACCCTGAGTTTATCCCAGGAAATCATCTGATGCCATTTATGGGCAAGAACCTGCTGACGGCCCCATATCAGATGGCACCATGTCAGGTGGCTTTGGGTCTCCACCCCACCAACCTCGCTGGGGCCAGGGGATGGAGGCTGACAAGTGGGGACACTCAGAAACCAGAAGGAACCTGGGCAACATAGTGAGACCCTGTTTCTACAAAAAAAAAATTAAAAATTAGCTGCACGCCTGTAGTCCCAGCTACTTAGGAGGCTGGGGTAGGAGAATCACTTGAGACTGGGAGGTAGAGGCTGCATTGAGCCATAATTGTACCACTGCACCCCAGCCTGGGCAACAGAGTGAGACCCTGTCTCAAAAAAAAAAAAAAAAAAAAAAAGCTTCAAGGGAGATGTTGAGGAAGATGCTGCTCCCCAAATTCCTTCCCAAGCTGGTGGGATTCTCTCTAGATCATCGGAGATTTATTCTCCTGGAGATGAGCTAGAAGTCGGAAGAAGAAATTGGGGACCCCCCAAATTCCATCAACTCCCAAAATTCAACATGAGACTCTTGCTGCCTCTAGAAATTAGAAAGATGTAACTGATGCCCAAACCAGCTGTCTTACTCATCGATTCTGGTGATTTTCAACAAAAAACCGAAATATTTTTGCATATAATCAGGGAGAAGAACCTTCTAGATTAGACAGAAAAGCCTCTGGAGCTGGAAGGATGAAGGGGGCAGCCAGGCTGGGGGTTCCCAGGTTGTAGGACTGGTCCTGTTGGAAGTGTCAGCTTCGGTCATCCCTTCACTGTTGGCCTCTGCAGGCCCCACCACAGACACTCCCAGACTCTGAGTGCTGCTCTAGGAACTTGGCCGCTATTCCCCCATCACTCCCCACATACATGAACACCTCCTTTCCTTTTGTCTCTGCCTCAGAACTTCAGCTCTGGCTATTTGTGGCTTGCCAGTATTTGAGCAGCAATGTCACCTCACGAGCAGGTGCCTAAAAATTCTATACCTCTGAGGTGCCAGATTATGTAAAACCAATTAAGCTCCTGCTTTGTTTGTTTGTTTGTTTTTTCAGACAGAGTCTTGCTCTGTCACCCAGGCTGGAGTGTAGTGGCACAATCTCTGCTCACTACAACCTCCACCTCCGTGGCTCAAGCGATTCTTCTGCCTCAGCCCCACCGAGTAGCTGTGATTACAGGTGCCTGCCATCACGCCTGGCTAATTTTTGCATTTTTAGTAGAAACAGAGTTTCACCATATTGACCAGGCTGGTCTCAAACTCCTGACCTCAGGTGATCCACCCGCCTCAGCCTCCCAAAGTGCTGGGATTGCAGGCATGAGCCACTGTGCCCGGCCAAGCTCCTGCTTTCATCCCTGTAGCAAGTCAGCTCGTCGGCATACTGATCCATGTAGAATGGGGGGTATCTGTATTTACAGAGGAAGTGTCAACTCCATCAGGGCCTCTGAATCATTCTTCCCATTGCCCTATTTCCGCATGTGACACATTCCATTCCTGCACTTGGTGCCCTACACAGTGACGTAAGATGATTCTTATTCCGATGCAAGGAAGCGACAGGATTCTTAAAATACATCACTGGTGCAGAGACCCTTGGGAGGGGCCGTAGATCTGGCATCTGTCCTTCCTGGGTTCGGATACACCTTTGTGGGGGTCGGCCCATCTTCATTTTAACTGGACAAGCCTTGTGGAGAGGCAGAGGCGGCAGGGTGGACAGGCTAGAAGCCCGCTTGGGGGGTGTAGCAGAGAGTTAACTTTCCAGCCAGCTATGATTTGTAAGAGAGCTTAAAGGTGGGAAAGAAAATCCTTTTCTTAGATTCAGCAGCTTTCACTAATCAGCTGCATCTCTGGGTGTCACTGCTTGGCTGGCTGCTGAGATATATTTTTTTCCCTCCATCTCCTGTTCTATTAGGGAGCCAGGGGCCCAGGAGACCCGAAGCAGGGTTAGTCTTCCACGAACAGAGGAGTCTGATCCCAGCGTTCAGAGCACAAAAGCTTGTAAATCAAACTGTTAGCTTAATAGCTTGGGCCATTATTCTAAAGCAGTGGGGCTGAAACCAAAAGCCAAATGAAAATATAGTCAATTTGTTCATACTTTAGTGACTGAACGACTATGTAATGTTGGTGGGTATTGGAAGTGTACAGAGACAAGGACTGTGGGGGGAGGGGCGGATGTTCCGAGGGTGGGGGCGGGAGGGGAATGTGGAGACCCCCCCGCCAGCCAACAGATGCTTGGGCAAGCCCCCTTCTAAAATGGATGTTGGGTCTCTAATTATAACATAGATTTTATAATAAAGATCCAGGCTCCGGAAGTCAGCAGGCCTCGCTGCTGGGGCACAGCCCTGACCTTCATGCCTGAGGGAAGCTGAATATGCAAAACCGGACTTGGCCAGCAGCGTGCGAGCGTTTGGTGAGACATCAGGAAGAACTGAGCTCAAAGCTGGAGGTCGAACACTGGGATGAACACCTGGGGAAGAACTCAGGATCTCCATCTTTTAAAAACATTTAAAAAAATAGCCTTACTGGTTTTGGAAAAGCTGCATCTACTCATTGAAAAAAATGCAAACCATATAGAAAAGAGCATCAGAGAAAGGAAAATCAGCTTCACCCCCCACCCCCCCGCCCCAAAGATCACCACTGCTACCATTTGTGGGGCCCTCCTGCCGAATGTCTGTAGGCATTGTGCAGACGCTCAGAGATGCTCGGGTGCTTCTCTCCAGGCGGGGCCCGTGGCATGGACTCTTTTGCCCAACAATATGTTATTAAAGTGTCAATAAGTACAGATCAAAGCCGTGGTTTTCAAGGTCTCCTAACGTGTACTTGAGCCATCTCTTCATCAGTGGCATCCAGTCTTTCGCCATTGTCATCGGCCATAAGCTTTTGGGGGCACTCACTCTCCATCTTTGGGCAGAAGGATGTACCGTCTGCTTTGTGTGGCTGTGCATGAGTGGCTGGTTGAGAACCGGAGGAAGCGCTGTTAGCCAGGGCCCCAGGGAGGGCTGCCTGGGCAAGTGGGGGTGTCTGGACCCTGCCTGGAGAGCCCTGAGGAAGTTTCTGCAAAAGGCAAGGAAACAGGGTGGGCCGGCCCACGCAGGGTTATGTTTAATGGGGCTATTGTTATGGGAGTGGCTTCCGCCCTTCAAGCAAGGTTGGTGTCTCTGGACCATTTCAGGCTGTGGACACGGCGCACCTGGGGACACCTGAGGACACCTAGGGCAGAGCTTCTCCAGACTTCCCGGCCCAGGAGCCCAGCTGTGCAGCTGCCTGTGTGTCGGTCTGTCTGTCCATGTCACCCCAAGCCAGCGGCCAGCAGCCCAACGGTGGCAGTCACACCCGAGTCTGGCCTGTTCGCCAGCATAGCATCAGTGCGGGGAACAGGGCCCAGCATGAAGGCGCATGTGGAAAAGATTTGTGAATGAGCAGGGGAATGAATGAATGAATGATCTCCACAGCCATCCTCATGGAGCTGCCACTTATAGGCAGTTAACATGGGCCAGGCGTTCTGCTGAGCGTGGTGCACACATATTCTCTCTGGATCCTCCCAGCAGCCTAGCCAGGGGAGCATTTGTTAGCCCATTTTATGGAAGAGGAAGTGGGTCACAGACAGGTAAAGCCACCTGACAGGTAGGTGTGGCAGGGTCACCACTTGACCCCGTCTGGCTGTCCCTGGAGTCATGCGTGCACACAGATGTACCACATTACTCCTTGCTGGCCTTGCTGTCTGCCCTGGAGACCTAGAACACCCGGCCAAAGGGCAGGGGAGCGTCTCTATCCCCCACAGGGCACAGAGGGCATCAGCCCCAGCCCAGCGGCTCCTCCATTCAGGGATGGGAGAAAATGAGTTCATGTCCCATCCCCAAAATGGGCACCTGAGAAGGATCTGAGCTGCTCCCCCTGCTGGCTCACCCTGGGTTTGGGGTCTGCACCTCCAAGGGCCCCCATCCCCTCCCACATGGCTCCTGGGCCAGTGAACTGGGGATCACAGAATCTTGGATTGGAAGGAACGCTCAAGAACTAGTCCCACCCACTCATTGTCAGCTGAGGAAACAGAGGTCTGGAGAGAGAGCCCAGGCATAACTGTCCTGGTAGGAGGGCCCCTCGCCAGCTGCTGGCAGAACCCCCTTCTGGGCCCCAGCCACCAGGGGCAGTTGCTGGTGGCACAGACCAGAAAGAAGACATCTCTGTACTGCCCTGCCTGGAGGGAATGCACAGTGGGGGATGTGTCCTCTTCCCTCTTTGGTCCCTCTCCTCTCTCGACCCTGTAAGTGGCCCGGGTCATCCAGCGCGGGGGTCTCGGCAGCCCCTCTGGCAGGGCAGCCCCCTCGTGGCTGGCGGTGTCGGTGCAGCAGCCGCGCCCTGCCTGCTGCTTTTCAGTGTGAAAGGTGTTTAATTATTTCTGACAGAGTTCAGCGTCGACATCTGCTCGTGAGCGGGGAGAGTCCATTTAGGTTATCCATCACCGTGACAGGCTCAACTTTTCTGGAAGCGCTTTTCCCTTCATAATGGGGCCGGGGTGGGGGCAGCAGATCAGCGGCAAAGCCAGGCGCAGACAAAGGCCCTCCCGGGGCTTCACACGTGACAGACACCACAGACAGCAGCTCCGCCTAGGGGGAGTGGCCCTGGCCACCCGCCCGGACCCCTGAGTCCAGGCCCAGTTGGTGGCTGCCGGGATGGTGGGTGCTTGGTTTGGGAAGGGGAGAAAGGGGAGGCTCAGCAGGTCTGTAACAGACTTTTAAATTCTTCTGTCACTCTGGGCTGTACTGGCGGTTCAGTCTTTCATCCCCTCATTCATTCATTCCACAGATGTTTACTGATCCCCTACTCTGTGCCAGGCACCCTGCTGGCCTCTGGGGACAAGGTGTGGAACTGACAGGCACGGTCCTGGGGGGCTCACATTTTACTGAGCAAGATGAAAAAAATTGCCCAGTTAATTAATTGCAGAGTTAAGTGCCGTGAAGGGGAAGAAAGGATCCCTTGGTGGTGAGAATGGGGACCTGTGGGTGGGGCCTGGAGGTGAGGGAAGGGGTCCTCGGGAGGCCCTGGGGCTAGGAAACCCCAGATTGGACCCAGACTCCACTTCTCACCTCTCCAAGCCTCAGTTTCCATGTCAGTAGAATGGGGGCATGATATCTATGAGATGAGACCTGCTCAGCGCCGGGTGCATTCTAAGGGCTCGGTAAATACTTTTTGTTGGTGTTACTTCCTGACAAGGAGGCGACTGCGTGTGACACCCATAACGGCAGCACTCTGTGTGTCTAAGGGTCTCTGCTGGGTTGGACAGGGTGGCATCCAGGGATGAACCCGGCACAATTCCCCATTTCCCTTGGCCCCAGGTTTCTGGCAAGTAGGATAGGGAGACAGCCTGCAGCTTTAACTCCCAGCATCCTGCGAATACCCTCGGAAAGGAGGCGAACACTCAGTATATGCTGTGGCTTGCATGTTGATTTTCTTTCTCATGAGTTTTATGGCCCGATAGGTCATGTGTCTCGGCTTGGGCCCTGCCATCAGACACACCTGGGTTCCTGTCCCCGCCACTCTCTGGGCAAGGAAGGTGCTCCCCCTCTGCCTTTCATCTGCACCACCTGGTCAGGACTCTTGTTCTGAGGCTGAAATGAAGTAATATGCACACATGACCTCACACAGTGCCTGGCATGGCACAGGAGGCCATCATTCCTGGTTTGCTATTGTTCATAATCATATTTCAGAACAACGGTCTCAAGACTGGCAGACCCATGGTCAGCTGAGTCAAATCCCCTCTTTGGAAAATGGAAACTCATTCTATGTGCATTTAGCTCCTACTTGGGGCCAGGCGCCGTGGGACACAGGTGAGTGAGACAGACCGGAGCTCCCAGCACAGGTGCGGCACTGTTACCTGGAGCCCTTTCCTTGCTCTGCTGAGGGGAGAACACCTGAGCCTCCTGTGTCCATGGTCTTGGGCTCTAAATCAGAGAGGAGGGGGCTGAGTGGGGCTGGGAGTCAAGGCCTAAAGCAGAGTGCTGCAGAGGGCAGCCCATGCCAGTGGAACGCTGGGTCCCAGTCCCTCCTCAGGCAGCGTCCCCATGAACTGCAGGGATTCTCACAGAGAAAGGAGCAGGGAGGTAGCTGAGCATGGTGACTCATGCCTGTAATCCCAGCACTTTGGGAGGTCCAGGCAGGAGGATCACTTAAGGCCAAGAGTTTGAGACCAGCCTGTCCAACATGGCGAAACCTCATCCCTGCAAAAAAACACAAAAATCAGCTGGGCATGGTGGTACAAGCCTGTGGTTCCAGCTACTCAAGAGGCTGAGGCAGGAGGAACACCTGAGCCTGGGAAGTTGAGGCTGCAGTGAAGGTGATTGCACCACTGCACGCCAGCCTGGGTGACAGAGTGAGACCCAGCCTTAAAAAAAAAAAAAAAAAAAAAAATAGGCAGTGAGGAAAGACCACAGCCAGGGCCAGGATGGAGGCTGTGGACGGAATCTGCTGAGTGAGTGAGAGAGCAGGAGAAGCAGAGGAAGCAACATGGCTGGAAAAGGTAGAGAAGCTAGAGATGAGCCGTGCTGTCGAGGGCAGGAGCGGTGAGAGGAGCTGCGGAGCTGCAGTGACTCCCTCCACCTCCCAAACGTACTCGGCCCTGTTCCTCCCTTGACGTCTGCTGTGCACGGAGGCAGCGCACTGACGGGCGGCAGGGCGCATGGTCATTGACATATGCTGGCAGAGGCCACTTGGGCAGGACATGAGAGGCCGCGTCAAGGGGGGGCAGAGCAGGTTTCTCCGGTGAAGCTCTACAGCCTGTTCGAGTGCATTAGGCTCAGAAAGGCACCGGTCCCTTCATTGTTTAAACTGCAGTTTAATGCGGCACAGCGGCCGGGCCTGGCTGCCCAGGAACATTGCAGCTGTCTTCCCGGGGCCAGGCGACTGCCTTGTGGCCTCCTAGAAAGGCTCCCTCTGCCTGAGCTGGACACACGCACCTCCCCCGGCCCCATCCTGAAGCCACTGTTCCCAAATCTCCCACTTCCCTTTCTCCGTACGGTGCCCCCGGCTCTTACATTGTTCTTTCCCTGCCAAAAGCTGTTGAAGATGAATCCCTGTCTGGGTGCTACAGGGCTACAAGGCTGAGTGAACACCGGTTGAGTTCTGAGGCCAGAATGTGGCGTGTTCCCTGGGTCCTTATCTAGGTCAGTCTGGGTACGTGTCGCACACTTGCCCCAGTCCTTGGTAGACCTTTGCTCCTCTCTCCTCAGGGACATCACTCTGTGGGAAGTTCATGCTGGTTGGCATGCATCTGTCTTGCACCCCAAAATTCCCAGCGCAGGATGTCATGCATCAACTACCCCTTCCCTGGAGGGAGGTTTGGTCCAGACAGCCCCTGCCCCAGGGAGACAGCCTCCTCCCCTGGTGAACAGCCTCTGCCCCAGGTGGACAGCCTCCTTCCTCAAGGCGGACGGACAGCCCTCTCCCCAGGTGGACAGCCTCCTTCCCCAGCTAGACAGCCTCCTCCAGGTGGACAGCCTCCTCTACAGGAAGACTGCCTCTGCCTTAGGTGGACAGCCACCCAGCCTCTGCACCCAGATGGTCTGGGTTCAGCCCAAGACTCTGCCACTCCGCAGCATCCACCATGTTTCCTGTCTGGAAAATAGGCCTGGTAGCAGCAGCTGCCCCCTTCAGTGAATGTGAAAAGTCACAAAGGCTCAGCTCCGGGCCTTGGGAAGTGCTCAGGAAACATTAGCTGTTGCGATTGCTGCTGCGGCTGTTGTACTAATCGATGGTGAGAAGCCCACAGAACCCAGAGACAGCAGGTAAGGACCTGGCAAGGTGAGCGGCAGCCAGCAAGGTGCAGGGAGGGGTGTGGATGAAGGTGACACTGACCTTCTGGAAGTGAGGCATGTGCCAGAGGGTGTCCAGCTTCACGGGCGGCTTGTACTTCCTCAGCTGACTGCTCCGGGTCTCATACAGCTTCCCAAGGACCACCTGTAGGCCAGGGAAAGGCAAAGGTGAGATGGTTGCCCGGCTACTTGGAGAAGGCCGTGCTGAAGGGATATAGAGACAGAGGGCTGGGATTCTTGGCGTGGCAAGATCCTCGGTCACTTTCCTTCTGGCCCCAGCCCTTCTCCAAGGCTGTTTCACACCACCTGCCTCCATGGTCCTGTCTCTGGCCACAGCTCAGGAGACTGGGGGAGGGGGGGTGGGACCCCAGGACACCCGGAGCATTCCAGTCTCTGGAACATGTGGGATTCCAGCGTGCAGCCACCCTCAGGGCATGGACAGTGTCTCAGTCATCCTTGAACTTGTCCTCCGTGGCTCACGCAGCCCCAGTGGGTCCCCAGGACTCCATGGTGTTTGGATGAAGAAGTGCACGATTCCAGGGGTTAGTGTCTTTTAGAGCAGGTCCTCCATGGCCTGCTCGTGCAGGAGGAGTGAGAGCTTCTTCGGGGGACTCAGGGACCTCCCACCACGGTGTCTCTGCAGGTGTGATTTCAGAGACACAGTGGAAGCCCCTCTGCTCCTGACCTGCGTGCCTGTGCCCACTGACAGGTGCCAGCAAGTCCACTGTTAGAGCCACATAGCTCGTAAGGTCTGTTCTAGACTGACCCAAAAGACTTGGCACTTGGCTTCGACTGTGTCATGTCCTAAGATGTGCCAGGGGATGGGGCGTAGGCGGCTGGGGATGGGCTGGAGGCCCTGGTTTGGGAGTCGTCAGTATTGGCTATGGCCAGAGCCACAGACCTGGCTCAGGGCAGCCCCCGGGGAGTACTGGGGACAGAGGCCTGGCGGAGTAGCCCTGAGGCCATCAATGCTGCCAAGTCCTTTATCTCAGGGCTCAGTTAGGAGGGGCCCTGGGCATGAGCTCACAGGGTCTCAGGTTTCCTTTGTGTATTTTCTCTTAAATTGGGATTCCAAACTGTAGACCTTTCAGGCCCTACAGAACATGGATCTGCCCTGGGGTTCACCAGGCTTATGTTTCCTCTTTCCCTAAAGGCAACTGTCTTCCAAGGGCGGGGCCCAGTAAACCTTCCGCGTCACCTCCCATGGTGTGAAGCACACAGACAGCACAATCGGCAAATAAAGACTGAACCGAGTTTAATCGAAGGTGCCACCACCCCAGTAAACCCCTTTTACTGATTTTATTGTATTAATTTTACTGAAAGTGTCTGTGGATCACTTACAAACCCCCCTACCCGTTTTTTTGTGTTTTTTGTTGTTGTTGTTTTGAGACGGAGTGTCACTGTTGCCCAGGCTGAAATGCAGTGCTGTGATCTAGGCTCCCGGGTTCAAGCAACTCTCCTGCCTCAGCCTCCCAAGTAGCTGGGATTACAGGCAACCACCACCACGCCCAGCTAATTTTTGTGTTTTTAGTAAAGACAGGGTTTTGCCGTGTTGGCCAGGCTGGTCTCAAATTCCTGGCCTCAAGTGATTCACTGGCCTTGGCCTCCCAAAGTGCTGGGATTTCAGGCGTGAGCCACCACACCTGGTCATGTCTAGAAGGTTTTGAAACTATCTTTGAACCAAAGCAGAGAGGCTGTCTAGTCGGGGGTTATGGAGCCAGGCTTCGGAATTAGAGGCAAGCAGCCATGTCACCTGTCTGAGCCTCAGTTCCTTCTGCTAGCAATAGGGTGCCAACGCCCACTGAGCAGGGTTCTTGCAGGGTTTGCTGAGTTGAGCTCTGAGGAGGGCGGCTGGCCAAGATGATGGCTCACTTAGTGGTAGCTGTTGCCACGAATTTCATCTGGGGTCATCACCATCCAAATCAGGACATACCCCGATGCTTACAGGCTTGAGGAGGACACTGAGGTCTGTGGTGGTGGGGATGTGGCTTTGCAAACTGACCGTCTAAGCAAGTCCGGTAAATTGTCTATCAACCCCAGACCACAGCCTCCCAGCGTTTGGGGGGTTTGTAGCCATTTGTAGGACAATATAGCAGCCACAGAGAATCTTGGAGCAAGATTACGAGGTTGGTACAACAAGTGTTTTCTGAGTGCCTGCTATGCGCTAAGTGATGGGGTTCACAATACCTCCAAATATGCCCCCTTGGCATACTGAAAAAGGGAGAAGTAGGACGTCTCGCTCACATCCCCTGCCCTTCTCCCCTCAAGCAGGTTATGCGACCCTCATTCGAGAGGTGCCCCCCAAAACTTACAGGTAAAGAACATCCTGATAATCTGAACAACAGGCCTTGCGAAGTTTCCCCCAGTTTATCACCAAAAGATCACACTATTCATCCAATCCTTTCTCCACAACTATCCCCTTCTTCACCAAATCCAGCATAAAAATATATGCGTTTAACCATTTCTTTGGGCCTTCATTTCCTTACAGAGGCTCATGTGTCACATAAAACTGAAAGACATTTGAATGCTTTTCTCTTGCAAATCTGTCTTTTGTGATAGGGCCCTCAGCCATGAGTCTAGAATGGGTAGAAGGAAAGACATTTTCCTCCCCCAACAGGCACAGTATGGTGGGGCCTTGTTTAATCAGACCCCTTTCCGCACCCAATGCAGAAACCAAGACCCCAACAAAGAGAGACTCACTCAGCCACACATGCAGAGCTGGTACCTGCTCCAAACCACACGAGCTGTTTTGGGGGCTCTGCTTGAAAAGGAGGGACTCTGTCCTAGAGCTGGAAGATGGGGTCGGTTTACCAACACTCTGGGATGCGTGAAATACCTGCTAATTAAAACTCCCAGCTCTAAGCCTGGCACAGTGGCTCATGCCTGTAGTCCCAGAACTTTGGGAGGCTGAGGTGGGTGGATCACGTGAGGTTAGGAGTTTAAGACCAGCCTGGCCAACAAGGTGAGACCCCGTCTCTACTAAAAATACAAAATTAGCTGGGCCTGGTGGCAGGCGCCTGTAATCCCAGCTACTCAGGAGGCAAGGCTGGAGAATCACTTGAACCCAGGAGGCGGAGGTTGCAGTGAGTTGAGATTGCCCCATTGCACTCCAGCCTGGGCAACAAGAGCAAAACTCCGTCTCAAAAACAAACAAACAAAAACAAAAATAAACAAACAGCAAAAAAAACTCCCAGCTCTAATGCGGGGCTAGAAAGCAGTTTGTGCTGGTAATGCTCCCTCTGAAATCGGCCATCACCACAGCAAGTGGACTCTTGCTTGAGCCATTAACGAATAAACTAGTCGTGGGTTGCTCTTAAAATGTTATTACAAGGCCGAGCTCTTTAATGAGGTGTCTGACGTTCTGCAGACTGCTGAGAAGAGCCAGGAGAGGCCCTGGCACCCGCCACGCCTGGAAATCCTCAGCCTCCCACTTCGTGCACCCCTCCTGGCCCCTCCTGAGGGTACCAGGATTTCGAGAAAGACTCCTCCGATCCCCTGGTTGGCCCTAGAACATCATAGGCGCTGTTGCTGAGCCCCAGGCTTTTCCGTAAACAGCAGGAGTGGGACCTCTTCTTCAGGAAGAGCCTGGACTCTCAGGCTGGACACACCTAGGTCTGACACTGTTGGCAAATCACTTCATCTCTCTGAGCCCTAGTTTCCCCGTGAAATAAACCAAACTGAGATGATAGGAGGAGAGACTGACCTCAGGGCATTCTCAGAGAACTAAATGCAGAAACTCAGGGTGCATACTCAGCCCAGCCCTCAGCTCAGAGGCTTGGGGAGGGTGCTGGTTGTGATTGTCATGACAACTAGCCACGCCGGAGCCACGCCTTGATGAAGTCTATAAAGTACTGTGTGAACATAGAGTGATTCTGATTTTACCATCGTCAGTCTGGACCTACTGCCGAGGAGGCCAATCTGATCTCTCTGAAAGCTCGAGTTTCAGAATATTTTAAAGGAAGTACTATTTTATTTATTTATTTTTATTTATTTATTTTTTTATCGAGACGGAGTCTTGCTCTGTTGCCCAGGCTGGAGTGCAGTGGCACGATCTTGGCTCACTGCAACCTCCACCTCCTGGGTCCAAGCAACTCTCTTGCCTCAGCCTCCCGAGTAGCTGGGACTACAGGCACATGCCACCACGCCCAGCTAATTTTTTGTATTTTTAGTAGAGACGGGGTTTCACCGTGTTAGCCAGGATGGTCTCGATCTCCGGACCTCATGATCCGCCCGCCTTGGCCTCTCAAAGTGCTGGGATTACAGGTGTGAGCCACCGTACCCAGCCAGGAAGTACCATTCTAGTATCTTTTCTTTTGAGAGAGTCTCACTCTGTCGCCCAGGCTGGAGTGAAGTGGTGCAATCTCAGCTCACTGCAACCTCCGCCTCCCAGGTTCAAGCTATTCTCCTGCCTCAGCCTCCTGAGTAGCTGGGATTACAGGTGCCCACTATCATGCCCAGCTAATTTTTGTATTTTTAGGAGAGACAGGAGTTTCACCATGTTGGCCAGGCTGGTCTCAAACCAGGTGATCCACCCACCTCGGCCTCCCAAAGTGTTGGGATTACAGGCGTGAGCCACCGCGCCCGGCCTTGAGTATTTTCACATGTGTATGACAACACAAACGAAGAATTAAAGATGGTTTTCCTTCCTGCTAAAAAACCTCACTGCCCTGACGTCCTGCTTGTTGCTAGGGACTCCTATCACCAGCAATCGGCAGTGTCTGGACATCCTTGGGACCTCAGCTCAAACTTCCCTGTGCAGGCACTGCCTCCCCAAGCCTCGACTTCCACGCCTGGGAAGCAGCGATTACAATGCCTGCCTTGTGGCTTTGGTAGCATAGATGAGAGGATGCACGTCATGCACGGGAGGTGTTTGGAATGCTGCTTCCTGGTTAATTTGTAATAAAATGTTACAAAGTTTAATATAATGTGTTCTTTAAGGCACCCTTTCAGAAGTGGTTTCCTTTTCAACTTTGCCTTATTGGCCTTTTCTCTATAGATTGTACAGGACATACTTCTGTGTGGGCCAGGTTGGATTAGTCTAAAATCTGATTTTGGGTGTGTGCAGAGGTTTGGTGGGAAGGGTCCCGAGGTAGGAGTCAGGACAGCTGGGTTCTCATCCCCGCTCAGGGTCACACAGGGCCTATTGACTGATGGCCCGGACCCATCTCCTCTACGCTCTGAGCTTAGGTAGGGTAGGAACTGGATAATCACCAAGATGCTTTCAGCTGTAGATTCTCTGATGCTGGGCAGAAGATGCAACCTGATTTCCCACTCATCCCCAATGACAAACATACACAAGTGTCATCTCGATGCTTGGCCCTGGCCAGCCCTTCTCTCTTCTCCACCCCATCAGCTGTCAACTTGGGAGCGAGGGCTGCATTTACCTTCTGCTTCTTCTCCAGTTTGATGGCTTTCTGGGTGGCCTTTTGTTCCTGTACCCACAGCTGCAGGTACCGGTGCTGCAGCAGATCAAAGAAGGGTGTGGAAGGCCTGGAGGGAAGAAGTCCAGACAGAGCTTGAGGCCCCGGAAAGACCAGAGGCACCCGCTCCCCACCGCCCGCCCCCGGGAGCCTCCTAAACGTCAGGGGCTGTGGGGTACATCACTCCCACCTCTGTGAAAGCCTCTCTCCCAGCGCTCAAAAGCCACGAAACAGGTCCCTCACATAGGCTGATGAGTGGTGGGCCTGGGACGGTGGTAGGACTCCCTCCTTGACCAGACGTTAGAGGTCTGGTCCTCTGAGCTCTTTCTCACTAGGACTCATCCCTGGGCCCTTCCTTGGCCTGCTGAAGCCAGTTGTAGCCAAGAGTCCCGCTACGTTGATTCCCCACCCCTTCACATCTGATTACCCTTGACAGCTGATTAAGTTCCTCACCTGCACCCCTGATATCTGATGACCTTGGCCTGCCTTTAGCAAGGATCTTCCTGCCTTGATGTCTCCTCTTAGTAATTTTCCATCCACTGACCCCGCCCCTCCCTTGGCTCCTCAGCTAAACATCCCCACTTCTGTTGTATCTGGAACTGAACTCAGTTCTATACTGAAGCCTCTCCCCTTTTGCAATAGTATTGAATAAAATGTCTTTACCACCTTTAATCAGTGTCTGGCTCTGGTTCCCTTTGACAACGATTTCCAGCCAAGGAGCACTTACCCTAGGCATTTTGTATGCTCCACCCCTTCCCAACAGGAAAATGGATACTAGTATTATTCCCATCTTACAGATGAGAAGGGTAAAATCCCAGAGCAGCACGGGAAGCACCGCAAGGCAGACCCGCTCAGCCACAAGCCTCTGTAGCAGCGAATGGCCAACTGCTCCCAGGTGGGACCTAATCTCTAAACAGGTTGAGAGACGGAATATCCAAATGGACAATGGCCAAACCACATATAAAAGTAGAACTATGGGCTGGGTGCAGTGGCTCACACCTGTAATCCCAGCACTTTGGGAGGCCGAGGCAGGTGGATCACCTGAGGTCAGGAGTTTGCCACCAGCCTGGCCAACATGGTGAAGCCCTGTCTCTACTAAAAATACAAACATTAGCTGGGTGTGGTGGCGTGTGCCTGTAATCCCAACTAGTAGGGAGGCTGAGACAGGAGAATTGCTTGAACCTGGGAGATGAATGTTGCAGTGAGCCAAGATCACGTCACTGCACTCCAGCCTGGGCAACATAGCAAGACTCTGTCTCCAAAAAAAAAAAAAAAAAAAGAACTATGAGCCACAATCTGCAGCAGCTAGGCCAGGAAACCAGCCCATTTTGTACAGTAACCAGCCCAGGAAGCCACCTGCTATGCCAGACTTGTAGGAAGTCAGACTGTGGTCTCTACCAACAGGCCAGGAAGCCAAAGAATAACCTTGAAACAGCCAACCCAGAATGTCCAGGACTTGGTTAATAACTCCCAGCTCCCCTAAGTTTTGTACCCACTTGGAGCTTAGAACCAACCAGAGAAAACTAAATAAGCACCCCTAACCAGTCCCATAGGATGCCCCCATATATATAAGATAGATATCTAGAATTTATGATGTATATCATATATATATGATGCATATACATATATTTCTATTTTCATGAGGAAGAAAATGAAAAGATAAACCAAACTTATTAACTAAGAAGCTACCTGTAGAATGAGGGAGAGAACAGGAAGGAAATGACAGAAAGGAAAGCTAGAACTTTTTGAATAGACTTTGTGTTATAGTTTTGACTTTGGAAACATAAAAAATGGTTTTTTTGCTAATTATGAAAAAATTAAAGAGAAAGGATTAGCATCTACCCCAAATAACAACAGGAGAAAGCAAATGAACCTAATTGTATGTCAAGTTGTGGCATAACCACAGATGATTTCAAGTGACTTTATTTATTTATTTATTTATTTATTTATTTATTTATTGAGGTGGAGTCTCACGCTGCCACCCAGTCTGGAGTGCAGTGATGCAATCTCAGCTCACTGCAACCTTGCCTCCCAGGTTCAAGTGATTCTCCCACCTCAGCCTCCTGAGCAGCTGGGATCACAGGCACCAGCCACCACACCCAGCTAATTTTTTGTATCTTTAGTAGAGACAGGGTTTTGCTATGTTGACTAGGCTGGTCTCAAACTCCTGACCTCAAGTGATCTGCCCACCTCGGCCTCCTAAAGTGTTGGGATTACAGGCGTGAGCCACCTCGCCCAGCTTCAAGTGACTTTAAAAGAGATTTGGGCAGAATATCCCTAGCGTAAGATATCCCGAGGATAAAAAGAACCATGAGGAAATCTGAAGCTGTGTCCTTGTTGCTAATAATAATGTTGATATTGTTAGTTTGAAACTATTATGTATACATTCCAGGATAAAGCAAATTAGTAATTATATAAATGTCATTAGGAGAAAAGAAATACCTATATAAAATCAAAGAAGTAGAAAAAAACCTGTGTAATTTTAAATTTGAATTGTAAATATCATTATCAACTCATTAGTTTTCCTCTTGATAAAAAGTAACATGTTTCCTATCCCTATCTCTGTCCACTGTAAAAGTCTAGAAGTGACAACAACTCAGTAGCAGTGAGCACCCCTAGTGCCCAGACTGTGGTCTCTAAGTGCCATTCTCTGCTCAAAAGAACCGGGGATCACTGGAGAAATGGCTGATCTCTGTGCCCAGGAGGTCCCCATGCCAGAAGCAAGAAGGCTGTCAGAGGCTACTGGGAGACATGGTAATGGACCACAGGGGCCAGCCCAAATTTGCCAAAGACAGGACAATTTGAGCATTAGACAGAATAACAATGGCCGTGAGTTGAAATCCATCATACAGCACTCTCTATATGACATATGGATATATATGCATAATTCTGGTGGGAAAAAAGGAAAACCTCCTTGTGCAGTTTGGAGGTTGCTGGGCCACAAAATCATTATTCTGAAAATAAATAACAGAACATTTCCCTGCCTTTCTAGTACAAACTGCATCCTGGGGTAATCAAATAGGCGATAAGGGAAAGTTCTTTTTTTTTTTTTTTTTTTTTGAGACAGAGTCTCGCTCTGTTGCTCAGGCTGGAGTGCAGTGGCAGATCTCAGCTCACTGCAAGCTCCGCCTCCTGGGTTCACGCCATTCTCCTGCCTTAGCCTCCCGAGTAGCTGGGACTACAGGCACCCACCACCACGCCTGGCTAATTTTTCATATTTTTAGTAGAGGTGGGGTTTCACCATGTTAGCCAGGATGGTCTTGATCTCCTGACCTCGTGATCCACCCGCCTCAGCCTCCCAAAGTGCTAGGATTACAGGCATGAGCCACCGTGCCCGGCCGGAAAAGTTCTTTATAGAAAAGCCAGAGCTCATAAATGCAGGAGGAATGACAGAATTAGTGGGAAAATCAGTGTTTTGTGACTCCTAATGAAATAATGGATCTAGGGAACATTCATCTGTGGCTGCTAAAATGATCAGGTGGAGGCTGATGGGGAGCTTCCCAGCAGATGGGTCATGCTGCAGCAGCTGAACCAAATGACCAGCCCTTTATATGACCATCATTTTATTATTGTGGTAAATATACACAACATAAAATTGACCCCAGTTATCAATCTTGACATCACTGACAGTGACAAATAGATACTGTGCCAGAACTGATATGCTAGGAGGGATGCTGGACTGCCTACCAAACATGTTCGGGGAAAAAACCCAACGTAAACTGGAATGTAATCAAGCCTCTAGACCAGCATTGTCAAATTACTTCTTTTTCTTTTCCTTTTTTTTCTTTTTGAGATAGAGTCTCGCTCTGTTGCCCAGGCTGGAGTGTAGTGGT
The DNA here is from genome assembly GCF_000001405.40 of Homo sapiens. Taxonomy (NCBI): domain Eukaryota; kingdom Metazoa; phylum Chordata; class Mammalia; order Primates; family Hominidae; genus Homo; species Homo sapiens. Next base: position 132,533,837 of record NC_000009.12, on the reverse strand, counting down.
GGGATCTCAGCTCACTGCAACCTCCACCTCCTGGGTTCGAGTGACTCTCCTTCCTCAACCTCCCGAGTAGCTGGGACTCCAGGCGCCCACCACCATGCCCAGCTAATTTTTGCATTTTTAGAAGAGATGGGGTTTGGCCATTTGGCCAGGCTGGTCTTGAACTGTTGACCTCAAGTGATCCACCCACCTTGGCCTCCCAAAGTGCTGGGATTACAAGCGTGAGCCACTGCACCTGGCCTCAAATTACTTTCAATAGAAAAAAACTGCAATTACTTTTGTACCAACCTAATATAACGTGAGCTACCCTGTAACCCCAAACCAAGAAACGCCTGGAGCCGCCAGCAGCTGGAAGAGGCAGGAAGCGTCCTCGGCTAGAGCCCTGGGAGGGAGCGGGGCCTGCTGACTCCTGTTTCATGCTTCTGGCCTCCAGAATTGTGAGAGAATCATTTCCTGTTGGGTAAGCCACCAAGTTCATGGTAATTTGTGATACTGGCCACAGGACACTCGTACACAGGGGTTCCTCAGCCTACACACTGGGAAACATCGATGGGAACCACCTTTCCCATGAGCGGTATCCAGAACACGGCCAGTGACCGGAACATGAAGAGTCTTCGGCAGCTGAAGGGCCCTTTGAGCAGCGTTTCTCAAACTATACACCTGGGTCACCGTGGGATCTCGTTCAGGGCACCTCCGATTCAGTCACGTAGGGCGCCTAGAGGCGCTGCATCCAGGCCTCATGCTTCAAGGCTTAAGGACCTGGAGATGATCTAACCCCAGGCTCTGAGCCTCCCAAAGTCCCATGAAGGTGCAGGCGATTATTTCTGTGCAGCTATGTAAAGACTTTCATCTAGGGAGAGAATCCACAGCTTTTATCTGATATTCTCGGCCTCCCAAGTGGCTGGGACCTCAGGCGTGCGCCACCATATCTGGCTAATTTTTTGTTTATTTTTTGTAGAGATATGGGTCTCACTATGTTGCCCGGGCTGGTCTCAAACTCCTGAGTTCAAGTGATCCTCCTGCCTCTGCCTCCCAAAATGTTGGGATCACAGGTGTGAACCACCACGCCTGGTTTATGTGTTTTTCAAAGATGCAAATGCCCCAGGAAGGGGTCAGAACCTCAGAACTTACCCTGTGACTTAATTTCACAGAAAAAAGAATGAGGAAATGGAGGTGCTGAGAGGGGAAGCGTCTCCCAGGGTCACACAGCTCAGGACCAGAGATGGCAGACCTCGAGCCTCTCACTCTGCGTTTTATGTGGCCTGCGTGGTGGTCTTAAACTTTGAAATCATTGTCAACACTTAAAATTTTTTCCATTCAAAAAACAACTTCCTGGAGTGTGTTGACATTTGTAAGTTCTGCCCATGCTGGACTGCACTCCTGGCTGCAGCAATTGGCCGGCGCTGAGTAAAAGTTCCCCTTCCGCCCCAGGCCTCACCCTGCCCTATCGCCCTATCAGGCTGGCTCCGCTCTCTGCCGGGCTCCTCCACGTGTTTCAGCTTATGGCCCAGAGACAGCTGCAGAGCTAAACCAGACCCTAAATATCCACTCCCTGGGTCCTGGCCGTGCTCCGAGGCCAGTCTGCCTCCCCTCCACGCAGCTCTCTTTGGGCCGGGGCTGAGCTGGGATTCTGTCTGAGCAAAGGTTCAGCAGCTTCCAGCTGCCGCCCCTGCGCAGAGGTCCTTCACACAGCAGCCTGTGGTGCTGCTACAAACGGTGGTTCTTTGTTTTCCAGTTCTTTTACCCCTGCGGTGACTTTTATTACTTAATTATTACACACCCCATGCTTCTGAGCAGCCTAATTTATAGCTGTGTTTTCTAATGACACTAGATTCATAATCTGAAAATATCTACCCCAAGAGACCGTTCACAACAGAAAAGCTCTCTTCTCAGCAGTCCCCGGTACATCCATCGCCACCACAAAGGCACCCTCAGCCCTCCTGCGGGCTCGGCTGACATCCTCATGTCTAGCTCCGGCCAGCAGCTCTTATTACTGGGAAAGGGGCTTGGGGCATGAGAGTAACCGACAAACCCTGGGAGTCCCAACGGCCCCAGCCTGGGTTCTCTGAAGGAGACCGGCAGGCTGTGCCCCTTCTGCTGGGGCGCATTACCTTGGATACAAAGGTGGAGAAGCTGGTTTGACATGGGGAGAACCTAGGACATAAGTCAGATCATATCACCCCTTGCTTAAAATGCCTTCCATGCCCCCCCCCCCATGTCTTAGCCTAAGCCCAGACTCATTGCCCGGGCCGCAGGTCCCTTCCAGCGGCTCCTGCCTCCTTCTCCAGCTCCTTCCTGACATTCATGCCATCCCCCACCTCGTCTTCCAAGCCCTGGAATCCTCTTTCTCTCGCTCAGCACACACTCAGCTTCCCCTTTGCCTTCGGGTCCCAGTAGTGAGGCCACCTCCCCAGAGGGCTCCTCCCCAACCATCCTAGGACAGCCCTGGTCCGGCGCCCTCCCACGCGGGGGGCGCTCATTCATTGGTTTGTTTGCTGATTTACAGCAGGTCTTGGCCATTGGCCACCAACATCACGAGGGCGGGTATGGTTTATATCTGGTGTGAACTGGCACAGTGCTGCTCTCAGTAATTATTTCTTGTTGAAAAAGACTGAGAGAGAAAGAGAGGACACATGGCGGGAGGGAAGGGGGGAAGGAGACAGAGAGAAAGGCTAGGCAGAATTTTAGGAGATAAACTTTTCATAATTCAGGATATTGTAAATTGGGCTATATGTGAGTTATAATAAACCAAAAGAAGCAAATGGAGGGAGATTGCAATTCAATGGAGGAAGGATAGTCTTTTCAACAAATGGTGCTGGAGCCTTGGATATCTTGGACAAAATAAACAACAAAGCAAACAAACATAACAAACTCAACCTAAGTCTCACACCTGATACAAGAATTAACTCAAATGGTTCACAGATTTAAATACAAAACATTAAACTATACAACTTCTAGAAGAAAACATAGGAGAAAATGTTTGGGATCTAAGGCTACGTAAAGAGTTTCTTAGACTCAACACCAAAAATATAACCCATGAAAGAAAAAAACTGATAAATTGGGCTTCCTCAGAATTAAAAACGTTTGCTCTGTGGGAGATCCGGTTCAGAGGATGGAGAGGCAAGCTATAGACAGGGAGAACACATCTGTAAACCATGTATCTGGCAAAGGACTCGTATCTAGAATAAAAAACTCTCAAAACTCAACAGTAAAACAAAACAAATCAAAACCAAAAAACCCCCAAACAATCCCATTAGAAAACTGATGGCCAGGCATGATGGCTCACGCCTGTAATCTCAGCAGTTTGGGAGGCCGAGGGGGGCAGATCACCTGAGGTCAGGAGTTCGAGACCAGCCTGGCCAACATGGTGAAACCTCGTCTCTACTAAAAATACAAAATTAGCTGGGCATGGTGGCGGGTGCTTGTAATCCCAGCTAATCAAGAGGCTGAGACACAAGAATCGCTTGAACCTGGGAGGTGGAAGTTGCAGTGAGCCGAGATTGCACCACTGCACTCCAGGATGGGTGACAGAGAGAGAGAGACTCCGTCTCAAAAAAAAAAAAAGAAAATTGGCAAAGCCTAGCCCGGTGGCTCAGGCCTGTAATCCCCCCATGTTGAGAGTCCAAGGTGGGAGGATTCCTTGAGCCCAAGAGTTTGATGGCAAAACCCTCTCTACAAAAACCAAAAAAAAAAAAAAAAAAAAAGAAAAGAAAGAAAGAAAAGAGGCAAAAGACATGAAGAGATATTTCATCAAAGAGAATATATGGATGGCAAACAAACACATGAAAGAATAGTCAACATCTGTAGCCATTAGAGAAATGCAAATGAAGACTATGATATCACTATGCCCCCATTAGTACAGCTAAAATAAGAGGGCATAATGACACTACCAAATGAGGATGCACAGAAACTACAGCTCCCATGCACTGCTGGTGAGGATGGAAAATGGCACAGCCACTCCGGAAAACTGTTTGGCAGTTTCTTTTTCTTTTCTTTTCTTTTCTTTTTTTTTTTTTGAGACAGAGTCTTGGTCTGTTGCCAGGCTGGAGTGCAGTGGTGCGACCTTGGCTCACTGCAACCTCTGCCTCCCGGGTTCAAGCAACTCTCCTGTGTCAGCCTCCCGAGTAGCTGGGATTACAGGTGCCTGCCACCACGCCCAGCTAATATTTTGCATTTTTAGTAGAGACGGGGTTTCACCGTGTTAGCCAGGATGGTCTCGATCTCCTGACCTCGTGATCCGTCCGCCTCGGCCTCCCAAAATGCTGGGATTACAGGCGTGAGCCACCGTGCCCGGCCAAGTATGTGTTTAGTTTTTTTTTTGTTTTTTTTTTTTATTATACTCTAAGTTTTAGGGTACATGTGCACATTGTGCAGTTTAGTTACATATGTATACATGTGCCATGCTGGTGCGCTGCACCCACTAACGTGTCATTTAGCATTAGGTATATCTCCCAATGCTATCCCTCCCCCCTCCCCCGACCCCATGACAGTCCCCAGAGTGTGATATTCCCCTTCCTGTGTCCATGTGATCTCATTGTTCAATTCCCACCTATGAGTGAGAATATGCGGTGTTTGGTTTTTTGTTCTTGCAATAGTTTACTGAGAATGATGGTTTCCAATTTCATCCATGTCCCTACAAAGGACATGAACTCATCATTTTTTATGGCTGCATAGTATTCCATGGCGTATATGTGCCACATTTTCTTAATCCAGTCTATCATTGTTGGACATTTGGGTTGGTTCCAAGTCTTTGCTATTGTGAATAGTGCCGCAATAAACATACGTGTGCATGTGTCTTTATAGCAGCATGATTTATAGTCCTTTGGGTATATACCCAGTAATGGGATGGCTGGGTCAAATGGTATTTCTAGTTCTAGATCCCTGAGGAATCGCCACACTGACTTCCACAATGGTTGAACTAGTTTACAGTCCCACCAACAGTGTAAAAGTGTTCCTATTTCTCCACATCCTCTCCAGCACCTGTTGTTTCCTGACTTTTTAATGATTGCCATTCTAACTGGTGTGAGATGATATCTCATCGTGGTTTTGATTTGCATTTCTCTGATGGCCAGTGATGATGAGCATTTCTTCATGTGTTTTTTGGCTGCATAAATGTCTTCTTTTGAGAAGTGTCTGTTCATGTCCTTCGCCCACTTTTTGATGGGGTTGTTTGTTTTTTTCTTGTAAATTTGTTTGAGTTCATTGTAGATTCTGGATATTAGCCCTTTGTCAGATGAGTAGGTTGCGAAAATTTTCTCCCATGTTGTAGGTTGCCTGTTCACTCTGATGGTAGTTTCTTTTGCTGTGCAGAAGCTGTTTAGTTTAATTAGATCCCATTTGTCAATTTTGGCTTTTGTTGCCAATGCTTTTGGTGTTTTGGACATGAAGACCTTGCCCACGCCTATGTCCTGAATGGTAATGCCTAGGTTTTCTTCTAGGGTTTTTATGGTTTTAGGTCTAACATTTAAATCTTTAATCCATCTTGAATTGATTTTTGTATAAGGTGTAAGGAAGGGATCCAGTTTCAGCTTTCTACATATGGCTAGCCAGTTTTCCCAGCACCGTTTATTAAATAGGGAATCCTTTCCCCATTGCTTGTTTTTCTCAGGTTTGTCAAAGATCAGATAGTTGTAGATATGCGGCATTATTTCTGAGGGCTCTGTTCTGTTCCATTGATCTATATCTCTGTTTTGGTACCAGTACCAGGCTGTTTTGGTTACTGTAGCCTTGTAGTATAGTTTGAAGTCAGGTAGTGTGATGCCTCCAGCTTTGTTCTTTTGGCTTAGGATTGACTTGGCGATGCGGGCTCTTTTTTGGTTCCATATGAACTTTAAAGTAGTTTTTTCCAATTCTGTGAAGAAAGTCATTGGTAGCTTGATGGGGATGGCATTGAATCTGTAAATTACCTTGGGCAGTATGGCCATTTTCACGATATTGATTCTTCCTACCCATGAGCATGGAATGTTCTTCCATTTGTTTGTGTCCTCTTTTATTTCCTTGAGCAGTGGTTTGTAGTTCTCCTTGAAGAGGTCCTTCACATCCCTTGTAAGTTGGATTCCTAGGTATTTTATTCTCTTTGAAGCAATTGTGAATGGGAGTTCACTCATGATTTGGCTCTCTGTTTGTCTGTTGTTGGTGTATAAGAATGCTTGTGATTTTTGTACATTGATTTTGTATCCTGAGACTTTGCTGAAGTTGCTTATCAGCTTAAGGAGATTTTGGGCTGAGACGATGGGGTTTTCTAGATAAACAATCATGTCGTCTGCAAACAGGGACAATTTGACTTCCTCTTTTCCTAATTGAATACCCTTTATTTCCTTCTCCTGCCTGATTGCCCTGGCCAGAACTTCCAACACTATGTTGAATAGGAGCGGTGAGAGAGGGCATCCCTGTCTTGTGCCAGTTTTCAAAGGGAATGCTTCCAGTTTTTGCCCATTCAGTATGATATTGGCTGTGGGTTTGTCATAGATAGCTCTTATTATTTTGAAATACGTCCCATCAATACCTAATTTATTGAGAGTTTTTAGCATGAAGGGTTGTTGAATTTTGTCAAAGGCTTTTTCTGCATCTATTGAGATAATCATGTGGTTTTTGTCTTTGGCTCTGTTTATATGCTGGATTACATTTATTGATTTGCGTATATTGAACCAGCCTTGCATCCCAGGGATGAAGCCCACTTGATCATGGTGGATAAGCTTTTTGATGTGCTGCTGGATTCGGTTTGCCAGTATTTTATTGAGGATTTTTGCATCAATGTTCATCAAGGATATTGGTCTAAAATTCTCTTTTTTGGTTGTGTCTCTGCCCGGCTTTGGTATCAGAATGATGCTGGCCTCATAAAATGAGTTAGGGAGGATTCCCTCTTTTTCTATTGATTGGAATAGTTTCAGAAGGAATGGTACCAGTTCCTCCTTGTACCTCTGGTAGAATTCGGCTGTGAATCCATCTGGTCCTGGACTCTTTTTGGTTGGTAAACTATTGATTATTGCCACAATTTCAGAGCCTGTTATTGGTCTATTCAGAGATTCAACTTCTTCCTGGTTTAGTCTTGGGAGAGTGTATGTGTCGAGGAATGTATCCATTTCTTCTAGATTTTCTAGTTTATTTGCGTAGAGGTGTTTGTAGTATTCTCTGATGGTAGTTTGTATTTCTGTGGGATCGGTGGTGATATCCCCTTTATCATTTTTTATTGTGTCTATTTGATTCTTCTCTCTTTTTTTCTTTATTAGTCTTGCTAGCTGTCTATCAATTTTGTTGATCCTTTCAAAAAACCAGCTCCTGGTGTTTAGTTTTTTTTTAAGAAACTGCCGGTCGGGCGCTGTGGCTCATGCCTGTAATCCCAGCATTTTGGGAGGCCGAGGCGGACGGATCACGAAGTCAGGAGATCGAGACCATCCTGGCTAACACGGTGAAACCCCGTCTCTACTAAAAATACAAAAAAAAATTAGCCAGGCGTGGTGGCGGGCACCTGTAGTCCCAGCTACTCAGGAGGCTGAGGCAGGAGAATGGCATGAACCCGGGAGGCGGAGGTTGCAGTGAGCCGAGATCGCACCACTGCACTCCAGCCTGGGCAACAGAGTGAGACTCCATCTCAAAAAATAAAAATAAAAAAACAAAAAAAAAACTAAACACATACTTACCAGATGGCCCGGCAATTGCTCTCCTGGGCATTTATTCCAGAGAAATGAAAGCTTAGGTTGACCTAAAAACTTATTCACAAATGTTCATAGCAGCTTTACTTGATTATTTGTTTAATTTTTTTTTATTTAAAGATGTAATTGAAGAATACATAGCGGCTTTAGCTGTAACAGTGCAAAACTGGAAAACAAAAACATCCTTCAATGAATGAATGAAAAGGAGAGGATGAAAAGACAAGCTATAGATCAGAAGAACATCCAATTCCATCCATACCATGGAATACCACTCAGCAACGAAAAAGAATGAACTCTCCCTACATGCAACATCTCAGATGAACTCTAGGCCTTATGCAGAGCAAAAAAGGCCAACCTCAAAAGGTTACACGCTGTGTGATTCCATATATTTAACATTCTTGAAATTTTCCAGGCATTGGGAAATAGAGGGAAGCAGGGTTCACTATAGGGGGTGTGAGGAAGATCTTTGGATGACAGAACAGTTTTGTGTCTTGATTGTGTCACACAAATCTACACATGTGATAAAACTGCAAGAACTAAATACATCACACACACACACACATACACACATGCCCACATGCAGATGAGGGCATATAAAATTGGCAGCTGAATGGAATCTGTGCATAGTACCAATGTCAAGTTTTTGGTTTTCATTTTGCAATCTAGTTATGTGAAATTTTGTCATTGTGGGGAACTGGGTGAAGAGGACGTGGGTTTTCTCTGTACAAACTTTCTCTTTAAAACTTTCTGTGAATTTATAATCATCTCAAAGTAAAATTTTTTTTAAATGCAATCAAGCATGCTAGTGGAAAGACTGAAATAGCTTTATACTTTTATAGAAAAATATTTTAAAATTACTATCATACTGGGGCCGAGCGTGGTGGCTCACACCTGTAATCCCAGCACTTTAGGAGGCCAACGCGGGTGGATCACTTGATGTCAGGAGTTCAAGAGAAGTCTGGCCAATATGGTGAAACCCGGTCTCTACTAAAAACACAAAAATCAGCCAGGCGTGGTGGCGCATGCCTGTAGTCCCGGCTACTCAGGAGGCTGACGCAGGAGAACCGCTTGAACTCGGGAAGCGGAGGTTGCAGTGAGCTGAGATTGTGCCATTGCACTCCAACCTGGGCGTCACAATGAGGCTCCATCTCAAAAAAAAAAAAAAATTACTATCACATAAAGAGGTAATCGAAGAGTATAGGGCCAAAAAATATAGGGTAAAAATAAATATGGGGTGTGTCGGCCGGGTACAGTGGCTCACGCCTGTAATCCCAGCACTTTGGAAGGCCAAGGCGGGAGGATCATGAGGTCAGGAGATCGAGACCATCGTAGCTAACACTGTGAAACCCCGTCTCTACTAAAAATACAAAAAATTAGCTGGGCGTGGTGGCGGGCGCCTGTAGTCCCAGCTACTTGGGAGGCTGACGCAGGAGAATGGTGTGAACCCGGGAGGCGGAGCTTGCAGTGAGCCGAGATCACGCCACTGCACTCCAGCCTGGGCGACAGAGCGAGACTCTGCCTCAATAAATAAATAAATAAATAAATATGGCACGTGTCAATTAATTTTTTTTTTTTTGAGACAGAGCCTTGCTCTATTGGCCAGGATGAAGTGCAGTGGCACAATTCCTGCTCACTGAAACCTCCGCCTCCCAGGTTCAAGTGATTCTCCTGCCTCAGCCTCCTGAGTAGCTGAGATTACAGGCTCACGCTGCCACGCCTGGCTAATTTTTGTATTTATGTATTTTTTTTTTAGTAGAGACAGGGTTTCGCCATGTTGGCCAGGCTGATCCAAACTCCTGACCTCAAGTGATCCGCCCGCCTTGGCCTCCCAAAGTGCTGGGATTGCAGGCATGAACCACAGTGCCTGACCCCGGGTACTTTTACACACAAGCTCTCCCAATTGTCCTATAGAAACTATTCCAGAACTTTCCACAACTTTTTCTAAAACAGCTTCCCAAATCATTTTATGATCACAAACCGAGACAAGGAGAATATACACACTACTGGTCAGTCTCACTTATAAACACAAATCAAAGAATACTAAGTAAAATAGGTTGGGCGCAGTGGCTCATGCCTGCAATCCCAGCACTTTGGGAGGCCAAGATGGGTGGATCTCTTGAGCTCAGGAGTTCAAGACCAGCCTGGGCAGCATGGCAAGACCTTGTCTCTAAAAAAAATTAGAAAATTTAAAAAAGGATGCTATGTATAATAGCACCAAATCAAATAGGCTAATGCATTAACAGCAAAGGCCCCTTGTAATATCTTGCATTCATCCTGGAGCCTGGGAGTGGGGGTGGCGGGGCAGAAACCAGACACATGGATGCAGCTCACTCCCTGCCATTTCTCACCAAGCAGCCAGCCAGGGGAGGAAAGAAATTCATCTTCCAATGAAATTGGGAGTATTGATGATACCCGAGCCTGGGCATATTAATTAGAGCATGGAGATTGCTTTTTGTAATTAGAAGTGACCAGAAAAGCCGAGGAAGCCTGAGGTTTCACCTAAGGGACCGGGAAAGAAGTCAACCCTTAGAGCAGGTGTGAACAGGCCTCTCAGTCAGGGCTCAGGTGTTCTCGGACCCCCCTGTGCCTCCCAGTTGTTCACTGAGCTGGTCACATTTGTAAAAGCGACGGCCTTCATGATGAAATATTATGCAGCTGCCAAAAAGAATGAAGTGGCTGTGTGTGTAATGAGCCAGAGAGATCCCTGAGACACATCATGTGTAAAACAAGAAGTCAGGGGAGGAGACATACAGTACAGGTGCCTCTGCACAAACGTGGGTGGATGAAAAAAAGACTGGAAGGTCGGGCGCAGTGGCTCATATCTGTAATCCCAGCACTTTGGGAGGCTGAGGCAGGTGGATCACTTGAGGTCAGGAGTTCCAGACCAGCCTGGCCAATGTGGCGAAACCCTGTCTCTACTAAAAAATACAAAAATTAACCGGGCATGGTGGCAGGTGCCTGTAATCCCAGCTATTCAGGAGGCTGAGGCAGGAGAATTGCTTGAACCCGGAAGACGGAGGTTACAGTGAACAGAGATCATGCCACTGCACTCCAGCCTGGACAACAGAGTGAAACCCTGTCTCAAAAAAAAAAAAAAAAAGAAAGAAGAAAGAAGCCTACCAGTGATGTCCACAGCGAGGCCCGAGGCAGGGGAGCAGAACTAGGGATGGGGTAAGGAAGACTTTCATATTTCAGCTTACTTAGTGGTTGTATATGATCCTTTTGCAAAGAATAGAGGAAAAAAAGGAAAGAAAAGGACTCCTGAGAGTTGGCTGAGGCCGCGTGGCCGGTGGTGAGGGTGATGAATTCCGGTCCCCAGACTCGGGGTCAGGACACATTCCCAGCTCCGCCTACCATGCACAGGTCCACACCGAACATCAGATCAGAACTCTCCAGGCCGTTTGTTTTCCACCACAAAGCACCCGGGGGTGATCCTGCCTTCCTGGAGCCATGGGCAGAACCCAGCCCTACCCCACCATGCACTGGGGACATCTAGCATTTCCCTGTGTACTTGACCTTTCAAGAATGCAGTTTTAGGAGCTGTTTTTCCTGTTGTCTTCCATAACCATTTTTTGATGCTTCCTTACAACACGTTCAGTTTTTTAAGTAAATGTAGTTCTTTATGGTAAAATATAGGCATTTTTCCCACCCCCAAAATGAACGATTTTTGCCCCAGGCGGAGAGCCCCTGTGGTAACAATTACAGCCGTCCATTCTTTTGAGGCGCTGGAGGGGTTCACATGGAGGATCTTAATTATTTATCCTCACTAAATGAGCATGGAAAAGGTAGGAATGGGAAGCGAAGCCCAGAGAGGTCAAATGGCTTGCCCAGGGTCACACAGCACACTCCAGTAGCAAAGCCTGGACTCCCACCCTTCCGGCTGCAGTGTCTTCAGCCAAGAGAATTTGAATCAATTTTCACAAAAGAGAGGGCAGTTAAGGCTGAACAACACTGCCCAGCAAGCCAGGTGCACATAGAGGCCAAGTCCAGGGGCCCTGGCTATTTTCATATAGGACCCCAGACTTTCCCAGACACCGTCCTTTGTCCTTGGACCCTGCAACAGCCCCCATCCCCTGGCCCCCTGCTCCTCATAGGAGCCAGGGCTTTTTAAAAAAATGCAAGTCTGGGGCCGGGTGTAGTGGCTCACGCCTGTAATCCCACCACTTTGGGAGGCCGAGGCAGGTGGGTCACTTGAGGTCAGGAGTTCAAGACCAGCCTAGCCAAAAAGGTGAAACCCTGTGTCTACTAAGAATGCAAAAATTAGTTCGGCATGGTGGCGTGCACCTGTAGTCTACTTGGGAGGCTGAGGCAGGGGAGTCGCTTGAACCCGGGAGGCAGAGGTTGCAGTGAGCTGAGATTTTGCCACTATACTCCAGCCTGGGTGACAGAGTGAGACTTCATCTCAAAAAAAAAAAAAAAAAAAAAAGCAAGTCTATTTCTGTCTTTCTCAGCACAACCAGTGGCTTCCCATTGCCCCTGGGAGTGCATGATTCTCGAGGGTCTCCAGCTCAGTCCCTCTCCTACCCCCTCCCAAATGCAGAGTCCTCCCATACTTCTTCCTGGACTCCTCTCCTTCGCCTGGCGGACACCTCTCGAGACCTCCCTTAGCTCTGCCCACTCTGCCATGCCTGCACTTTGCACATGCGAGGTGTTTGAAGTTCTTTATAATAGTCGGCTCAGGGTCCACCTTTCCCACCAGGCTCTGAGCTCCACGGAGCAGGGATGGTGCTGGGTTGTCCTCTCCAAATCTCCAGGCCTGGACCGTCTGCACTCAGTAGAGAAGCTGAGTGACTCTGGAAGCCTTTGGAAACTCCTTTCCTGAGGACATGTGGCCTCAACTGCAATGCCCAGGAGGAGGTCTTTGGAAGAAATGGGCTTTTCCTTGGGGAACCTAGTGATGGGGGTGGGGTGGCCCCGATATCCTTCAGGACGGGTGCAAGCACCGAGGACACGTGGCCTCTTGATTCCCTTCTCTCTCTCTCATGGGAAGATCAGCCATTAAGTCGGCATGTCAGGGCCGATCCTGTATCCTCACTGCCCTGGAGAACAGAGAGCCCGGCCAGGCCGGCAGACGCCATGGAAGCAACCCCTTCCTGAAGACGAATGAGAGGAGGTTCCTGAAGCCGAGGACAGGCTGGAGGAGCCAGGGAGATCTGCTGCTCTCAGACCTGTTCCTTATGAATCTTCAGGACTGTGTTCAGAAGTAATTCAGGCTTGGGAACATCTGTGCTTCTGTGTGATACTGAAAGGGTCTGCCCAGGCAGTGGGGTAGGGATGGAGGACTGCGGGCTGCTCCTAGGCAGCACGGCCCTCCTGGCCTTCGAGGCTCTTCAGAGCCCAGGGAGAGAGGAATGGAGGGCTGGCCCTGCGCCAGTGTCTGGGGAGGGGCTCCTGGGCCAGGGGGCAGAAGGAATTGGGTCAGGTCCACACCGGACCTGAGGCCAGGAGCTTGGTGAGGGCTGGGGATCCTCCTGGAGGCAGGGGAAGGCACTGACTGAGAAGGGACATGAGAGACTTCTGGGATATGGAAATGTTCTGTATCTTTTAATTAATTTATTTATTTAGAAACTGGCTGGTGTGCGGTGGTGCGATCCTAGCTCACTGCAGCTTTAATCTCCCAGACTCAAGCAATCCTCTCGCCTCAGCCTCCTGAGTAGCTGGGACTACAACACTCACCACCGTAACTGGCTAATTTTTAAATTTTTGTAGAGGTGGGAGTCTCACTATGTTGCCCAGGCTGGTATTGAACACCTGGCCTCAAGCAATCTTCCCACCTTGGCCTCCTGAAGTCCTGGGATTACAGGTGTGAGCTGCTGTGCCTGGCCTGGAAATGTACTATATCTTCATTGGATACCCAGGTGTATAAATTTGTCAAAACTCATCAAATTGTGCATGGATCATTGTATTGTCTGGAAATTACACCTCAATAAGGCTGTTTCAAAAGAAAAACTAAAAAGACAAGATTGAGGAGTAAATGGCTGAGGCAGGAGTTATAGCAGAGGAAAGGCTTTATGAATGTACTAGAGATGGTTTCTGAGTGAGAGGAGAGGGGAGGGGGCATGATGCCAGACACTGTTGCGGTGTAGCAGAGTGGATTAACCTGGGGGAGGGGGAATGGTACAGGATTTGAGGGCCCAAGGACATTTCAGGGGGAGGAAGGGGACAGCAGAAGGGCAGTGCACCTCATGAATGAGATCTCAACTCTACGTTCACTCGTTCGTTAGTCCATCCATCCACCCATCCACCCACCCGTTCATCCATCCATCCACCCATCCTCCCATCCACCCACCCATCCATCCACCTATCCATCCATCCATCCATCCATTCATCCACCCACCCACCCATCCATCCATCCATCCATCCATCCATCCATCCACCCACCCATTCATCCATCCATCCATCCATCCATCTATCCACCCATCCATCCATCCATCCACCCATCCATCCATCCATCCACCCATCCATTCATCCATCTACCCACCCACCCACCCATCCACCCACCCACTCATCCATCCATCCATCCATCCATCCATCCATCCATCCATCTGCCCATCCACCTACCCACCCAACCATCCATCCATCCATCCATCCATCCATCCATCCATCCATCCATCTATCCATCCATCCATCCATTCATCCATCTACCCACCCATCCATCCATCCATCTACCCACCCACCCACCCATCCATGCATCCACCCACCCACTCATCCATCCATCCATCTACCCACCCACCCATCCATCCATGCATCCACCCACCCACTCATCCATCCATCCATCTACCCACCCGCCCACCCATCCATCCACCTATCCATCCATCCACCCAACCATCCACCCACTTGCCCACCCACCCATCCATCCATCCATTCATTCACCCACCCATCCATCCATTCATCCATCCACCCATCCATCCACCCACCCACTCACTCATCCATCCACCTATCCATCCATCCACCCAACCATCCACCCACTCACCTACCCACCCACCCATCCATCCATCCATTCATTCACCCACCCACCCACCTATCCATCCACCCATCCGGACCATCTAGGAGCATTAATGGTATGTCTGAACATGGGGGTGGCTCCCTGCCCTCTGGGGTCACAGAGCATACAGCAGAAATAACCATCCTCACAGCTCACACTCCCTGCCTGCCTCCTCAATCCTTGGGACAACAACTCGAGAGACTGATATCAATATCCTCACTTTACAGATGAGAAATCTGAGGCCCAGGGAACGCCACTGTCTTGCTCAAGACCACGCAGTAGTCATTCGAATCGTAAGCCTGTGGGGGTAGCCACGCTGCAGCCCTATCGCCCTGCAGTGCCAAGGGCCAATGCCAGTGTAGACAGCCACCTGCAGTGTGGCCGGAGCTCAGAGGAGAGAAAGGTTAATCCAGCAAGTGGGTTGGATGAGGGACATCTCCTCTGAGGCTTTGGACAGATCTCTGGGGATGGGTGGAAGGTGGCCGGGCAGGAGAGCTCCAGACAGGGAACAGGGTGAACACAGGCAGGACCGCCAGCTGGAGATGGGCCTGATCCACCCTGAAGAATAAGAGCGATTCCAAATGCCTCCCATCCTAACGAGCACTTTCTATACCAAGCCCTCCACGTGCAAAGCTCACCGAGTCCTCACAATTCTGGAAGGGAGGATGGAGACTCCTGGCTTTCAGAAGGGGAAATTGAGGCTCAGAGAAATGGAGCGAGTTGCCCGTGTGATGCTCAGGGATGCAGAGTAGCCAGACAGGAGAGCCAGGATCCGAATCCGGGTTCCCCTGGCCCTGAGGCTTTTTGCCCCTAATGGTTAAGCTGTGTGCTGAGCGGCTCCAAGGCGGGTCTGAATGATCCAGTCATCTCGTCCAGGTGGAGGTAGCTTGGTCAAGCTGTGCTTGTTGGCAGTTTGCTTGCCTGGACTTCTGAGTGAGTGTTTCCCCTACACAAAGGAGTCCGATTTGTCCTGACTTCCACGCTGGGCCCCATCCAGGGGTCTCAGGCCCTCACACTCGGGCTGTGAGGGCTTCCAAGCTGCTGTTTCTACTGTTTGGAAAGCCGGGCTTTGGGCTTGCCTGTGGACTCCTGAACAGCCTGTGTCGTGATGACAGGGCCCCTGCTAAGAGCTTCGACAAATTATTTGCTGATAACCTGGCAGGAACCCCCCAGAAAAGTTTCTCACCACCGGACGCGCCCACTAGCAACAAAACCGGGTCAAAACTCAGTCCCATAAAGCGAAAAAGGGGGAATGAAATGAAATCAGCTCCTACTTGGGATAGGCCTCCCAGAAACTTCAAATTAGTTCCATCAAACCCATCCTGACTGCTCCGCGATTGATACCCCAGACCAGGGGTTGATCTCCGATGCAGGCACAGGGGATGTGCAGGGGAAATGGAAATTATCATTTGCAAACATTAGGCTGACACTTTGTGTGTGCGGGGGATGAGGGCTGACAGCTCTGATTTGCCGGTGCGGCTCCGCTCTGCCAGGAGTGCTCTGTGGATTAGAGGGGCCCTTTCATGGCAACCCATCTTCATCTTCGCTGCTCATTAAAACTTTGTGGAGCTGGAGAACTTGGCGGAAGAGAGGAAGCTGGAGGAGCCTTCTGAGGGACTTTAGGTACACATTTGTTGAAAGGTGTTTCAGAAGGGAGACTTGGGTCTGACAAACTGGATTTTAGTACGGCTCTCCGTTCACAGCAGGCTAAAATAATTGGTCATCAGTGACTACTAATTCGGTTTAGTAGCCAGAGGCGATTTTTTTCTTCCTGGAAAATCAATGACAGCGCCGAGGTCTGTTCAACGTGATTCCACTCAAGACGGGTCCTTATTTGGCTCTTGATGCTTCTTCCAGTGGAGACAGCTATTTTGTTAAAATAAAATTAAAATCCATCTCTAATATGCCAGCAGTCTGCTGCTCCCGGGGGCCGGGGAGTTGCTGGCACCCTCGCAGCTGAGAAGGGACGGAGGGGCGGATGGTGGCCTCTGAGGCTGGGCCTGAGACCGTAGATGGCTGGTTTGGGAGGAGGGAGAAGGCTGGAGGGCTGGGCTTCTCTCCACGATACGAAATCGACACCCGATCCATGAGGGACACCCAGAAGTGGAGCCGTCTAGGGAGATCCACCCTCTCCACCTGCCGGATGGGGTTTCTGAAGACCGCCCTCGTGTTCTCACACAGCCCCGAGCTGCGTGCTGCAGGGCTGGGGTGTCTCCCTTTTTCCTTGGCACCCAGGGCTTCCTGAATGACGTGGCTGTCCGACTGTCAAGTGACTTCCATGGCTGTTTACTGAGCACTTTGCTTGTGCCTACAGTTTCACCGTGGTTTTTTTCTAACAAGCGATTATAACATTGCCCGTGGGTACCAAAGCTACCACTAAATCTATTTTTTTTTAAACTGAAACTTTTATGGAGATCATTGTAGATTCACTTGCAGTTTGTACGAAATGATGCAGAGAGATCCCACGTGCCCCTTACCCAGTTTCCCCCAATGGTAACTGTAGAATAAAATCACAGCCAGGATAATGGCATTGATACAGTCCAACAACGTCATTCAGATTTCCCTGATTTCGCCCATACTCGTGTGTGTGTGTGTGTGTGTGTGTGTGTGTGTATTTCTGTGTGGTTTAATCATGTGTTGTTTTATGTATCCACCACCATAGTCAAGACACAGAACATTCCATTCCCACAAGCTCTCTCCTCTTGTCCTTTGGAACCACACCCACCTCCCTTCCACACTGCACTCAAGTTCCAGGGACCGCATCATTTCATCCCGACAAGAAACCTACTAGACAGGAACTACTATTATGTCAGCCCCACTTTTTGTATAAATAAACTGGAGTTCAACAAGATTAAATAACTCACTCAGGATCAGCGTTGGGTGACTACTGCCCTAAAATGGTTGCAAATAGCAGACTCTAGGCCAGGTCTGGCCTGCAGACATGCTTAGTTTGGCCTGTAGCATTTTGAAATCTTAAGTAACCAATATATATTTTTTTAAAAATCAGAAGATTCACATAAAAGTCCAAATGCCTGGCTTTGTTTACTGAGATGTTAGATGATCTGGTAACACTGGTACACATTCCTATGTGTCCACAACTGGCTGGAGCTGCCAACTTTAGACCAGGTATGTGCCCCAGTTTGCTGCAGTCCCCACCACTCCCTATAGCCTTACACAGGGCCAGCCTCCCCTTTTATCTGCCAGGCCTCTGCAGGCTCATGAATTTGTAACCCTGGTTCTACGCCAATTAAACAACAAAAATACTTGGTGCCTCTCTCTCTTCCCAAGAGCCCAAGGAACTATTCACTGATGGATTTGACACAATTTTTTTCCTGTAGTGGAAGGAGTGTTAATCCCACTGACCGACGGAGAAACGGAGGCCCTGGAGAGTGTGTGGCCTTCTCAAAGTTCCTCACCATGGAAATGGGAGAGGTCTGTGTTGAGTCTCGAGTCTTCAGGCTTCAAGGCAAGTTCTCTATCCTCTCTCTGCCTTCATCTCTGCTCGCTGCAGAAAGGGGTGCCAGGAGAGGCAAGGAGGGGAGAGAGAAGAGGGAATTCCTCCTTTCCAGGAGGGAAAGGAGTAATGAGGCCTGAAAGGAAGAACTAGGACCAGCCCGCCCATCAGGCCGAGAAGGCCCCGTGCCTGGGCCCAAGACACTTTTAGGGACTCATAAAATATTTAAATTTCTTTTAAAATCAGAAAAAAATAAAAATAATTCAGCCTGGATTATATTCATCTTTATACTAACATAACCATAAAATAGATTTTTTTAAACAGAGGAAGGGACACAGGAAGGCAAGTGTGCCCAGGGGTGCCAGAGTCCTCCTGCAGCCCTGGGAGGGAGGTGTCAGCCCTCAGGTCCAGCTGCCCTGGACCCAAAGACACAGGCCTCCGCCTGAATAAGAAGTTGCATTTGACACAGTCTCTCCTTCCCTCAGAATGTCGAGCCGGGGTTCTCTGTCTGAAGAGTGAATAAGAATCACCTAGAGAGCTTAGTAAAAGTAGAGATGTCACCTTCCACCCCCAGACATTCTGGCTTTCTGGGCCTGGGGATGGGGTGGTGGCAAGGAATCTGCATTTTAACAAGGGTGCCTCCCCCACCCCCGCCAAGTGGTTCTGGCACACGTGTTCCCTGGCACCCTTTGAGAGTCCCAACTCTGAGCCTTTCCCGGGCAGGGGACCCTCCACTTGCTGGCCCCCGGCACTTCTGTCCTCCCAGCAGAGAGCTGGGGCGGGCTGGGGGGCTGAGCTCTGGCGCCCCGGAGGCTGCTGCACCCCTTGGCCCACCCTCATCCCCTCATTGCCTTTTTCTTAATTCACCCCTTGGCTCCAGGGCCTGTTTCTTCTAGGAAGAGGGGTGGAACTGAGGCCCCGCCTGTCTCCCTAGCAGGACTCTTAGAACTAATTAGAGAAGAGGACCTCTGGGCTTGTGGCTACTTTTTAATTGTTTGTGGATCCAACATAAAAGCTAATGACGCCGGGAGGCTTGGTTAGCGGCACACACCTGACTTCTAAATCTGAATGAGAGGTCATTTGCAACGTGTTAACACTTTTCACAAGGATGAATTCAATTAGCAGTTCCGGCACCGGTGCAGGCAGCAGGCGGCAAGGAAGGCAGCGCTCGGTGAAGCCAAAATGGAAAGGGCTGAGAACAGGAGATCCGCCAGGCCACTCAGAAACCGACTGGGCAGGGGGATCCTGGCTCCGGGGGCAAAGGTGAGTCCCAGGTGGGCACCTCTGCCCGGAGGTAGTGAGGATGGCAGACCCCACAGACTGGGTGTTAGGAGACTGGATTCTCAACAAGTGTGTGTAACTCAGCGGACAGCCTCACCTGTGGGCCTCAGTTACCCCTTTTCCAAGGTGATCATTGATACCCATCCTTTGCCTGACCAGGAGGACAGAGCATCTCCTCACTATCACCCGTGGTCAATGACACAGGGGAGGGGCGTCTCCTGTCACCATGGTCAATAACACAGGGAAGGGGGCGTCCCCTCACTCTCACTCGTGGTCAATGACACAGGGAAGGGGCGTCTCCTCACTGTCACCCGTGGTCAGGGACACAGGGGAGGGGGATCTCCTCACTGTCACCTGTGTTCAGGGATATAGGTGAAGGGTCATCTCACCATCACCTGTGGTCAGGGACACAAGACGGGGGGATCTCCTCACTGTCACCCGTGTTCAGTGACACAGGGGAAGGGTCATCTCACTGTCACCCATGGTCAGGGACACGGGAGGGAGATCTCCTCACTGTCATCTGTGGTCAGGGGTACAGGGGAAGGGTCATCTCCTCACAGTCACCCGTGGTCAATGACACAGAGGAGGTAGAAAGAGTTGAGAAGATGGGAGGGCAGATGGGGCCAGCACCCGGAAGGACAATTGGGGTTGTCGGCACAGGCAGAGGAGGTCTCATTCCAACCAGCAGCTCTGCTCGTGGACATCAACCCCGAGGACCCTCGCACAGGGGCACCAGGTGTGCCAGGGTGCCGGTGGGGGCCTTGTCATGGGGGGACACGAGAAACACCTTAGCAGTAGAGAGATGGGTACACCTGTGGCGGACGATTCAGACAGTGGGACAGGGTGATGTTGCAAATGTGTGTCATGAGATGAGCGAGTCATGTGCAGAGTGACTTCCAGGGCACAGGACCCCGCTCAGTAGTCCCTATGATTTATGGATCGCTAACGACAGAGCAAAACTGGGCACGCTGGGTGGAAAGCATGCGTGCTCCAACCTCGGGAGGGTCCTCAGGGAAGACGGGGAGGGGCTGAGGCTAGGAAGGTGTGCACAGGGGCCTCAGATTGTGTTTGACACGTTTTATTTCTTCAATATTAAAGGAAAGGATCAGAAGCGAAAGCGGCCAGATGGTTAGCGTGCTAAATCCAGGTAGTGGGTTCACGGGAGTTAGTTATGTTGCTTCTGAACTTTTCTATTTGTTTGGAAAGTTTTCTAATAAACACAAAAGAAAGGATTGGTTAAAATGTTTTGCTCCCTTGACTAGAGTCAATAATAACTTAATTGCACATTTAAAAATAACTAAGAGTAGAATTGGATTGTGTGCTTGAGGAGCTGGAGACCCCATTCTCCACGATGTGATTATTATGCATTACATGCCAGTATCGAAACATCCCATGTACCCCATAAACATATACACCCACTATGTGCCCACAAAAATTAAAATTTTTTTTAAATTAAAAAAATAAAATACCTGCTCCTCATAAAAGCATTTATACCTATCATCTCTATCTATTTATTTATTTGAAATGGAGTTTTACCCTTGTCACCCAGGCTGGAGTGCAGAGGCACTATCTCAGCTCACTGCAACCTCCACCTCCCAGGTTCAAGTGATTCTCCTGCCTCAGCCTCCCAAGTAGCTGGGATTGCAGGCACCTGCCACCACGCTTGGCTGATTTTTATATTTTTAGTAGAGACAAGGTTTCGCCATGTTGGCCAGGCTGGTTTCAAACTCCTGACCTTAGGTGATCTGCCCGCCTCGGCCTCCCAAAGTGCTGGGATTACAGGTGTAAGCCACCACGCCTGGCCTATACCTATCATCTTTTGACTGATTACAAACCCCTTCTGCATTTTTCACAAAAACATAAGGGGCCAACAGGTAGCAAGACTCCAGGGGAAGCCATTGTAAAATTATAATTCTAAAGATTGTTTTCTCAAAACCCAACGACACCTAAAATGCAGGACACTCTGACTTGATTTGTGTTAAGATGCTTCGATGATTAGAGTGGGCTGAATGGTCTCCCCTCCACCACCAAAAGATGTGTCCATATCCTAACCCTCCTCCAGCCTGTAAATTTGACCTTATTTGGAAAAGAGGTCTTTGCAGATGTAATTACATTAAAGATCTTGAGATAAGATCATCTGGGGATATTTGGCTGAGCCCTAAACCCAATGATAAATATCTTTGTAAGAGACAGAAGAGGAGAAGACAGAGATGCAGGAGAGACAGCCACGTGAAGTTTGAGGCAGCAGTGGCTGAAGGGATGCCAAGGAACACCTGGGGCCACCAGGAGCTGGAGGAGGTCGGAGACCCTCCCCTAGAGCCCGCAGAGGGAGCGTGGCCCTGCCAACACCTTGATTTCAGACTTCCGGCTTCCAGAGCTAGGAAAGGATCCATTTTTGTTACTTTTTTTTTTTTTAAACAGAGTTTTGCTTTTGTTGCCCAGGCTGGAGTGCAGTGGCATGATCTTGGCTCACTGCAACCTCTGCCTCCCAGGTTCAAGTGATTCTCCTGCCTCAGCCTCCCAAGAAGCTGAGATGACAGGTGTGTGCCACCACACCCAGCTAATTTTTGTATCTTTGGTAGAGACGGGATTTCACCATATTGGTCAGGCTGGTGTCGAACTCCTGACCTCGTGATCCGCCCGCCTCAGCCTCCCACAGTGCTGGGATGACAGGCGTGAGCCGCCGCGCGGCCGCTTCATTTTTGTTATTTTAAGCCATTGAACGTGTGGTAATTTGTTTCAGAAACCCCAGGAAATTAACAAACGATGATTTTCAACAGCTCCTGTAGCTGAAGCTCAGTGCCCTGCAAGAGTCGTGCCCGGGAAAGAGTTGGCCGTCTCATGTGCTCTTGGCACTAGAATAGTGCCTGTTCCCAAAATCCAGGACGCACTGCATTTGAGCAATCTGTTCCCTCTCACGCAGTCAGTCAACAAGCGTTTACTGAGCACCTACAACATTCCAGGCAGGCACATGCTTGGCACTGGGGAAGGAGGAGTGGGCAACACCAGGCCCGCCCCACTGAGTCTGGTGGGGGAGATGCTCAGGTCTGCAGGCAGTGGCCACACAGGGTGGCCTCTCCAGGCAAGAGACACAGGAGTGTCTGAAGGACGGTGAGGCCTCCGCCAGGCAAGGTGGGAACGAGCATCCCTGGCAGAGGGAAAAGCACCTGTGAGTCCAGAGAAACGTGGGGAGGGAGGGAGTTCAGGGGACTGAAGGAGGTTTAGCTTGGGGGAGTCAGAGTCAAGTCTCAGCAGACCCGAAGGTACCCTTGTGCCCTCTCTCCTGGGTCCTCTGCCCACTAGAAACAGCATGCACTGCCTTGCTGTTATACCTGCTGATTGCATATTGGTTTGTTTTGTGTTTTATTTTCTCTGTATCCCAAACACCCAGCACCACAATGCCCAGCACAGGTGGGCACTAAATGAACTCTCAGCATAGGCCGGAGGTAACGAATGTGGGTTCTGAGATCAGATCCCAGCGTGACCCCTTTGCAACCACATGACTGTGTACAAGTGTCTCTGGGCCTTGGTTTCCTTGTCTATAAAATGGGGATAAGAGAGTCAGTTGCTACCTTAGGGCCCGTCTGGGGATCTCTTGAGTTGATGTGTATGAGGCACCCAGCATGGTGTCTAGCCCCGGAAACTGGCACTATTATTCATCAAAACGAATGCAAGGCTCCAGCGGTTTCTAGCTTGAACAGCCACTCCCATCTGGCCTCCGACGGGACTGATGGGGCCCAGCGTGCAGCTCTGTCCTGTGAGCTCACTGTTCCTCCACACGATGAGATGATCTGGCCACCGACGGGATGTATCAGGGCCTGCCTGCAGCTCCTCCTGGCTGGGCTCACCGCTCCTCTGCATGACGCGCTCATTCTGTGACTACTTTTGCTTGCGGGGTCCCTTGCCACAGTGGGATGTGGGCTGATGTGTTGGGCTTGATGCCTGGTTCTTCGTGCAGTGCCAGGGAGGTGCCGGCTGGCTCACAGCAGCACCATCTCCTCCGTGTCCCGGAAAGAGCTAAACCAACCTCACCCTAGCAGCCCCTCTGATTGTGTTGTGAGCTGGAGGCTGTAGAGGCGATAAGAGGCCCACGGCCGGGCCAGGCACCAAGCCGGACTCCCGACTCTGGACTCCAGCGTTGGCTCCCAGAAGGGCTTTCGCTGTGCCCCTCCCCTGACACGGGTGAGGCCCAGCTCTGGAAAAATCAAAGGCAGAGCAGAGCATGTGCGATGCAACCTGGGAGGCTCCGAGGGGAACCAGCCGGGCCAGCCTCGTTAGCGTTGACCTTGGCACCGAGCTGCTCCTGATGGATGGGGTTCGGGCCTGGCCAGGCCCTGGGGGAGTGGCGGCCCCATCCATTACGGGCCCATCAGTGCCTCCCTGAGCCCTCCCTGCTTGGGATGCCGCGAGTGTCAGGCCGCGAATAAATCTCTGTCCGGGCCACAGGAGAGCCGAAAGGGAAACAAGGCAAAGCATGAAAAATGTCTCTGTCCTGGCTCTGGAGACAAAGCTCCCATGAAGGAGGAAGGAGCAGCAGGAGTTTGGGGAGGGAGAAAGGGTGGATCAGGAGCAGCCAGTCTGGGGCCCCAGGGAGGCTGGGCTTCCTGGGAGTGGAAGGGGGAAAAGATGGGGGCCCCAGGCTGCTACCTTCTCCCAGTTATGGCTCCCTGCCTGTCCCCCACCTTTTTTGTTTGTTGTTTGAGACAAAGTTTTGCTCTGTCGCCCAGGCTGGGGTGTAGTGGTGCAATCTTGACTCACTGCAACCTCGACCTCCCGGGTTCAAGTGATTCTCGTGCCTCAGCCTCCCGAGTAGCTGGGATTACAGGCACCCACCACCACACCTGGCTAATTTTTGTATTTTTAGTAGAGATGAGGTTTCATCATGTTGCCCAGGCTGGTCTCGAACTCCTGACCTCAAGTGATCTACTTGCCTTGGCCTCCCAAAGTGACGGGATTACAGGTGTGAGCCACCGAGCAAGACTGGCCCTCAGCCTGGGCCCCTTTTAACAAAACTCCTTGGAGATCCAGGTCCATGGAAGCAGGCAGGCCTTGAGGAGCAGGGGACCCCTGTCGGACTCAGTTCAGGGGGCTCCCAAAGCCCCAGCAGAGGTAGCCCGGGCTGGGCAGCCAGCCAGTGCCTCCACCTCCCAAAAGAACCTGTTCAGGCCGCTAAGGGCTAGGGTCCTGGTGTAAGCTGCCTGGACAGAGTCCCCACACCTCCATTCGCCACCTGTGACCTCTTGCTGAGGGACAGAACCTCACCATGCCTCCCTTTTCTCATGGATAAATAGAGGTGACGGGCGTCTGCTGCACAGGGCTGCAGTGAGGATTAATCCATTTGCTCTGTGGAAAGCCAGGCCCCAGTAGGTGCTCATCAGCGTTGGCCGTTCATTGCTGTAACTGTTGTTCGTAGCCGCCATCTCGCTGCTGAGGACTCACCTCCGCACCAGGCCACTGGCACCAACGTGAACGGAGCTCAGGATGAGAAATGACTTCCTCGCCCAGGGCCTTGCTCTGCCTCCTGGAAGCATGCGGCCTGTGGATATGAACAGCCGCCCTGGAGGGAGACTCGGCTCAAATCCTGGTGCTGCCTCCAACTAGCCAGGAGACTTTGGGCAAGTGACTGTCTCTGAGCCTCAGTTTCCCCATCTGTAGAATAGGGATGATAGTCTCTACTTGGTAGAGTTGTATTTAATGAGATGAGGTACAGGGCTCAGTGTTGGACGCAGCGGTCACTCAGTGGGGGCCCAGAAAGTGTCAGCTGTGAGGACTGCCCCCTTCCAACACACATTCTGAACACACACAGCTATGAGGACTGCCCCCTTCCAACACACACTCTGGTCCTCATTTTGTTCTCTGAAGCCTCTGAGAGCAAAACCCCCCCACTGTCCTAATCCCAGGGCTTCAGATGGTTATAGACAGCTGCTGTGTCTCTGCGGCATCTTTTCACGTCCAGCTAGGAGGACCTCATCTCTTCTCCTGTTCTTTGTACACAGTAGACACCCTCCCCCTCTCCCGCCCATCATCCTGACGGCTCCCTTCTAGACGATTTCCTGTTTATGAACCTTCCCTTGAATGTATGATGTCCTGCATTCTTGAGCTTGATACTACAAGTATGGCCTGAGCAGCTGAAAAGAGCAAGGAGGTCACCTCCTTTGTTCTGAACTTGCTACCTCTATTAACATGGCTGAGGAACACATTCATTCTCTGAGGCAGCATCACTGCACTGCAGACTCATGACATCAGTCGGCGGCGCGGGGGGCGGGGATCACAGCGGAGTCTATGAAGTGTCATCTCTGGCTTTAACGTCCCCTCTCTGGGTCTCAGATGGACTCTCTCTTTGCTTCTGATAACTGTCTCAAAGTCTTAAAGGGCCCCAGACTATATTCGAGTGCTCACTATGTGCCAGGCATTGTGTTGGACGCTGAAGATGCAGCGATGGATGAAACTGACATTCTCCCTGCGCTCTGGGACCTGACATACAGCAGAGGAGTATTAACGACAGTCGCAGTCAGTGCCAGGGAGCAGATTATGCGGGGGACAGGAGAAACTTGGCTTTGCAGGGGGCAATGTACATTTCAGGCCCTCTCTGAGGCCCGGGGATCTTTGCGAGATCCACATGCTCCCCCTTGTGGTCAGACCAGGTTTCATTCAGCCGGGTTTCAGGACACCAATAAATGCAGACGTGGTCTCGCCCTTCAGAAACTGCCTCGGATCTCTGGGATGGCTGCTGGGGAAAGGGCTTATTATTATTTTATAGGAGCTTGGGTGGGTGGCTTGGATTTTTTTGGCCATCGGATCCAGGAGAAACAAAATCACCCAGAGTGATTGATGGGCCCACTGTAAATTTGTAAAATATATCAGCTTGGCAGAGAGATTCAAAAAAACCTGTCAGGCAGCAAACATTTTTTTAACAGCCTGTAAAATTTCCTGCATCCTTCACATTTGTCAGCGTCAGGCTGATGATGCATCTGATAGCAGGACCAGCAGCGGCTGCAGACAGAAGGCTGGGCCAGCAGCATTTCCCGCTTATCTGATGTTTCTTATGTTTCCATGGTCTGAAGGCTTTCTGCACCAGGATTGGGGGTGTAGACCAGGCTAATTAGTGCTGATCTAAGGATGCTACTCAGGTTGCACGTGGCAACTGGCTTTATATCTGGACCCCAATGTGGCCATTTGTTCATGCACTCATTCAGCAACTCCACGAAGGCCTCCTCCGCAAAGGCACTGTGGTCAGCACCACAGATCCTGGCGTGAGAAAAGCAGGCCTGGAGCATCCAGCGTGGTGAAAGTTCTGGATGCCCTGACAAGAAGTTTGAGTTTATCAGGAAGTGGTTGCCGCTGAATGTGAAAGGGAAGGAAGTGACCCAGAAAGGAGAAGCTCAGCAGGTTCTTTGGGTCTGTTCAGATTAAGTTCTAAAGCCTTAAGAAAAATCCAGACAGGATGGCCTTACACAGAATCCTGTCTCATCCCCCTTCTAGTGCTGGAAAAACATGAGCAGAGTCCCTGCCCGTGTCACCTCTACCCCTGTGTTAGGGAGGCAGATCAGACCCTTGGTCACTGTCATAGGCATTCAGGCCACACTAATCCTCCTCGCACTGCACAGAAGCCAAATGACTTGACCTCTCAGACCCTCTGTCTCTTCTTCTGTAAAACGGGGATAGAAGCATTCCAACCTTGTACTCACTTGAGCTAACTTTGTACTCACTGAGCTATTCAGAGTTAGTTAATGAGGATGCTCCTGAGGACCTCGGCAGTGTCTGACCTGAGGTAGTAATAATAACACATAGTTGCCATTGTTAGTGCAAAGTAGGGTCTTCCCACCTTCCATCTGGCCCATGTGAGACACTGATGCGCAAGGGGCTGCTTGCTGGTTGACTGAGTGATGGATGTTCCTGCTGGCATCTGTGTCTTGACTGTGGCCCAGGCTCCCAAGCAGAACAGCGGCAGAGCCCAGGGTGCCCAGAGTCCACCAGGAGCGCCAGCTGCTGCCGGGCCCTCCCTGCTCCTCCCCTCCCCGCCATCCCTGACTCATCATAATCGACAGTGCCGGGCCAATTAGGAGCAGTAACAATTAAGATGTGCCGAGGGCATGCGAACATTTGCAAACACTTATTAAAGTGCATCAATAATTAAGTGTGTCTTTAATAGTTACATATCTGGCCTCCAGACATATCTGTTTCCGGACCTTGGGTGGCAGCATGCTTTGAGATCTGTGTTAGGGCCTTACACGCTGGTAATGAGAATTTAAAATTCTTCCCTGACTTGAATTCTGGGATTTGACAGTGAAACAGCAGCGAGAGAATGCCGGGGCTCTTTCCAGCTGCCTGATCCTAGAGGTGTGGTCTTCAAAGCCAGCTGCCAGACTGGATAGAAATCCGGGCTCTGCACCGTAACGCCTCGGGGAGGGCCCTTGCCCTCCCTTTCCTGGCCTGTGAAGTGTGCAGAATGATACCTGTCTCATAGGAAGGACATAAGGGTTAGCAATTATGTGTGCAAAATGCCTGCCACGTTTAAGATCGATGCAGAGCAGCTTTTGTTAGCGGTGGCTCATACTGTTATCAGAGGACACAAAGAGGCTGCCGTTAGCTGAGGGATCGAGACAATCCGTCTACACCAGGGGTTCCAAACTCCGTGCCTACCTGGACTAGGCAGGTAACAAAAATGAGAGAAGCCAGTCTGGGTGAGGACTGGGATAAACAGTCCATGGATTCTGTCCAAAGGGATGCTGCCCCTCAGCCCCAGCCCCAGGAGCCAGGCAGAGCGCAGATCCACTTGCCCAGGCTTCTGTTTGTTCAAGGGAAATGGAAAATTCAGGTATTTATATGAAATCTCCTGACTTTTTAAAAATGTGGCAACTCAACCTTTTTTTTTCCTTTAATTACTGTACCAGCCAAACTCCTCTGTGGATTGATTTAGCCACAGCCCCAGGACTGACCCTATGTCTACACGGCCCCCAGTCTGCCCCCATGTCTACACAACCCCCATTTTCCAGATAACTCCTCAGGTCTCCACTTCCTGCAAGCCACAGAGGCTTTGGGATTGAAATGCACCCTTCCGATTTAGTGACAACCTGCAGCAAATCGGTGTGGATTGGGAACCAAATAGGATAACTGGGAAGGAAGTAATTGAATAATCTAAATTCGGCTTTGCATCCCATCTGGTATTGAGGCTGAATGGGCAGATTCAGAGACGTGTGGAGAAGAGGGGGTGCACCCCTCACCACAATTCATTTGCCCACTGCAAATCTAGACATGGATGGGGGTTGGGGGGCTGGCTGTGGTCAGAATCGTAGCTCACAGGGTGGCAGTCACAACCCCTCTGCTCATTAGCATCCTAGCTTAGAGGGAGCGTTAGTGGATTCAGTCTGAGGTGGGACTTTATTTTTTTAACACGTCTGTAATTGTGAGTAAATAACACTCATTTTGTTTTTGTTTTGTTTTGTTTATTTATTTATTGGACCAAACCTCCCCAACACCTCCTCTGTCGGGTGTAATCGGATTTGGTGTTTTAACATGCTTTTAAAGTAAAGAAAGAAATGCAGTTGAGGCTTGTAAAAGGTGATCATTAGAAAATGGGCCTTGGCCCCATAACTTTAAAGTAATAGCCCCATTAGGGAGCGGGGCAATGATTTTGTCACCGTTTCCTCCGCACTTATGCTGCAAGGTGGGTGGAGGCTTTCCACGCAGGTTGGGCATCTCAGTAAAAGCTTTTCCAGAAGCCATTTAACCTCCATTTACGAAGAAATAAAGTGAAATTGATGCTGATTTGGGCCTGCTTTGGGGGATATTTCTGCTCCATAAAAGCCCTTTTGCCTGCAATTTGCGGAGCTGCCCGTCACATCAGGAAGGGCTGCTGTTGATAAAGATAAAGCTTTATGGCCACGATATTTGCTGCTAACAGCAACCTAATGCAGCATTTTCATTTTTGTGCAATTAATGTTAATGTCTGCTACGAAAATTGTCATTAAATACCATTTTAAAATCCATTCAATTTGCATATGCAAAGCCCATTTACCATCACAGAAGATACAGCCAGCACTTCATCACGTCCTTTCCCTGGAATTGTGGCCACTTGGTTTTACAGCAATTTAAGATTCTATATTGAAAGCTGGATGATAATGCTTGTCCTTTCTGAGCCCAGCTGACTTCAGTGATGCCGTGGAAAACCCCGGCACTAGGATGAGAAGCTGTGGGTGTTCCGGCTGCACATCGGTTCCAAGGAAGTAGGACACAGAGTGAGGAGCACTGGATGGGGAGCCTGACAACTGGACTCCAGAACTGGCTCAGTTAACAAATTGCTGTGCAACCTTGGGAAGCTCACTTCACCTCTCTTAACTTCTTTCTATTTTCTCCTGTTTTAAGTAAGGGCTTTGAACCAGGTGATCACAAGTGTCCTTTGTGTTCTAATCTTTTCTTTTCTTTTCTTTGAGATGGAGTCTCACTCTGTCACCCAGACTGCAGTGCAGTGGTGCGATCTTGGTTCGCTGCAACCTCCACCGCCCAGGTTCAAGCAATTCTCATGCCTCAGCCTACTGATTACAGATGCATGCCACCACGCCCGACTCATTTTTGTATTTTTAGTGGAGACGAGGTTTCACCATATTGGCCAGGCTGGTCTCGAACTCCTGACCTCAGATGATCCACTCACCTCAGCCTCCCAAACTGCTGGGATTACAGGCGTGAGCCACTGCACCCGGCTCTATTTTTAAATATAAACATACTAAGGGTTGAGAATCCAGGCCAAGCCCTGCCATGAAGAGGTTGTGTGAACTTGGGGAGGTCAGTTAACCTCTGCCTGCCTCAGTTGGATAGTAATCCTGCCCACCTCTGGCACAAGGTTTTCATAACCATGAAAATAAATTGGCGTGAAGGTTTAGACCCAAGCTGAGGAGGCAAAACATAGCCTGAGAATCACAGAGTGCTGTGATTAGTATATGTGTCACTAGTGCAGCCCCCTATCTACAGATGGGGAAACAGAAGCCCTGGGGGGAATGTGACGTGGAGAGCTGGGGACAAAGCTGGAACTAGCATCCCAGGCCAACTCCCGACCCAGGGCCCCTCTCCTGCCACCACACTGTCTTTGTGACACTTGGTCACCAGCATGGACTGATCTAGTGACCTAGTGCACAGCACGGACCAGGAACAGGGGCTCCTCTCTGCCCCAGGCAGCCTGCGAGAACAGGGCAAGGGAGGGCACATGTGTTGGGAGCTGAGAAGAGGAGCTGGATCAGCAGCAAAAGTCACAGGGGATGCCTTGGGGGACCCACTTGGGGGATGATTTCAAAGGTACAGGGAGGACGATGTACAGGAGTTCATTAATCCAGCCCCGAAGTGACTTTCCAAGGTGTCTCTAGTGTCACCTTCCTGGTTTCAGGGCTGGTGAATAGAAATGCATTTCTGGGGAGAGATGTGCCTGGTATTTGAGGCCACGAGAGGTGGGAAAACTTACCAAAGAGGCGATGCTGAGCTGAACTTTGAAGAATGAGTAGGTTTTCCCACCTACTCAATCCTCAGGGTTCTTTCCCATGAGTAGGATGGTGGGAAAAGTATACAAAAGCATACACGGCACATGCTGTGGACAGCAGTGTGGCGGGTCCCCAAAAACTTAAAACACGATTACCACCTGATCCCGCAATCCCACTACGGGGTCTACACCCAAAAGAACTGAAAGCAAGACTGGAACAGACACGTGTCCGTCCACGTCCACAGCAACATTATTCACAATAGCCAGAAGGTGGAGACAACTTAAATGCACATCAGCGGATGAATGAGTGACAGGGAACATTGCTCAGCCCTGAAAAGGAATGAAATTCACATGCGTGCTATAACATGGATGAACCACGAGGGTATTACATAAATGAAATAAGCCAGACACAAAAAGCCAAACATTGTATGATTCCGTGCATATGAGATCTCTAGAGTAGTCAAATTCATAGGAACAGAAAGTAGAATGGTGGGTGCCAGGGGCTGGGGCGTTTGTGTTTAATAGGGAAAGAGTTTCGGTTTGGGATGATGAAAAAGTTCTTGAGATGGATGGTGGTGACGGTCACACAACGACGTGAATGTAATGATTCCCACTGAATTGTATACTTAAAAATGGTTCAGATGATAAATCTTCTGTATATTTTACCACAATAAAAAATTAGAAAAAATAAAAAATAAAGAAGGAACTACCACCCCCCTCCCCCAAAAAAAAAAAATATATATATATATATGATGGCACAGTCAAAGGAAGGCACCTAGTCCAGGAGAAGCAAGAGGGGAGATTGGAAAGATAAGCTAGGGATGGAATGTCAGTGGCCTCAAATGAGGGCCGGGCAGGATGCTGCCACGCAGATGGGCTGAGATGTTGGCTTTGTCAGTCACAGGCCACTGAACGGGGCTTCGGATTGCAAGAAGTCCGCTACTGTCTGGGAGCAGCCGCTTCTATTTATTTGTTCAGTGCAATGCACAAATATTGGTCATTTTTGTGCTAATGACCAGCTTGTGTAGTGAGGTAGAAAGGGCTGGGAAGTCCTACTGCCTGCCTGATGTCCATTCCCCTCCTGGAACACAACCCTGGTCTGTACGTCTTTTCCACCATCGGCCCACGTAGATTGCAGGGACTGATTTCACCCCTGACTCCAGGGAAGGGCGCATCATCAGACCAGGCCAGCCAGGCTTCAGATTCCCCTGGCCTCAGCCATTGGCTCTGAGGCAGACACATGACCCAGGCCTGGCGTCTCAGCCCTGACCACAGTGGCTGAGTAGAAGATAGTCATGTAACCGGGCGCAGTGGCTCACACCTGTCATCCTAGCACTTTGGGAGGCCAAGGCGGGTGGATCACCTGAGGCCAGGAGTTCAAGACCAGCCTGGCCAACATGGTGAAACCCCGTCTCTACTATAAATACAAAAATTGGCCAGGCGTGTTGGTGCACGCCTGTAGTCCCAGCTACTCGGGAGGCTGAGGCAGGAGAATCACTGGAACCTGGAAGGGAGACAGAGGTTGCAGTGAGCTGAGACTGCGCCACTGCACTCCAGCCTGGGGGACAGACAGAGACACTGTCCAAAAAAAAAAAAAAAGAAGATAGTCATGTAACCTGAGCTGGCCCAAAGAGTCTTGAACTCAAGGTGTCTGTAGCACCAACGCCCTTTGCACTGGGCTGTTTAGAGAAAAACAGAATAGAACTGCTGCTGGCCATTTGCAGGTGAGGAAGAAGCTTCTCAGAGAATGGAGCCAAAATCAGGAAGCACAGCCAAGAAACAGAGAGACCTGATGCTGATGATGTTGCCTGACTGCCTAGATCCTGCTATGCCTGAAGCTGTCCCTGCACTTTCCAATCATGTGAGCCATGAGTGAGTTTCGATTAAACACAACTACATTCTGCTTTTATAGAATGTCATGTGTGCCAGGGTTGGGACATGGGTCATGTCTGGCTCATTTCATCTGTGTGTTAGCAAGATAACTCTGGAGTAATGTGGAAGGTGGCTTGGGAAGGGCCAATTCTGGAAGAAGAGAGAGCAGTTAGCTGGTTTCTGTAGGGCAGTCAGAAGAAGATGGGGTGTTGACTGGATGGGACGCATGGCTCTTCTCTTGGTGTCCCCCCATCTCCCTCCCTACTTGCGTGTGGCCTGTGGGCCCTCATTAGCACTAGGGAGCTTATCTAAGCGCCAGGCCGGTCGTGCCCTTGTTGACAATGGTGAGGATGTGGACCCATTGGGACATGCGTGCCAGTCATCTAAACTGTGGTGACAGTGGGGCCACCAGGCAGTCATTTCTCAGGGGATGGAAGAATAGAATAGAACTGCTATTTCTCAGGGGGAGTGTGGGAGGTTTCTGGGGTGCCAGATTTATTCTATATCTTTATCTCAGTAGTAGTTGCTTGAGTGTGTCCATTTGTAAAATTGCATTAAGCTGAACCCTTCACGATTTGTGCATTTCACTATGTATAAGTGAAACCTCAATAAAAAATTTTAAAAATTTCATAGCTCTTGGATCTACAACTCACATTACATCATATCTTAACATGAACAGTAGCTAATACTTGTTGAGTGCCCTTTGTAGGCCAGGCCCTGTGCTCAGGTTTTTATATGCATTACGTCACTGAAACCTCGGCATACGGTGAAACAGGTGCTACTGTTATCTCCATTCTACAGATGTGGAAGCTGGGGCAAGGATCCCATGGCCAGTTATGGCCAGAGTCCACGTTTGAGCCCAGGCTCCAGAGCCTCTCTCCTGGCTTCCCGGGGGTGGTGCCGTGCTTGGGTAACTTGGCAGGCTCTCCCATCTGTCACTCCATGAAGACAGAGACAGGTTTTTTTTTTTTTTTTTTGGAGACAGGGTCTCACTCTGTTGCCCAGGCTGGAGTGCAGTGGTGCGATCACTGTTCACTGCAGCCTCGACCTCCTGGGCTCAAGCAATCCTCCCGCCTCAGCCCTCAAGTAACTGGTACTATAAGCACGTGCCACAATGCCCAGCTAATTTTTAAAATTTTTTTGTAGAGACGGGGTTTTGCCACGTTGACCAGCCTGGCCTCGAATTCCTGGACTCAAGCGATCCTCCTACATGGGCCTCCCAAAGTGCTAGGATTACAGAGATGAGTCACTGGGCCTGGCCCAGGGACAGGTCTCAATCACTGTTTGTTGATCAAGGGAAAGTGGGTGACCTGTGCACAGCCCTACAGGGTACCCTGCTATAAGGCCAGGACCCAGCTCAGCAGGATTCAGGGTGTGGCTATAGAGGTCACACAAGAGAGAGTCATTGAAGAGAG
This sequence comes from Homo sapiens, assembly GCF_000001405.40. Lineage (NCBI taxonomy): Eukaryota > Metazoa > Chordata > Mammalia > Primates > Hominidae > Homo > Homo sapiens. Next base: position 132,499,714 of record NC_000009.12, on the reverse strand, counting down.
GACAGTGGGGCTGGGAGGATGCTCCACTTCCCTGTCACCCTCCGACCTTGTCCCTGATTGAGCTGGTACCTCCACCCCCTCAAGGGATGAAGCCCTGGCTGCCAGCCACCTTACCGTGCCCGGATCCCAAATGTCATGTTTGGAGGGAGAGGGGGCGGCTCTTTCTTCATGCGCCGGTCATCCTGGTCACTGATGCGGATGTCATTGAGCTGACGGTAGAGCAAGTTCTCCCGGGCAGTCACCAGGCCGGCTTTCACCGCCCCGCGGTTCATTGCGATATAATTCCGGGTCAGCTCGTGGGGGCAGGTGGGCTGCTGCTTGAACACGTTCCAGCGTCCGATGGCTGAGGGCAGGGAGAGACCCACGGGGCAGTGGTCAGCCTGGGAGTAAGCACCCTGAGGCAGCTGATCGAGAAGAAATGGGGGCACGCGGGTCCTCGGCCTTCCCATTTACCTGAGCCTACTGGGTGACAACCCTGCCTGGCCCCCAGAAAGCATGATGGCCCAAAACGGCGGGATCAGGGCTCCCAGAGATCCTGAGGGTACCCAAGCCAAGCATCTTCCCTGGAGCTGGGCTGGCCCTTGACTTCCTCTGGGCAGGCAGAGGGTTGGTCCCAGTCTCATTCCATTCTTGTAACGTGAGCAGCATAGTGCACACAGTCCCTGCCGGCGGCGGGGAAGGGGGGCGGTGCGGGGATACCCATGCTAGTTCCCTGACACCGCACACCAGGGCCCTGCTTGGCCCTCCCCATCTGGGCCACTTCCTGGGTTTTACCAGTCAGCTGCCCAGGCTGGCGGTCCCTGGGTCTTTCTCCAGCACCCAACCAGCTGCCAAGCAGCGAGCTAGGTCAAGGGGTCTGTGAAGAGGGGTGAGCCTCCCTCCCACTCCTCTGCCCTCATGCTCCAAAGCTGCTCGCTCACCTTCAGGGACTCCTCCGTCAAGCCCTCGGATGTAGAGTCCATAATTAAAATTAATGCCGGGCAGACTGTAGCTTCTTTCCCGGGGCTTGCCGAGTTCAGCCTGTCGGGGGAAGGACAGAGAGCAGAGGTGAGGAGTGGAGTCTCAGACCAAATGTATTGTAATCCGGCAGCAGGGAGGCACCAGATGCCTGCATTTCCCCCAGGCCCTGCCGTGGCCTTCAGGGTGGCACAGGAGTGGGTGGCAGAGCCCTCCCTGGGAGGAGCGCAGGCTGTGGCTGGCACAGGGTCACACAGCAGAAGCGGGTCTGTGTGTCTGTGCTGAAGGCAAGTGAAGACATCAGAGACGGGGGGCCTCTCGGTACATGTGTATTGTTGGAGTGGGGAGCACAGTCCCCGAGCTGAGCCGCTGTGTTTGGGGTGCAGCCTAGACCTGGCTGGCTCAAGCTGGAAATGCAGGACCCAGTTCAGGAGGCCTCATCTGGAGGCCCCGTCGAAGGAAGGAGACATCTTTCCTACCTTCATTCCCACCTTCCTCATACCAGGGACCACTCAAACCATTGTCACTGTAGCACATGAGGGAGTCACTTCCTCGAATCCTCACCTGGGGAAGACACAGTGACAGGGCCACTGCCACCCATCTGCACCTGGCCAGATGTCCTTACTCCCTGGGACTCTAGGGAACTCCTTGGCCTCTCAGAGGTGGTTTGTGCAAATGAAATTGCCCTGTCATCAACCACATTAGCCGCCCCCACCCTGCCGCCACCACCCATTTATAGCTATAGAAACTGAGGCCTAGAGAGGCAGGGTCGATATCCCCGGCCCCCAAGCGCTGGGCAGGGCATCGCATGGAGGCGTGCCTGTCCTCTTGACTGGCGCTCTTGATCATCCTGCCACGCGGTCTCCCTTTATCACAGCAGCTCCTCGAGGTCAGAGACCCTGTCCTGCACAGTGCTTCGAACCCCATCGCACCCGCTGCATCAGTGGGCACTTGCTGGGTTCGGACTGCATCCCAGGCACAATGTTTGGGGCTCCCTGGCCTTCCCTCATGCCGTCTGCATAGCTGCGCAGTGAGGCAGGTCTCATTACCATCCCCGTTTCTCAGGGGGAAGCTGAGGCACAGAGAGATCCGACAGGTTGCCTCAGGTCAAGCAGTAGGAAGTGGCAGAGCTGGGACTGGAACCCAGGCTGGCTGCCCCCAGCTCATGCTCAGATCCACAAGCCAAAGAAATGCCCACAGCCCCAGCTTCTTGTGGCTCCCTGGTGCCAGCAGGCCCCGGGGCCATTACTGAGAAGGGTGGGTGCAGCTGCTCCTTCCACTGTCCACAGGCCACAGGCCACAGGCCACAGGCGGTGGTTTCGAAGTCACAGGGTGTTACATTTCCCGGGATCTCTCCACTCTGGCTGCGCCAAAGACTGTCCAGAGGGTCTGGTGGGCTCTGGCCTCGCTGTCTCCTGCCATCTCGTCTATATCCCCCTCTCTCCAGCTCCCACAGGCTGGGTGCTGAGAGGTAGACAGATGGTCAAGGACCACCCAGCGTGGCTCATCACTGCCTCTGAAATAAACCCTTCCCTCTGCTGGCAGTCCAGGCCCTGCACCCTCCAACCCCACCCAGCCCTGCAGCTTTGCCTCCCAGGCTCCCCCACAGCACCCCCTGTTGAGATAGACAAACCCACTCCCCCTCATCTGAAGGATCGCAGGCATCCCAGCCACCTCCATTGCTCTTTGCTCAAGGCCCACCCTTACTGGTCCTTATTCTTCAAGCCCTGTCTCTGCCAGAAACTCTCAGGACCCCTGGGTTCACCATGGCTCACCCTCGTCTGAATGCCAGTGACTCTTAGCTATCTGTTCTGCTCATTTGGGGCTTAGAACTTGCCACCCTCATGGTTTCCATGAATGCACATGCAGACCCCCCTGCCTGGATTACACACTCCTATCCAGCCAGAGCCATGGCTCCTATTACCTTCTTTTTCCTGTTGGCACACAGCAGGTGCACAATAAATGCCTGATATTAAAAACCACTTCCTCTGGGAAGCCTTCCCGGATTGGCATCAGTCCTAGACAAGCCTCCTTATTATATGGTGGCACCACAGCAGCCTCAGCCTGCCTTCCCAGCACTTACAAAATGACAGGGTTGTACCCGCGGTAGCATGGATAGAGTTGGCAACATCATGCTGAGAAGCCAGACACAGAGGGCTGCCGCATCCTGCATGATTCCATCTACATAAATGTCCAGAACAGGCAAATCCAGAGACAGAAAGTAGCTTCGTGGTTGCCAGGGCTGGGGACAGGTCGGATGGAATGATTGTAGCCGTGATGGCTAAGGGGCGTTCTTTGGGGAGTGATGAAAATGTTTTAAAATTGATTGTGGTGATGGTTGCACAAATCTGTGAATAAGTTAAAAGCCATTGAATTCTACATTTTCAATGGGTGAATTGTAGGGAATGTGAATTACATCTCAAATAAAATCACAAAGTAGTGTACTTAAGTCATTCATTGCATAATGATCAGTTTAATGTCTGTCTTCCCTCATGAGCCTGTGTGCCCCACAAGGAAAGGGATCTAATCTTTATTTTTTAAGGTTTTTTTTAAAAAAATAGACTTTATATTTTACAGCAGTTTTAGGTTCACAACAAAAGTGAGCAGAAGGTATGGAGATTTTTTTGTATACCCCATGAATCTTTATCCTCACTCTTCTTTTCCCAGGCCTCAGTGTAGAATAGATGCTAATAAATAGGGGTTGAATAAATGAGTGGGTAAAATACTATGTCTTAGTCAGCTTAGGCTGCCATAGCAAATTATCATTGACTGGGTGGCTTCAACAATAGACATTTATTTCTCAAAGTTCTGGAGGCTGGGAAGTCCAAGATCTAGACACCAACAGACCCAGTGTCTTGGTGAGGGCTCTCTTCTTGGTTTGCAGATGGCCGCCTTCTTGTTGTATCTTCACGTGGCAGAGAGCAGAGATAGAGTTAGCTTTCTTCCTCTTCATTTAAGGGCACAAATTCCATCACAAGGGCTCTGCTTTCATGATCTAATCATCTCCTAAAAGACCCACCTGCTAACGCCATCCCATCCAAAGTTAGGTTTTGAATTTTAGGGGTACACAGACATGCAGTTCATACAGCCTACTTTGAGACCATTGGCTCTTCTTTACACAACAGTTGATCATTTTTCTTCCGCTTCTTTTCCATCTCAAATCCCAGACCCCAATGTTCCTCAAGAGTGATGGGGCTCTGAGTTTCAGGCGGGTGCATGGGGACCCTGCAGGGTGGCTTGTTTTGAATTCCTTCCATACTATGCTCTCTGAGTTACAGACAAAGCTCTGGCCTCTCATTTGTTTATGAAAATGATCCGGCCTCTCCAGTGACTGCCGGGGAAGTTAATTAAAATGTGACTTCTCTGGGAGAGACTCTGCCTCCCTCAAGGCAGGTGCAGGTGGGCAGAGTTTCAGCTGGCAGGGGAATGACAGACAGACTCAGGAGCTGGCTGCCACCCTCAGGCAGGGAGCAAGGAGCAGGTGTGTGCCTCAATCTCTGCTTTTTAGTGTGGTTGCCTGGGAATCAATAACTGCTGAAACATGTGGAAGCTTTAGACTACAAAAAAAAAAAATCCCAATGGGAGGTTTGCTCATACTTTCATTCCACAAATATTTATTTTGTACCCACTCAGCGCTAAGCCCTCTGTGCTGGAAGTTCTAGGGTGAACAGATCAGACACACAGCCCTGCTCTTATGAAATTCACTGTCTTGCAAAAAGTACAGTTAAGCAATGGCAGTCATGTTCACCAGGGTATTTGATGTGGGAAGCAGAGTGCCCTTGGTTCTAAAAGTCTGTGAGTTTAAAGCGTGAGAGAAGATATCCATAATAAAGTAGTCTTATCCATAATATATAAAGAGTTACTACAAATCAATAAGAAAGAGGCAGATAGTCCTACAGAAAAAAATGAGCAAAATACTTGAATAGGAACTTATTTAAGAGGATGTCCCAGTGGCCAAGAGCCATACATATGTCAAGGTGTCAACCTCTGGGAAATGCAAAGAAAAAATTCACTGTTACTGGTAAGGATGTGGGGCAACTGGTATACTCATGCACTTGGTGAAAGTGTAAACTGCTACAACCACCGTGGATAGTGCTGTTTGGCACTATCTCTTGAAGCTAAATATATGCCTGTCCGATAACCCAACAATTCCATCCTGGACATCCAGCAGAAATGAATGTGTACATCCACCCAAGAACATGTCTAAGGATGCACATAGCAGCTCAATTCATGATAGCCAACTGCTAGAAACAACCCAAGTGGCCATCGTAGGTGGATAAAAAATTTGTGACATATTCATAACACAGAATGCCCTACAGTAGTGGTCCTCAGTCAGGGGTGATAATGTGCCCTAGAGGACATCTGGCCATGTCTGGACATATTTTTGGTCGTCATGGTTTGGGAGAGGGTGCTATCCTCCATTTAGTGGGTAAAGGCCAGGAATGCTGCCAGGCATCCTACAATGCACCAGACAACCCCACTACATCAAGGAGCTATCTGTCCCTTGATGCCAACAGTGCCCACAGAGATTAAGAAACTTAGAATGAGCCAGGTGTGGTGGCTCACGCCTGTAATCCCGGCCCTTTGGGAGGCCAAGACAAGCAGACAATTTGAGCCCAGGAATTTGAGACCATCCTGGGCAATATAGCAAAACCCCATCTCTACAAAAAATGTAAAAATTAGCTGGGTATGGTGGCGTGTGCCTGTGGTTCCAGCTACTTGGGAGGCTGAGGTGGGAGAACCACTTGAACCCGGGAGGTGGAGGCTGCAGTGAGCCATGATTGAACCACTGTACTCCAGCCCAGGTGACAGAGCGAAACCCTATAAAAAAAGAAAGAGAGAGAAAGGAAGGAAGGAAGGAAAGAAAAGAAAAGAAAAGGAAAGAAAAGAAAAGAGAAAAGAAAAGAAAAGAAAGGAAAGAAAAAAAGAAACTCTGAGAATGAAAGAACGTTACTGTGGGCAACCACATGTGTGGTCCTGACACAAAGCGTGGAGTGAAAGAAGCCAGACACACAAGGGGTGCGCTCCTCCATGCGGATGCAGCCAGACACCAGCAGAACTCGTCTCTGGGTTTAGAAGTCAGGAGTGCAGGACCCCTGGGTGGGGGCAGTGACCGAAGATAGCACCGGGGGCTTTAGGTGTCATGATGTTGTTGACCCAACGTGTACCCTTCACACCATACCTGCAGCCTGCTGCCCTCCCCCAGGAGCCATTCATCCATGACTGTGTCTGCCAGCCCTTTCCCCCAACTCTCTGCTGATGGAGCAATGTGCTCTCTGTCCACAGCGGAGACCCAGCTTCACATGAGAACTGCATGAACACCGGCACCAGATAAACCACAGCAACAACAACACAATGACTATTTTTTTTCCAAATGCATTCTCTGGTCTATGTTTCTTAGACTAGAGAGTCTCATCCTGAAATCCCCAAGAATGCCCATAGCAGTGGCTTTCTCATTTCCGAGGACTTTTCCAGACCATAGCATCGCCTGGAAGGATGAAGTGGAACTTCCCAGGAATTCAGCCAAGAAGCAGATTTGGACACTCAGAAAAGCCCCATCATCCCCTCAATCTTCTGCCCTGGCACCTGGACTTCCTTTCTTCTTGGGCAGGCTACACTACATCACAGTGTCAGAGAGGGTCATGGGTAGGAAACCCCAGGGGTTCCTGGGCCTCACTTGGGCACAGCCGGAGGCCACCCACGGGGCTTTGTGAGGACTCCTACATGCAAAGCGCAATAAAGCAAAGCATGATCAAATGAGCATGGCTGTGTCCGCCCAGGCTGGAGCCGTGGGAGTCCTCGGCAACCTTCCCCTGTATTCCACCTGGCCCCGGATACCTCCAAGGCCTGAAATCCCACTGTCCACAATCCAGCCCTTTAGGTGCAAGTACGGTGTGTCTCAGAGTCCCTTTGTTCACGTGCAAATGCCCAAGAGGAGCAGCACATCCACTCATTACCAGTTCATCTGCCCCACAAGACAGGCTAACTGGACACCCACCTGCCCATGTGCCCATCAAACATCTATAATCCTGACATCCACATGCCCGGCTCCCCTGTTACTGCCGATTCATAAAACAATCCTGTAACGTGGTGTAACCACTGTGCTGATTTCACAGGTATGGAAAAGAAGGCATGGACAGCCGGAGGGTCCTGATTGCCCAAAGCCGCATGGCTGAGTGGCCAAGGTGGGTCTGAACCCACATCTGACTCCACAGTCTTTGCTGCCTCCTACTTCATGAGCTGGCATTTAGCATAGATGGCCTGGGCTGGATTGTATTTTCATGTGCACAGACCTCATCTCTGCAGGTGGGGTTTGGCTCATATGGAACAGGTGAGCCTTGACTTCCTGGCCTTCTCCGCCCCACACAACGGTGCACAGCACAGAGCCTTATACACAGGAGAAGCCCAGGTAAAGTCTGCTGTTTTTGTTGTTGTTGTTTTGTTTTTTGTTTTGGGGGGGGTTCTTTTTTGAGACAGGGTCTTGCTCCATTGCCTAGGCTGGAGTGCAGGGGCACGATCACAGCTTGCTACAGCCTCGACATTCCAGGCTCAAGTGATCCTCCCACCTCAGCCTCCAGAGTGTCTAGAACTACAGGCCCGCATCACCACTCCCAGATAATGTTTAAATTATTTGTAGAGATGGGGTCTCACTATGTTGCCCAGGCAAGTCTCAAACTCCTGGCCTCAAGCAATCCTCCCGCCTTGGCCTCCCAAAGTGCTGAGATTATGGGAATGAGCCACTGTGCCTGGCAAAAGTCTACTGTTCAATATATAGACTGAGATTTATGGGAAGAGCTATCACTTCAGAAAACATAACAGTAAGTCCTCACTCAACATCATCAATATGTTTTTGGAAATTGCAACTTTAAGCAAAACAACATATAAGAAAACCAATTTTCCCATAAGCTAATAGATAACAAGAATTCAGTTCCTACGGCACAGTCTGGTCACAAAAACATCACCAAACTTCTCAATAAACACCAAAATAATTCTAATATTAAATATTGATGTAAATGTGAGTTATCCATACATTTCAGAAAGATTAATAAAAACAAATAAGATCATTATTTACCCAATTTGGGGGGAATCCATGAGTGACAGCAGTCAGAGTGGTAATGGGTTAAATCAAGGAATAAATGTTTGCAAAGCCAAAATTGCCAAGAGCCCCTCCTACGACTGTGCAGGTAAAAACAAACATCATCAATCCGAAGGGCTTGCTGAGCACTTTTCTACACTTTGTCCACAGTCGTGCGTTTGTATAATGATCACACAAGGAACTTTACAGATTTTGAGATGGAGTTTCGCTCTTGTTGCCCAGGCTGGAGTGCAATGGCACAATCTCGGCTCACTGCAACCTCCACCTCCCGGGTTCAAGCAATTCTCTTGCCTCAGCCTCCTGAGTAGCTGGGAATACAGGCGTGCACCACCACACCCAGCTAATTTTGTATTTTTGGTAGAGATGGGGTTTTTCCATGTTGCTCAGGCTGGTTTGGAACTCCTGACCTCAAGTGATCTGCCCGCTTCGGCCTCCCAAAATGCTGGGATTACAGGAGTGGGCCACCATGCCCGGCCACAGATTTTTATTTTTAATACTTTGTACTCATTCGTTCATTCATTTTTCCAATCCACTTATTTCAGTTCAGAGTTGTGAGTGGCGGGAACCTGTCCCAGCAGCTCAGGGCACCAGGCAGGCACCGACCCTGGACAGGTTAGCACCAACACACACCCTCGCAGGGCGCACCCACACACACACCCATGCTCACTCACACTGGGACCATTAGACACACCAGTTCACCTAATGTGCACATCTCTGGGATGTGGAAGGAAACCAGAGTGCCTGGAGAAAAACCCACACAGACACGGGGAGAACACGCAGACGCCATGCAGACAGTGGCCCCGGCCGGACATTGATTTCTTTTCTCATCAACATTATAACAATGTTGAACAAAATGACGGAGGAGCTGCTGTTCAGGACTAAAGTGACTGGGACCCAGGACAGCTGTCTTGACTGCGTTGGGGGAAGGGTAATCAGGAAAAGAAAGACACATACAGATCTTGAATTGGCATTTTGGGAAGAACTGATCTGAAGAAGGTTCCAGGAGTAGCCAGGGAGGGTAAGAGGGCCAAGGGGACTTAGAGCAGGGAGCGGCCTGGAGCCAGAGGTGGGAGTGCCCAGCGCTGACCCTTGGCCTCCCTCCCCAGCTTGTCCAGTGGGGCCTTCTAGAAGCCTACAGAGAAAAGCTGCCTGACAGAGGGGTGGCGGGTCTCTGGGCACCTCAGAGGGGCTGTGTGAAGCCTGTTAAGAACCTACAGGGAGAGGCACTCAAACGAGCTCCTGACCCCGAACTTTCAGACACAGGCAAGCAGGTTGTGACAGACATCTGAGTTCAGCTGCCATCAAAACACAGGGGCCACCTGAGGCTTGACGGTCACCTGCTTTTCCATGGTGCTATGGTCTGAATGTTTTTATCGCCTCCAAAGTCATGCTGAAACTTAATCCCAATGCAACAGTATTCAGGGGTGTGGCCTTTAGGGGGTGGTTGAGTCATGAGGGCTCTGCACTCATGGGGGAATAGGTGCCCTTATAAAAGGCCTTGATGGAGGGAGTTCGCCCTTTTTATCCCCTTCTGTCCGTCTGTCATGCGAGGATACGGCATTCGTCCCCACCCTGGGGGATACAGCACCAAGGCACCATCTTGGAAGCAAAGACTAGGCTCTCACCAGACACAGAAACCACCGGCGCATTGATCTGGAACTCCCAGCCCCTAGAACGCTGAGAAACAAATTTCTATTCTTTCTATATTGCCCCATCTCAGGTATTCTGTTACAGCAGCAAAAACACACTAGGACGTTTGGTAACCTCACTCTGACATCCGTGAAACTGACGAGACTCGGTCCCAAATCTCAGCTCTGATCAGCCACCCGGTGCCCCATCAGCCTGCCCCACCAGCCCAGGCCAGGATGAGAGGTGGCCAGTTGCAGAGACAAAAGGGGTATCCTAGACAGGTCGCAAACTGGAATGTGCAAAGGTCCTGGGACAGCTGGCGTGGCCTGGCTATTGGGCCATGTGGAGGCTGAGATCACCCTCCCTGCACAGGGATCCCTTAGAACCACCATGCAGCAAAGAAAGAAACAAGGAACAGGATCAACATTTGTGTTGCACCTCCTCCGTGCAGGGCACACAGGATGTCCTGTGCCCTCTTTATTGAGCGCCTACTATGTGCTGAGCATGTGCTGAGAGTGTTTTTGCTTCTCCCTGAACTCTGCCAACTTCACTGTCAAGTAGCTTAAAGAGGTTCACACTTGTCCAACACCACCCAGGTAGTCAATAGAAAAGCTGGGGTTAAACTCACCTCTCCTGGACATCACACCTCTGAGCTTAACTCCCAGCCACGCCCCAATACTCACAACAACTCTGCAAGGGAGGCCATGGTATCCCCACTGAACTAGCAAGGAGTCGAGGCTCAAAAAGAGAAGAGACCCCTTTCAGCCCTCAAAATCCTTGCGCTTCTCATTTCTTATGTCTGAATTTTTAGGACATCTCATGCAAAATCCACAAGGTCTTTTAAGAGGCACTCCTTAGTGTTGCACATCAGGGAATTCTGAAGTGTTGGAGGCTATTTTAATGTGGCCCACTAGCTGGAATCCCTTGTCAATGAGGTGTTGGAATTAAGAGGCAAACGGAGAAAAATCCCAGCTCCGAGTCTGACCACCCCTCCCTCCTCAGCTGCCTTCAAACCGCCTTTTTCCGAGTTTCCTCCATCACAAAGTGGCTTGGCTGGAATACAGCTCTGGGTGACAGCTGTCCCCATCAGCAGACAGCTTCATTAAACCTCATTAAGATGTCATCCCTCTCTGCCTTATTTCCCATCTCTCAGCTCTAATTAAAACCATCTCTCTCCCCGTCCCAGGGGGTCCTGGGATTCTCCGGGCTCCTCCTGCAATATCAGCTTCCTCCACTCCCCATCATGAAGGGCCAGGCCCTGGAAACCCATGCTGGGAACCAAGCCGGGCTGGCAGCCCCAGCGCCCGGAAGCCCCCTGGGAGCAGCCTGTCGCCATGAGAACTACTGGGGCTAGCTAGAGGCAGGTGCAGGTAGCATTTCCCACAGGCTGTTGCTTTGATCCGAAGCTACCTGGGACCCAGGAACGAAGGTCTCTAGACCTGGAGCTTCACCAAAGCCCATTTACATGGCACAACTTCTTCAAAACGAGTGACCCGCCTTGCAACTCAAGTCTAATCATTTCCCACCCAATCTACTTTTTTTTCCCCTTAACTAGCCCTCATTTCTTATTGCAAAACAGCTGTACCTCTTAAAAGACCTTGTGGATTTTGCACGAGATATCTTAAAAATCCAGACATAAGAAATGAGAAGTGAAGAGGTGAAAAGTGGGGAAGCCAGCTGGCTTTGTTGCTGAGATAGCCTTGAACTGGATCTTATTCCAGACAAACGGGCCAGTGGTCACTTCCAAAGTGGCAGGTTTTCTGTCAGGGAGCTCGATGCCTGAGTGTCAGACCCACCAAAGACGTTCATTCCATCACGAGCTAGCCCCTCAAAGGAATCAATCACTCCCCACTTCCTGGCAACCACATATAGTGTAGCTCATTAACCCTCCAGCCCTGCGTCTAAACTAATGTTTGTTTGACAGTTGAAAAGCCTCCACTCACTCTCCTGCATTTTGTTAAAGCGCAGTTATATGAAATCCTGTTGCCTGGTAGTGATTAAATAAATATCTGTATATAGCTAGACCCATGCATACATAGGCACACACATACCATTTTGCTCATGGGGGGGTAGTTCATTATTGTAAAACAACTTAAGATCCTCGAATGAAAAGCACAATATAAATGCAAATTGTGATCATTATTAGCATAGAGGATATTTATTTATTTCCATAATGAGAACCTCAGATAAACAATCATGTAAAATAAGGTGCATTATGCATCAAAGGGCTCAGGCATCCTCTTAGAAGCCCAATGCTTTGAACCCTGTGCATTGTGTGAGTGTCAGTTGAACACTGCATAATGATACGAAAAAGCCACGCATGAGAAGACCACATCCATGTGTGATCAAAGGCGTATAAAGTAATGTCAAGTGAAAAAAAAAAAAAAAACCACAGCCGGATTCAAAATTCTACATGGACTACTGTTACAACCACGTTAAAAAAAAAATGCATTGAAAAAGATACTGGAAGGAAACCCAGCCCCATAACTGTGATGTGTGAGGATGTGTGGTTATAGATGGGGGCCCTTTTTTCGATATTGAGGTTTTACTTTTATAATTTAAAAAGCCACACAATAGAGTTAAGTTATATGTTTCTATTTTATCTATGAAAAAGTCTCTTCTGTGTCATTGCAACTCTGCTCTGGTTTATCATGGGGACTAAGATGACGGCTGGTGGCTGGGGGGCGAGGGGTCATGGAGGAGAATTGGGTAGCTGGCATACTAATTCACTCAGAGCTGAGTCGGACTCCCAGCTCTGCCACTTCCCGTGTGACCTTGGGTAAGTCCCTCACCTCATCTGGTCTCTTTCCTCCCCTGCAAAACCTCCCGACGCTGTATGTAGAGTGTTTCATGGTACCTGGCCCAGGAGGTTGCTCAGTAACCGATGGCTTCTATTACTGCTGTCTTATTGTTAAGACTGCTATAGCAGCTCCCAGCTCGGGTCCAAAGGGAGCCGCGGACCGTGGGGAGCCCCTCCAGGCGTCCTCAGGCCTGCCCCGCCACCCAGTCCAGCCCTGTCTGGTTCCCACGGCCCGGGGCTGCCTGCGCTCTGCCGCCTGCCTGGTCCCCGCTCCCCGGGGCAGCCCGGCCTCCCTTCCGGCTGCCTGCTCTGTTCTGGCGGCTGATGTATGGCCCTTGCCGTGTGAGGCGGTCACGGTGACAGGGCCCCACCGTTCCCTCCCCTCCCCCTCGACAGCTTGAAATCAGGTCCTTCATTTGCATTTACATGATCTCGCTGTGCAGCTTATGAGATCGAGAGATTTATTTGCTACTTAGCTTGATGTTTGATTACACTCGGAGAAGGCAGCGAGCAGCGAGGTGCGGGGATGCATCCGCTCGGAGTCCCCGGCCTCTGGGGGCCGGTAACTCAACAGCATGTTTAGGGGAATGAGGGGGAAACGCGCAGCGTTTTGACAAAAGGCGAACGTGAGAGGTTGGAAGGAACTAATACCTTGATTGGATATATTTTTTTAAAGAGCAATAAAAACTAGCTAGGTATCATCTGAGATTACGAACAGAGCCAGGTCACTCGCAGGAAGCAGCTCATCGTCTTGGGGAAGGAACTCCCAGAAACTTTTCCTCCCGGGCAAAATCTGAAGTCCCTAAAAGCGATGATGCCTCTGATTAAGAGGAGGTGTGTGGGCCGGGCGCGGTGGCTCACGCCTGTAATCCCAGCACTTTGGGAGGCCGAGGCGGGCGGATCACGAGGTCTGGAGATCGAGACCATCCTGGCCAACACGGTGAAACGCCATCTCTATTAAAAATACAAAAAATTAGCCGGGCGGGGTGGCGGGTGCCTATAGTCCCAGCTACTCGGGAGGCTGAGGCAGGAGAACGGCACGAACCCGGGAGGCCAAGGTTGCAGTGAGCCGAGATTGCGCCACCGCACTCCAGCCTGGGCGACAGAACAAGACTCCGTCTCAAAAAAAAAAAAAAAAAAAATATATATATATATATATATATATACACACACACACATACATATACATACATATATATATATATATATATATATATATATATATATATATATATATATATATATATGAGGTGTGTGTTCTCAAATCCCAGCACCTGGACTGACACCAGCTCAGTGAATGACACTTGTATGCTCGTCACCTGTTTACGAAAACTACCTGGGCCCCGATTCCTTGTCTGTAAAATGGGAAAATAATACCCCCTCTTCGGTCTGTGGTCAGATGACCTCTGCACTTTGGTGGACATGGAGTAAGTGCCCAATAAATGGGAACTGTTATGGGGACAATAGGCTGTTTTCTGAAGGAACGGAGGGATGAAGCTCACCGCCGCGATGGAGTGCAATCACTTGGCGTCGTACTTTGCAGTCAAGTGTCACTTGTCTGTTTGGTGGGTTATCCACTGTGTGGGGTTTCATTCCAGCCACCTGCCGGCCAGCTCCCGCTGCTCACAGCTGGGGCGTGCTCAAGGAAGGCAAACTCATTTTCATAACAGTCTGAGCCTGGCATAATTAGGAGCAGAGATCCGCCGCTGCCAGCCTCTACCCTGTCACATGGCAATCCAAACAGAAACCATTTGGCGCATGATTGGGACGTGACAGTTTTGTGATTAAGAACATGAGCTTGGGGGCCAAGCCACCCGAGCTGGAACTCTGGCTTCTCAACTCTGCGTGACCTTGGGCAAGTTATAATGCTTAACCTCCGAGTCTCAGTTTTCTTACCTAGAAAATAGGTATCATGAGAGCCTCCAGCTCGGAGGGTGGCAGAGCATTTCACAATGTAGGCAAAGTTGTCAGCAGAGGGCCTGGAAGCTTCTTAATAAAAAGTAGTCATACCAGCTACTGGCCACTGTTAGACTCTGCTATTTTGAATTATCAGCAGCTCCGTCTCCATTTGTATGAATAGAGAACTAGTTATACAATGAACACATCTGCTTGATGGTTCCTCAAAAAGTTAAAGATGAGGGCCAGGTGCCGTGGCTCTCAGTTCGAGACTAGCCCGGCCAAAATGGTGAAACCCTGTCTCTACTAAAAATAAAAAAATTAGCTGGGCTTGCTGGCGCATGCCTGTAGTCCCAGCTACAGGGGAGGTTGAGGCGGGAGAATCGCTTGAACCCAGGAGGCAGAGGTTGCAGTGACCCAAAAGCATGCCACTGCACTCCAGCCTGGGTGACAGAGCAAGACTCCATCTAAAAAAAAAAAAAAAGAAAGAAAGTTAAAGATGAAATTACCCTATATGACCCAGCAATGCCACTTGTAGTGATATACCAAAGGAATTGAAAACAGGTGTTCATATTTATAGCTACTATGTACCCACAAAAATTTAAAAAAAAAAAGAAAACAGGCATTCAAACACATGTACCTGCGTGTTCATAGCAGCGTTATTCACAATAGCCAACAGACAGAAACCACACCACGTCCTGATGAATGAATAAGCCAAGCCTGGCACATCCGCACAATGGAATATTATTCAGCCGTAACCGGGAATGAAGCACTGATCCATGTTACAATGTGGATGGATCCTGAAAGCATTATGCTAAGGAAAAGAATCCAGACAGGCACAAAAGGCCACATGTATGAACCCATTTAAAATGTCCAAATAGGTCAATCTGAAGAGACAGAAAGCAGATTGGTGGTTGCCTGCAGCTGGAGGGAGACTGCTCATGGGTACAGAGCTTCCTTTTGGGGTGATGAAATGTCTTGGAATTAGAGAGGGGTGATGGTTGTATGACATTGCGAATATAGTCAATGCCACTGAACTGCACATTTAAAAATGGCTGATGGTTGATTTTATGTGAATCTCATATAAAAAGAAAAATTAGGCCAGGTGCAGTGGCTCACACCTGTAATCCCAACACTTTGGGAGGCTGAGGCGGGCAGATCACTTGAGATCAGGAGTTTGAGACCAGCCTGGCCAACATGGAGAATCCCTGTCTCTATTAAAATACAAAAAAATTAGCCGGGTGTGGTGGTGGAAACTTGTAATTCCAGCTACTCAGGAGGCTGAGGCAGGAGAATCTCTTGAACCTAGGAGGTGGAGGTTTCAGTGAGCCGAGATTGCACCACTGCACTCCAGCCTGAGCAACAGAGTGAGAATGTGTCTCAAAAAAAAAAAAAAAAAAGACAATACCTCCACAGGAAGGAGATGCCATGGTTCCTGTCGAGCAACTGAGGAAACTCTTTCTCCCTTAAGGATGGGAGGACAGGAGAGGAAAGACGTGCAGACAAAGTGACTGCTGCTCACAGCAGGACACGTGCTTTGAAAACGTGGCTCAGTCTTGAGGAGACTGTGCTCTCTTCTGAGACTGTGCTGAGGTGGGCATGGGGTGGGGAGTGGGCCCTGGGCTGGGAAGGATAGTGAAGGCCGTTTCCATCTGAGTCTCGCTGTTCTGACAGTATGGTGGGAGCTGGGGAAGCATGTCTGAAACCATGAAACTGGATGCATCCCATTTCACAGTGTGGCCCCCTTTGCTTGCCATGGCCTCACTGTTGAAAGGCTGTGGTGGGGGAAGGAGGAGCGCTCTGGACTGTGAGTCTGGAGACCCAGGTGTCAGTTCGCGTCAGCCTCGTCTGCACCGAGGACACGGGAGAAGATGGGTGGCTGCTGCAGGTCCCCCACAACCCCTCGTGGGTCAGAGGAGCTCAGGGGCTCGACGCTCCTTGTCCTGAGCCAGCTGGGTGGCCACTCTAATATATGCTTTATGTATGGGGGTCTCCAAGTCAGGCCTCTTTGGAAGGGTGAGTTTTTGTTGTTGTTGTTGTTTTGTTTTGTTTGTTTTTTTGTTTTAAGACAGAGTTTTGCTCTTGTTGCCCAGGATGGAGTGCAATGGTGCGATCTTGGCTCACTGCAACCTCTGCCTCCTGGGTTCAAGCGATTGTCCTGCCTCAGCCTCCTGAGTAGCTGGGATTACAGGCACGCACCACCACGCCCGGCTAATTTCCTATTTTTAGTAGAGAGTGTGTTTCTCCATGTTGGTCAGACTGGTCTCGAACTCCTGACCTCAGGTGATCTGCCTGCCTCAGCCTCTCAAAGTGCTGGGATTACAGGCATGAGCCCCCTCACATAGCCTGGAAGGGTGCGTTCTTTTTTTTTTTTTTAAATTATTATTATACTTTAAGTTTTAGGGTACATGTGCACAATGTGCAGGTTAGTTACATATGTATACATGTGCCATGCTGGTGTACTGCACCCATTAACTCGTCATTTAGCCTTAGGTATATCTCCTAATGCTATCCCTCCCCCCTCCCCCCACCCCACAACAGTCCCCAGAGTGTGATGTTCCCCTTCCTGTGTCCATGTGTTCTTAAGAAAAAAAAAATGAGAATCCAACTAGGCTGCCTTGGCAGCCCTTGCCAGCGCCCACTCGATGTCAACAGGCAGGATTGGAACCGGACTCTGATCCTTCTTTGCTGTGTGACTTTGAGCAAGTTACTTGGCCTCTCGGAGTCTCAGTTTCCCATCACTCATTAAACAGGGAATAACCGTCCCCACCCCATGGCGTAATGACAACATTTAGACGAGACCATGGAGGTGAAGCGCCACGGGTGCCCAGCACGCAGTAGGTGTGCGGAAGCCGGGAGGGGCCCCTCTTTTCCCCTTTTTCTCCAGGGTGACATTATTTTAGCAGAAGGAAGAAACACCTGTGGGCCTCCTTTGATGTGGTGTCCAGCAAGGGAAGGAATAACTTTCTGCACCGCTGAGGAGTCATAAACAGAATAAGAGGTTCCCACCGAGGCCGGGCCGGCAGCCTACGAAAGAAATGCAGAGTCCACTTGATCATTTGGTCAGTTTAGCTGTCAAGGGTCACAGCCAGCAGACCCTGAGTGAGCAGATTTAAGAAAAAGGCTCCCTATGAAAAGAAAAAAAAAAAGAAAGAAAGAAAGAGAGAAAAGGAAAAAGCAGAGAATGATCTATGTACTTTTCAAAACTTAAAACAGAAATCAAAGGAAAACTGAACTGTTTTAAGTTTTGACAGCTGCAGGGATCATTCTGTTTGGTTACTCTATTTATGTTTTCATTTTCTTTATAGATTCATTGAAAATCGCATCATGTAATAGGGAAGAAAAATGTTCAGTGTTCCGCCGCCCCCCCCCCCCCCAACCATAAACCCTTGTTCCTTCCTGAGAACAGATGAAAACGCCCGCTCCAGTGACTTTTGTTTTGATGTATATTTCATAATATCTTATTGATTGTAAGTTTTATTTCCATGTCAATAAAAAGTGGTATTGTAATAAATGAGAAGGAGTTTAACACAAAATGGCAGCTGACCTGTTAGCATAGCAGATAGCTGAGGCGGAGGAGGCGTCCCTAAAACGAAGCCTGTTAATAAGGCTGGGGTCGGCTGGGAGAGGAAGCGGCGGCTCTTCATTTCAGCACAAAGCTGGGAGGCTGGAGGACAGGGTCCTCCCACCCCCTCCTCTTCGCAGCCTCTGGGGTTGCTTTATGATTGGTTCTGGGTTGACATTTCCTAGGGCAGATGATGCAGAGGCCTCAGCAGCAATGCTTCTCCTCCTCTAGCAGGAGCGGGGCAGCAGCCACCGACGGGGTGCAAGCCACTGTGCTCGGTACCTTGAGCACACAAAGATGGATGAAATCTTGCTGGGGAGGGAGGAGTGTAAGGAGTGAGTTCGAGGATTAGGCGGCTAGTCAAAGGGAAAAGAAATAGGAATACACAAGCTTTAGTGGGCAGGACTTGGATGGGGTTTCAGGAGAGGGGAAGTCCCCAAGGAGGGATGTCTGTGAGACTGTCCAGAGGTGACAGTGAGGGGCCACCATCCAGGAAGGAGGAGGGTGAGGCCGCTCTGGGGGAGACAGGGCTGAAGCGTCTAGCAGCGCGGCAGGGAGTCTTGGGCCCAGAGAGCTCCCAAGGGCAGCAGTAGCTTGGGGTCTTACAGTCCCCAGGCTCTGTCGTATCCATGGCCGGCAGACACGAGTGTGGCTTTGTGGGTGTGCAAAGCAGGTGGGCTCTAAATGGCTAAAATTCTGCTTGTTGGAGATATTTTAAAGCAACTGGATGTGTAAGATTTTGTTTGGTGCTAGTGTGCTTTCGAGCTAACAGATCTCAGCCTGCTGTGAAGAAATAAGCAACCCAAGGTGGATACACGGGGACTGTCTGTGGCTTGTTTTGATAACAGGGGCCCCCGGACCACAATGGGGGCACCTCTGCTCCTAGCCTTGGCCTCATCTTATGCCCTCTCGCTCACCGTCCGCTTTCTGCCCTGGGCCTTCTTTCGGCTCCTGGAACTTTCAGGCCCCTTCCTGCATGAAGTCTGTGCTCAGGCTGACACATCCCTCTCCTCACCGGCGCCTGGCCCCGCTAACTCCTAGCTGAAATGTCACCACCTTGGAGAAGCCCCCGGACTCTGTAGCCTCCGTGAGAAACCCCAGCCACAGGATGTCACCTATTTTCCTTCCTGGACCCACGTCTTTGAGATGAATGGATCATTCAAATGGTGGTTTCTGCCACGTCTCACTCTGCGGCAGGTCAGCTGGGTGAGCACGGGACAGACCTGTCTCATTTGCTGTGGCGTCTCCGGTGCCCGGCACACAGTAGGTCTTCAGCACATGCTCTGGGATGCTCACGTGACTGAGCACCAAGGGGTGGGGCACACAGGCACTACTATGGAAGCTTACTCCTCCCAGGCCTGGGCCATCTGGGGCAGGTCTTCCAGAACAGGGTCTGGAATCTGTTCTCAAATTCCCTAGGGAGTTGAGCTATGAGGGCAAAAAGTGGGAAAGCCCTTTCCTGCCCTGCTGTTGACCCCACAGGGTTGGAGTCTCTGGACCCAGAGCAGGGTGGGTGGGCAGGGGAGCTGAGCAGTTTCCCACCTCATGACTAGCAGGTGGGCAGGGACCAGGAGCAAGAGGGAGTCTGGTGGCTCCTGGGGAGGGCGGTCCAGGAGAGCAGCCGAGGAGGCCCCCTCTCCTCTTCTCTGGCCTCAGTGGTCCCATCTGCAAAATGAGGGGGCTGAGCCGGTTGATTTTCAGGGTCCCCCCCACCAGCTCTGCCATTTCCTATCTGGAGCGCGTCTCCATCCGTGTCATCCAGAGCCGCATCATCTGCTTCTCCTGCTCAGGGAGGCAGAGGCGCACAGTGGAGAGCTCAGAGCCAGCCTCACCTGGGTTCCACTGCCACTCTCCTGCTTGATAGCCGCGTCACTTTGGCCAAGGACCTCACCCTTGAGCCTGTCTCTGGACACCACCCAATTCATAGGCTTGGTGTCAGATGAGAATATTCACTGCCTCTCACGTAGTAGGCCATTCTAAATATCTGCAGTAGGAAAATGTGGCCACTATTATTAGAGGGAGTTGATGCTACGTGTCCAAACTCCATCAGCAACATCTGTCCCTGGTGGCCAGCTCGGCCCACCTGCCCACACGCTTTCAACCAGGATGGCCTGAGCAAAGCCAACGGGGCCATCCTTGGAGGGAACTCAGGCCATGGCTCTGCAGCACATCCCTCCAGCCACTCGGAGGAGCATCACTGGTGGGAGGTGATTGGATCAGCAGGTTCAATGCGCTGCAGCAGGTTGGATGAATGAAGAGTATTTCAAGAACGCCACAAGGAGGACCTTGGCTCAACCAAACCAGGCCCAGCCCCCCAAGGCCCTCCCCCATGCACCCACCCAGCTGTGTCTGTATCTGAAACTGAAAACTGGAAACTCTGTGGTTCTGTGGTTGGGAGGATGGGATGCACGATGGTAGGATGAACAATGGTGGGATGAACTATGGGGGAAAAGGTCTGAGCTCCCTGAGGGTACCCAGGGCAAAAGATGGCTGAGCACTGTGAGCTGGGCATGAGGGGTTGTGCTGTAAATGCTTTAATGGGTGGCTTCTTAGATGCCATGGGGTTGCATCACTAAGGTAAAGATTCTGAGTATGTGGCATAATTGCTACATGCGAAAATCTATTTGTACTTAGCTTTTAGTCTTGAAAATTACCAAGCCCTGTGCTGCTCCTACAATTAATCAT
This sequence comes from Homo sapiens, assembly GCF_000001405.40. Taxonomy (NCBI): domain Eukaryota; kingdom Metazoa; phylum Chordata; class Mammalia; order Primates; family Hominidae; genus Homo; species Homo sapiens. The sequence continues at coordinate 132,479,086 of NC_000009.12, read as the reverse complement.
TAAAGAATTAGGAGTGAGAATACCCATTATTGTAAAAGACTCCAGCGATGGTCTTGATCCAACTTATAAAATAGACAGATTTGGTGCAACTGAATAATTTTCCTCCTCTCTGCACAAAATCAGGAATGCTAGTCATATTCAATGGCTGGAGTGAATGCTTACAAACTGGTTTATAGACCAGCCTATAATTACCAAAATAGAAAAAGAACAGCATTCTGTAATGAATGACAAGCTGCAGAGCGGAAATCTAATTTGGTCTAATTAAGCAGCCTTTTGTGAGGATTTGTCTTTAGATGAAAAGAGGGAGCCAAGGAGATCTAAATGCAAATGAACTCCATCATTTTGGTTTTAAAGGGCTAGGCTGAGATGAGCATCTCCGGCCCCAGCCCTCTCCTCTTCATTAGATTCTGAGTCCCCTCCTCGTCACCTCCAGCCCACGCCGGGCCCCATCTGCCTTGGAGAAGCCTCGCGTTTTTTGTCCCTGGCCTCTTATATCTTTTCAAATAGGACACCTCACGCCGACAGGGCTGTCAGGGAGCTTTTGCTTACTTGGGAGCAAATTTTATTTTGCCCAAAGTAATAAAAGCCAAGGGGGAGGCTGATTATTAGAGGAACTTGCTCCTGTTCTCGGCGAGTACAGCCTCTGAAGTCTGGAGGGTTGAATGCACACCCGGAGCCACTGGCACTGACAGAACAAATGGGGGGAACCAGTGCCGCGTCTTCACCTGTGAGCCTCGTGCAGGGTAAGCAGAGGCTGAGGCTTGGCTGCCATTCAGGACTCCCCAACACCACCCTCAGCTTCAGGAATTTGCCAGAAGGACCCACAGAACTCAGAAAAGCCACTGTACTCACGGTTATGGTTTATGATAGTAAAAAGCTACAGGCTAAAATCAGCAAAGGGAAGAGGCGCATGGGGCAGAAACCACCCCCCATGATCGAGTCACCTCCCACCAGGCCCCATCTTCAACATGTGGGGATTACAATTCCACATGAGATTTGGGTGGGGACACAGAGCCAAACCATATCACCTGGTTAGGTTGGGTAGACGAGAAGGAAAAAAAAATTCCACCACACTGACTCCTTAATCTCCTGTCTTAGTTTTCAAAGAAATTGCAAACATTTGGACTTTCTCATCTTCTAAACAAAAGCAAGTAGAATGACTGAGAGAGCAGGCAGCTGTGGCAGGGCCCCGCTGCCCCCAGATTGGTTGTCTCAGTGGCTCCTCCCTCGTGAATGCTGGTCCAGACTCAGAGGGTCTGGACTCCTAGGCTGCCCGTCTGAGCCTACGGCCTCCCACATCTCCATCAGAGTTTGGCCCAGTTCCCTACTCACCCCCTAGACACCTGCCTTGGCATTCAGATGCTCAAGAAAGGGAGCCAGGAGGCAGCACTGGAACCCAATGCAGGGCAAGAGAAGGCAAGAGCATCCTGTGGGGAGAAATGGAAGAGGCCCCCAGCCTGGAGTGCAGACAGCTCATGTGTGCTGAGCAATTACTATGTGCCCAATGCCTTGCCCAAGGCTAGGCGCTTGACCCCTGCTGACCCCTGACCCTTCCTGACCCGACCTCCCACTGGGAACTGCACCCCTGCCTGGCTTTGTGTTTCTTTGTAGCACCAATCAACAACTCGCTATGTATTCTACTGATGAATTTGGGTCATCATCTTTCTCTTCTCCCTAAAACAAGCTCTGTGGGATGGGGTTTGGTGGCTGGTTTGCTCACTGCGCTGTCTCCAGGGCCTGTAGTTCTTGGCACGTAGTAGGTGCTCAATGCATCTTTGCTGAATGAATGAACAGAAGGCTCGTCGTTATGACCTGTGAAGCAGGTCTACTCTTGTGCCGGGTTTACAGATTAGTCAGAGAGGTGACATGTGCCCAGGGTCACCTTGCTAATCGCCAGAGGCAGAGCTCAGTAATCAACTAGGTGTCCCTCATCCTGGCCCCACTGTTGGTGCCTCCCAGGCTTCTGAGCATCCTGGCACACAGAGAAACCAGTCAGCCTGGCACGAGACACACAGGCAGATGTACGAGGCTGCTTGCAGCTCCGGCAGCCCCAAGACCAGAGGAGGTTGGCGTCACAGCACCAGCGGCTGGGAAGACCTGATCATGCATTCCTGGCCCCAAACCATCGCCTCTGTATCCGTTTCTTGTGGCTGCTGCAGCAAATCGCCACCACCTTGGTGGCTGAAGGCAGCAGAAATCTCACCGCTCCGGAAGCCAGAAGTCTGAAATGAAGGTGTTAGCAGCAGTGGTTCCTTCTGGGGCTCCGAGGGGGGACTCATTCCAGGCCTCTCTCCCGGCTGCTGGTGGTTGCTGGCAGTCTGCGGTGCTCCTTGGCTTGTGGCTGTATCACTCCAATCTCTGCCTCTGTTTCCACATGGCCTTCTCCCCTGTGTGTCTCTGTGCCTCAAATCTCCCTCCCCTTTCTCTTGTCAGAACACCAGTCATTGGGTTTAGGGCCCACCCTACATCCAGTATGGTATCATCTTGAGAGCCTTAACTTGATCACCTCTGCAAAGACCCTATTTCCAAGTAAGGTCACAGCACTCATTACCCAGCACCTCGTGGGAACCATCCCAGTACCAAGCACTGCATCTAGATGAGCTACACCCATCTGCTCAGACAGACACCACCTGTGTGCCCCTATTACAGCTTGTGGGGAGATGGAAGATCAGAGCTTGAAGACAGACATAAGCAAAGTTCTGGGGACCCAGAGACTGAAGACAGCTCACCATCCAGCCCCACAAGAGGAGGGTGGGTCACTAGGGGAAGGTTTCTCAGAGCATGCGGTATGGGACACAGTGAGTAAGGGTTGAGTTAGACTTTTCTGATAGTCAATCTTGAGGGTGTTCCTGGAAGCAACCAACCCCAGGACCAAGCAGAGGATAGACACTTACAGAACAGCTGGGCATAGAGGAACGCCACAAGGGAAGTCTTACAGGCCACGAGAACTCTGAGAAGCAAGCTCATCTGCCTGCCAGGCTCGGGCCAGACCTCCCAGAAGAGGTGGCATTCGAGAAAGACTTGGAATGCTGAATGCAGAGCTATGGTGCAGGATTTCACAGAGCAGGCCAAGATGGCAGAAAAGCCTGGACAGAAATGCAGGCAGCGGCAAATGATCCAGCAGACCAGACGGAAGGTGAGTCATGGGGCCAGGCTGTGCCAGGCTATCTTCTTTGAGAGGTAATAGGGAGCCAGGGATGGTTGTGGTTCCATGGCCATGGTAGGATCAGTACTGCAGTTTGGGAAAGCTGGACTACTACCAGTGCGCACAGGATGGGGTAGAGGAGAAAGCAGAGGGTGGGGGTACCCAGGAGTCTGGTTCTGCACTCCAGGTGGAGGTGACAAGAGTCTGAACTAGGAGAGCAATGCTCAGGCCTCTGTGGCAAATGCAAGATGCTTGAGCTCTTCAGACCCAAATATCTTCAAAGCTGATTGGATGTAGGGAAAGCTGCCAGCCCAATTTCATGTGGCTTCTTTGTTCTTCCTGCTCCTAACCGAGACACTTCTCCCTGCCTAACTCCTGTGGATTTACCCCTTGACTGAGGCATTCAAGACTGGCAAAAACGAAGGCAATTCAGAGACGATTATCGGCTCAGTCCCAAAGTGGGCTCTGCATCCCCTCAGCAGGGAGACTGTGGCCTGGAACCAGCCTGGGTTCTGTAACGCTCCCAACTGCAGACCAGCCTTAGCGAAGGGGCCTAGTGGTAGATGCAGCCATAGAAAGCAAGAATTCAACATCTGCTCAGGCCCAGTGTCTATTTCCCAAGATGCATGATACCCAGGCTGGGCTCTTCCAGATACCTGGGGAATCCAACTGCCCTTTTCAGAATATCAGAAAACTCTCATTTTAAAGGTTAGGGAATAAACTGCAAAGGAGGGCCTCACATTTGCTGGAAAGTTTAAAATGCAGTTTCTTCTCGCTGGAAGACCTCAGGCTCGGTTAATGCAGCCAGCAGATAATGAAAGTCTCCTTGTCCTAAATCATCTCTATTGGAACAACAAAACAGTTAAAAGTTTTTGTCTGAAATGATGCATTTTCCTTCATGTTAAACAACCTCAGAAGGACTGAGCCTCTTTCTCTTCCACACCCCAGAATTCCCACAAGAAATCAAATATAATCCTCTTTAAGAAGCTTTAAATAATTTTGAGCTTTCTTATTGACTTATTAAAATGCAGCTTAAAACACGCCTTCAATGCAATCCTTTTACAAGGGTCAGGGATATAAAATTTGAAGAAATATGATTAGTAGATCAGTTGGAAAGACATAAGCCGTCGGATCCAATTTTGACTATTTCAGAGAAAACTTCCTCCAGGCATTTCTGATACCCCCCAAACAACCTGCCCTGAGTCACGCGCACCATTTTGCCTGCCTTCTTCTCAACCTTTGGCCCTGTGTGCCTGTTGGTCAATAACTTGGTAATTCCCTAATCATTCTCTACCGCCGCCACCCGAACTGAGTGGCCCTGCCACCAACCCCCAGCAGCTCCATCTGTGCATTCCCCCCCTGGTCCTAAGGGCTGAACTTTCTTAGAAACCCCTTTGTTGCAAGCTTCAAAGGTCTTGGAACATTCCAACGGTGGCCTTTGATCCCTGCATACTTGAGCAATGTGAACTAGCCGCATCCCTGCGCCCCACCAGCCCCCACATTTATCCCATTTCACTTGAGTCACGCTCCTTCCTGGGATGAAGGGATCCGGAGTCGCAGTTTTATAATTACGTGTTTGGGTGAACGAGTGAGTGAGTGAATAAATGAATGATGTCCCGAGGCGTTCGTAAGTGTATGACTGTCCAACAGAAAGCCAAACAGAACAGAGGCTTGGAAAACCACACTCTTCCAGAGCAAGGCACCCACCAGACCACATGTATTCTCTACTCAAAGCAAAAAGATACAGATTGGAAAATGCACAATGAGCTTTGTTTTTAATCAAGCAAGATTTTTTCTAGATGCAAACCCTTACAAGAGACAACCCAAAATCTATAAAACAGTTTTTGACACATGCAGGGCACCCCAGCTACATCTCTAGGGCCGGCAAATAGACTCGGGTTCGTGAGGAGAGGACGCAATGTGATCAGTGGGAAGTCTGTGTTCAGAAAGCCAAGATCAGCCCAGGCGCGGTGGCTCACGCCTGTAACCCCAGCACTTTGGGAGGCCGAGGCAGGTGGATCACCTGAAGTCAGGAGTTTGAGACCAGCCTGGCCAACATGGTGAAACTCTGTCTCTACTAAAAATACAAAATTAGCCGGGCGTGGTGGTGCACGCCTGTAATCCCAGCTACTTGGGAGGCTGAGGCAGGAGAATCATTTGAACCTGGGAGGTAGAGGTTGTAGTGAGCTGAGATCGCACCATTGCGCTCCAGCCTGGGTGACAAGAGTGAAACTCTGTCTCAAAAAAAAATAGAACTCCAAGGTCAGCGACAGCTCTGGTTGAGACTAGGAGCTGCCCTTCGCCTGCACTGGGGAAGGCTCCAGGGACACAACTAGGGATCATCTGGCTTTCACGCGTCTGGTTTGGCCTGGAACCACCCTCTCCACAGACAGGAAGGTATCCTGATGAGTATACAGTCTGGAAGGGAATCCGTGTCCGGACTTGAGAACTACAACTTGCCTGGGTTGAAATCCAAGCTCTGTTACTCATCAGGACGATCTGGATCAAGTTACATCACTGTTCTTTGCCTCAGTCTCCCCAGCTGTAAAATAGGGAGGCCAAATAGTAACTGCCTCTGAGGGTGTGTCTGGCGCTTAGATGAGGGAATGCCTGGCACCCATACCACAGTGCCCACTTTGCGGGTTGCTATAGTTTGGATGGTTGCTCCCCCAAGCCTCGTGTTGAAAGTTGATCCTGAATGACGTTGGAGGTGTTTGGGTGGGAGGCAGATCCCTCGTGAACAGATTAATGCGTCCCTTAGGGGTGAACGAGTTCTCACTCTGTTAGTTTCTTGGAAGCTGTTTGTTAAAAAGAGCCTGGAACCTCCCTCCCCCAACCCCTGACTCCCTCTCACAGAGGGGTCCCTGCACACCCCGGCTCCCCTTTGCTTCCCGCTGTGAGTGGAAGCAGCCTGAGGTTCTCACCAGAAGCTGAGCAGATGCCGGTGCCATGCGTCTTGTACAGCCTGCAGAGCCAAATAAACCTCTTTTCTTTATCAGTCACTCTGTGCCTCAGGTGTTAACTTACAGCAACACAAAACGGACTAAGACATGGCCCTAACTGGAAAAAGAAGCAATTTCATACGGTTCAATACAAATGCTTTCCCAGAGCCGGGCACACAGCAAACACTGAGTTAATCCGAGCCATTGTTTTTTGTTTGTTTGTTTTAGAGACAGGCTAGAGTGCAGCCTTTGTCACCCAGGCTGGAGTGCAGTGGTGCAGTCATGGATCACTGCAGCCTCGATCTCCTCGGCTCAAGTGATCTTCCCGCCACAGCCTCCTGCATAGCTGGGACTACAGGCACCACTATGGCTGCACCACGCCCAGCTAATTTTTAAATTTTGTTTGTAGAAATGCGGGTCTCACTATGCTGCCCAGGCTGGTTTTGAAATCCTGGCCTCAATCCATCCTCCCACCTCGGCCTCTCAAAGCATTGGGATTACAGGCGTGAGCCAATGCACCTGGCCAACGATGGTGGTTATGTTTGTGTTCACACCTGCCTACATCATGAGCACACTTATCACTGTGCTATGCCTAAGTAGACTGTGGAAACAGTCATGTGATTAGCCACAATGCAGCTAATTATAGAATGGCTTTTGCATTCTACAATAAAGAGTCTTGAAAATTACTTCCTAAATGACTGGTCCATCTCTTCACAAAGACCTCCCTGAGTGCCAGTACTCAACACATATTTGACAGATGATATCCAGTGTCAGATGTGTGCCAGAGACTGTGCCCAGTGCTGGGAATATTGAAGTGAGAGACACAATTCCTGATCCCTAAAACTTGATGTTTTCTGAGTAACAGAAAGGAGAAAACATGTGGTGGTGGGATGGAATCATGGGGGCGGCGGGGGGATCTGCAAAGGTCTGCACAGGTGCTGGGCTGCCAGCTAGTCTGCCAGATTTAGCAAATAAAAATGCCCAGTGAAGCCAGGTGCAGTGGCTCACACCTGTAATCCAAGCACTTTGGGAGCCCAAGGCAGGCAGATTGAGTCCAGGAGTTTGGGCCTAGCCTGGGCAACATGGTGAAATCCTGTGTCTACAAAAATAATAATAATAATACAAAAATTAACCAGGCGTGGTAGCAGGCACATGCCTATAGTCCTATCTATTCCAGAGGCTGAGGTGGGAGGATAGCTTGAGCCCAGGGGTTCGAGGCTGCATTGAGTCATGATGGCACCAATGCACTCCAGCTTGGGCAACAGAGTGAGACCCTGTCTCAACAAACAAAACAAAACAAAACAAAACAAAAACAACCCCCCTCTCTCACAATGCTCCTGCATAGAAAAATCCTGTAATAGCTGGGTTAGCTGTAACCTGGGGCTGGCCAAGTCTCTCCTATCACCAACCTACCTGATTATGTTTATAGCACAACATAAAAAGATCCCAAAGTGAAAGAAACGTGAAACTCTGAGAAGTGGCTTTGGAAGTCTGTGCAGGACCTGAGGGGGTGGCCATTCACTTGATGTGTGTGTGTGGGCAACGGTGGGGGGGGGTCCTTAAAGGAATAGGAAGAAGTGGATGGACCCCAGTTCTCTCCCACCAGAGAGTTGTGGGCAGGCAGGGTGCCCCAAGATGACTCTGAGGCTCTGGGGCTCCTGCAACGGAGTTCTGGGGAGCTGGGTTCATAGCTACCTTCTCCAGATTATTCTACGGGACCTTCTCAACTTCTGCCTCTCATTCAGCATCACTTCCCAGTGGGCTTTGGGTCACAGCTTCCAGGGCTGAATCCTCTGAGGTCTGTGGTTCTCCCAACTGATTACATTGCTCTAACTGCTTCTCTGAACCTCTGGATCATATGCCTTGCATGTGAGGCCAACTCACCCATCAGGCAGTGGGACACAGTGCCCTGGGCCCACCGTCCTTATAGGGGCCCACACAAGTGTTTTAATTTATTTTCCAAGCATAAGGAAAAAAAATAAACATATCCATTTATAAAATATCATTTAAAAAAAATTTTTTGAAACAGAGTCTCACTCTGTCGCTCAGGCTGGAGTGCAGTGGCCCGATCTTGGCTCACTGCAACCTCCACCTCCTGGATTCAAGTGATTCTAGTGCCTTAGCCTCCTGAGTAGGCTAATTTTTGTACTTTTAGTTGAGATGGGGTTTCACCATGTTGGCCAGGCTGGTCTGGAACTCCTGGCCTCAAGTGATCCACCCACCTTGGCATCCCAAAGTGCTGGGATTACAGGCGTAAGCCACCGTGCCCGGCCACATTAAATAATCTTTTAAACGGGCGCACAAAGGCAGACATGCCCAGAGCCTGCGATGGCTCTACTGTGGGCCTGCTGCTGTGTCCATCACACATCAGCAAATATTCCAAGCATTGGACGCACTTGGGAAACAGCCCAAATTTCTTTCTCAAAAAAAGAATAACCATCCAGATTTCAGGACCCTACTGCCCAGGGGGCACCACACATGCCAGCAGAGAGAACACTGGGATGCGAGGCCAACTGGACTCCACCTCTTCCCAGCACTGTCACCACCACCTCGGTAGCCACTTAGGGCTGAGGACTCAGGATCCACAATGACTGTCACCTGGGTCCTCATCCTGCCTCCATCACTTACCAGCTGGAGGCCTCTACTAAGGCGCAACCTGCTGAGCCTCAGCTCCCTCATCTGTAAAATGGGGATAACCAGGGCACTTCCCTCCTAGCATTGCTGTAATGACTCAGCGAGACACTGATTGGGAGGCACGTGGACTTGGCGCATAAGTGTTCACCCAATGACTGTTGCGACTGTCATTGCTGCACACGGAGATGGCTTCGAAAAGACCACTCTTTAAAAGATCATGGAGCAAAGGCCAGGTGTGGTGGCTCACGCCTGTAATCCCAGCACTTTGGGAGGCTGAGGTGGGCAGATCACTTGAGGTCAGGAGTTCAAGACCAGCCTGACCAACATGGAGAAACCCCGTCTCTACTAAAAACACAAAATTAGCCGGGTGTGGTGGCACATGCCTGTTATCCCAGCTACTTGGGAGGTTGAGGCAGGAGAATCGCTTGAACCCACGAGGCGGAGGTTGTGGTGAGCCGTGATCACACCATTGCACTCCAGCCTGGGCAACAAGAGCAAAACTCCATCTCAAAAAAAAAAAAAAAAAATCACGGAGCAACTGGCAGAGTCTGAATAAGGCCTGCAGATGGACTGTTGTCCATTTCCCGGTTTCGCTATTTCTTAGATGTTTAAGATGTCACCGCCGGGGTGGAGCACTGGGGTCAGGGTAAGTGAGACCTCTCTGTGAGTCTGTAATTATTTCAAAATTAAAAGTTTTTTTTTAAAAAGGTGGGCAAATGAAATACTTTTTTTGAAAGAGAATGCTGAAGCCCATAAGTGATGCATGGACTTTGCAGATAACTCCCCTTTTCTGGGAAGCACGGATGTGCCTCTATGTCCCCTCGCCTCCTCCCTCTGCCCCTGTTCAGCTGCCGTGGTATTTTCCTTCATTATGCCAGCGCCTCAGAAGTAAACCTCTCTAATTTTCTACACCACAGCTATTTATTTAAATGCTAACTCGCATTATGAAGTGATAATCCACACGCACAGGAGATAATTTATGAAGCATTTAAATTAAGAGGAGCAGCTAATTGGGAGCATGTGTCTTATAAGCCTTGCTAACACCAGAAAACTACAAATTAGGGGGGAAATGGAAGGTATTTTTATCATGCCTTTATCTGCTTTTGTAAGGCGCTTGGGGGAAAATATCTCTGTGATTGCATGAGCTGGTCCTCCAGCCCTTCTCATGGCTGGGTCTCCGCCCCTGGTACTCCGGCTTCTCACAGAGAGCTCGTTCTACCCTGGCAAGTGCTGGGTCCCCCCACCCCCACCCCTTTTGCTAACAAGGGAGCATGCCTTTTTTGTTTCTTCTTAGAGAGCTCCTTGGCTCCATTATAAAGATGGAAGTGGCCAAGATGAGTGAATTCATACCTACTGGAGAAAGAGAAGAGACTTTCTTCTCTTTCTTCAGGTCTCTTTCCCCAGATCATTTTCCAGGTCTGGGGGCTGGAAAATGTTCTTTTAATAGGACACATGTTATAGTTATTTTGATTCTTCCCATTTGAAAAGGGCTGTCCTGGTTTGTATACATAGGCTGAGAGTTAAACTTGACCACATGGGTGCCGTGTGTGCGTGCGTGTGTGTGTGTGTGTGTGCGTGTGTGTGTGCTTATTCTTTCAAAAGATACCAACCGAGCACCTACAATGTGAAAGGTCCTGGGATATAACAGTGAGCAAAAGAGACATCATAGTCCTTCACGATGCTTACATCCCATCTGGAAAGACAGACATCACAGGACGAAGCATTGAATTACCCCTGTGACAATTGTTAGAAAATGCAGGGCAAGGGCTGTGGCCTGCTCTTGAGTGGTCAGGGAAGGCTTCCTGGAGGGAGGGACATTTGAGTTGAGAACTAAATGGAGAGTAAGGAAGTGCTGGGTGAGTACGAGGTGGGCCCAGGGCAGGGGCTGGCAGGTGGGGCATGGGAGGTTCCCTATTCCAGAGAAAGCATCCTGGAATGAGGCTGGAGTGGAAAGTGCTGGAGTGGAAAAGGGAGGACTGTGGCCTGTTTGAAGGGTTCTAATCTGTGGTTTTTTGTTTTTTGAGACGGAGTCTCACTCTGTTGCCCAGGCTGGAGGCAGTGGCGCAACCTCGGCTCGCTGCAGCCTCGGCCTCCTGGGCTCAAGCAATCCTCCCCCCTCAGCCTCCTGAGTAGCTAGGACTACTGGTGCGCACCACCAGGCCCTGCTAATTTTTTTGTATTTTTTAGTAGATACGGGGTTTCGCCATGTTGACCAGGCTGGTCTCGAACTCCTGACCTCAAGTGACCCACCCGCCTCGGCCTCCCAAAGTGCTGAGATTACAGGTGTGAGCCACCACACCCGGCCCTAATCTACAGTTCTAAGGCAAGGGGCCTTTGAAGGGTTGGATGCAGGAGGGGGAGTGAGCTCATCAGATCCACATCTGCTTGTGTGCCCCTTATCTCAGGACACTTCATGAACAGAGCTTTGACAAGGATGTTCCCCCCATCTCACACCTGTTAAGATGGTGACTACTAAAAAAAAGAAAAAAACCAAACCCAGAAAATAACAAGTGCTGGCAAGGATATGGAGACATTGGAACCCTTGTGCACCATTGGTGGGAAGGCCAAAGGATACAGCTGCTGTGGAAAACAGAATGGTGGTTCCCCAAAAAATTAAATATAGAATTACCGTGTGATTCTACCATTCCACTTTTGGGTAGATACCCAAAAGAAGTGACAGCAGAAACTCAGAGAGATATGTTCATCCTCATGTTCATGGCAGAATAATTCACAATAGCCAAAAGGTGGAAACAACCCAAGTGTCCATCGATGGAAGAATGAACAAACAACATATAGTCCCTCCATACAAGGGAATATTACTCAGCCTTAAAAAGGAAGGAAATTCTGACACATGCTACAATGTGGATGGACCTTCACGGCAGTGTGCTAAGTGAAAGAAGCCAGTCACAAAAGGACAAAGTATGATTCCACTTATATGAAGTACCTAAAACAGTCAAATTAGCAGAGACAGAAAGGAGAATGGTGATTGCCAGGAGCTGAGGGGAGGAGGGGGATGATGGGGAGATGTTGTTTAATGGGGACAGGGTTTCAGTTTTCCAAGATGAAAAGAGTTTTAGAGATCCATTACACAAACGATGTGAAGGTACTTAACACTGTGGAACGGCACACCCTAAAATAGTTAAGATGGTAAATTTTGTTATGTATATTTTATGATTTATTTATTTATTGAGATGGAGTCTCACTCTGTTGCCCAGGCTGGAGTGCAGTAGTGCGATCTCGGCTCACTTCAACTTCCATCTCCCAGATTCAAACGATTCTCCTGCTTCAGCTTCCCCAAAAGCTGGGATTACAGGCGTATGCCACCACGCCTGGCTAATTTTTGTATTTTTAATAGAGACAGGGTTTCACCATGTTGTCCGGGCTGGTCTCAAACTCCTGACCTCAGGTGATCCACCCGCCTCGGCCTCCCAAAGTGCTGGGATTACAGGTGTGAGCCACTGCACCTGGCCTGTATTTTACAATTTGAAATGAAAACAAAGGCTGTTCCCAGCCCCAGGACACCTGGCTGTGACAAATGTCATTGATTGATCTGAATCAAAGAATTAGAGCAGGTGGAGGAGCCCAGAGGTCATCTCCACCAGCCCCTTCTACTGGGCAAGTCCTTGGGATGTGGTGAGGAGGGGCCAGACAGGCTTCTGGAGGAAGCCGGGAGGTCGGGGGAACTAACTCTGAGCTATTTTCTTGAAGAGGAAAAATAGCTCTTTGGGGCACCTCTGCCAGGTGTCCCCACACCGATCCAGTCTTTCTTTCCCAAGGACCGGATGTGCAGGAAATTACTTGACATCGGGTCCTTGGGAAGAGAGTACCAACTGCCGACATAGTGCAGAGGGCAATGCGACATTTGTTCTCTGGCATCTGGCTTTGCAGAATGTCCCCATCCCATGACCCAAGTTCCAGGAACTGTGCTCCTCCTGGGACTTGGTGTATAAGGGTGCCTGGCTTCATGCAGTGGAGACACAATCCTGCTAACTGCAGCTGACCTGAATGTGTGTCAATCAAAGCGTTGTCTAAAGGCATCCCGGGATGGGTCCTGTCGTGAGAGTAAAGTGGACATTCTCAACCCCAGCTGCTCTCTAGAATCATCAAGGGGCATTTAAAAAAATGCTCATGTCAGCCAGGCTTACGTCTGTAATCCCAACTACTCAGGAGGCTTAGGAGTGAGGATTGCTTGAGCCTGGAAGATCAAGGCTGCAGAGAGCCACTGCACCCCAGCCTGGGCAACAGAGCAAGACCATGTCTTTAAAAAAAAGTGCTCATGTCTGCATCCCACCCCTAGACATTCTGCAGTCAAGAATCCTCTGTGACATAGCTTAAGCTCCCCCGCCATGGATTTTCAAGTTCAAATGGTATTAATGTCAGCTATCCACAGGTAAAGGCAGACCAAAATGTTCTCAGGTTTCTGGTGCAGGCCCTTCCTCCTGTCAGTTCATCACTGCCTTATTTTGAACCACTTGCCTCCGGTAAGTTTTTATGTCTCCTCGTGCCATCAGCCCAGCTCATCCTGTTTGTTTCTAAAAGCTAACAGCTCCCATGAAGTGTTGGGGACAAGGAGCAGAGAATTGCCTGTTCTGCCTTGAGGACTCAGGCAGAGTTTGGCAGAACTAAGAGACTTTTTTAGAAAACGTTATGGGTAGTCTATTTTAAGTTACTTCATGCTTGTTGTACAAGTCAATCAGATGTGTATAAAGGCAAAATAAACAACCCCTTTTTTTCCATCTCACCCACTGAGGTCCCCCAAGTGAACACCAGGGTGTGTCTTTCTGTGCCTCCCTCACCTGAACTTGGGCACACATACCAACGGCTACAAGTGCAGGCATTTCCCCTGCACACGTGGGATCTGCACCTTGCCACTCCCTCAAACATAGATCAAAGGCCCACATCTAGGTCTAACTTGTGCCTTTTCCTGGCTGTATCATACTCCACAGGGTAGATTTACTGTTCCCCCAACACAACCTTCATGACCAGGTGTTTCTTATTTTTTATTTTTGTTTTTTTGCTGCTGCAATGCAAACAAGACTTCAGGAAACACTCTCGCACATGAATTCCATGACTAATGAATTTCAGTAGAAGAGAGTACCCAAAATCGAACTCCATAGTAAAGATCCCCAAAAGCTGGAGAATTAAGCAAAAGAATATGTGAATTCGACTTTTAAGAGACTCCTTCAGACAACTTGCCACAAAAGCACTGGGAAGAAGTCAAGGGAACTGTCAAGCCAGCATTTTCTTTTCTTTTTCTTTCTTTCTTTTTTTCTTTTTTTTTTTTTTTTTTTTGAGACAGAGTCTCGCTCTGTCGCCCAGGCTGGAGTGTAATGGCACAATCTTGGCTCACTGCAACCTCCACCTCCCAGGTTCAAGTAATTCTCCTGCCTCAACCTCCCGAGTAGCTGGGATTATTATAGGCATGCACCAGCACACCCGGTTAATTTTTGTATTTTTAGTTGGCCAGGGTGGTCTCGAATTCCTGACCTCAGGTGATCCACCCGCCTCAGCCTCCCAAAGTGCTAGGATTACAGGCATGAGCCACTGCGCCCGGCCCAGCATTTCCAAGTCAATGAAACAGTCACCATTCTTTCTCCTGAGTGATGCTCTTGGATACAATAGCCACAGCCCACGTGTGGCCACTAAGCACTTGAAACACGGCAGGCTGGAATCGAGATGTGCAGTGAGTGTAAAGTACACTCCAGGCTTCCAAGATGTCAGGCCAAAAAAGGAATGGAAAACGGGCTCATTAATAATTTTATATTGATTACACATTGCACTGATAGTATTTTGGACATAGTGGGTTAAATAATATGTCATTAAAATTAATTTCCCTTGTTTCTTTTTTACGTATTGAATGTGGCTTCTAGAACATTTAACCACCTAGAGGGCTTGCACAAGGCTTGCATTGTTACCCTTTGGGCCTGTGCTGTTCCACAGTTGTGTGGCCTGCAGGAACAGGCTCTGAAGACAGCACAGTTCTGCCTCGTCCGGTTTTTTTTTTAAATTGGGGTGAGCAATTTCACCTCTCCAAGACTTGGTATCCTCGCTTGTAAAATGGGAGATGCTGGGAGAGTTCTGGGAGGAGGCGGCAGAGACCGAGCCCTGTATCTGGCCCACGGCATACTCAGTTATCAGGGCTGTCAATACACTCATTACTGATGGGAAGATGTGCATGTTTCCCTAAAATATGAAAGGATACAGTGCTTGCAGTGGTTTTAGGTGCCATTTGCTGGGAAATACCTGAACTTTGTTGTTGTCAGTCACTAAGAAACTGCTTTTCTCTATGGAGACGTTCACTGTAAGCACAGCAGGTTGTGATGCGGAATGAGGGAAAGCAGCCTCTTTCCGTGATTCCCATCCGACCCCTTTGCCTGTCACCCAGCCATGACCGGGAACTAAAACCATCAGGCGGCTCCCAGCCCAGGTATCCTTGGAGTGGAATCCACCCACACTTGTGCATCCTGGGCCGAGTTCAGGGCCCTTCCAGGCCAAGCCAGGTGAGTGTTTGTGTCCTTCCTGTCAGCAGCCCCATGCACAGATAGCAGGGACACCAGGGACCTCCGCTGCTGTCCTTGGGCCTGGACTCCCCGTTGCCTCCAGGCTCAGGCCTGCTTCTGAAGCCCTGGGTGGTTGGGCTGAATGGGAAGAGACGGTGCCCACTGGGGTCACCACTCTCCACCATCTCTGCTGGTCCCCAGGTAAGGCAGCATCCCCTCCCCCTTAGCGTCATTAGCCCGGTGACCCCTTTCCTGCTGTATCACTGGGGGTCTTCCACCGGGGCCAGGCTCCCTCCTCTACTGTGAGTAACCTCTGCTGTGTGGTGGACACCTGAGGAAAGACCACTTCGTTCAGGTATCCAGGTGGGGGTGGCCCAGGGGACAGCAAGCTTCCGACTTCATTCAGCAATTTGTCCCAGCTTCCTGACTTTTTAAATGCCTGCAACTCTTTCCATTACCCAGATGTGCCATAAAATAAGCTTCTGCCCCCAGATAGCATCCCAGGCAATGGCCATTTCTCTCGTTTCTGGGTTTTCTACACTCTAAAACCACACCGCAAGAACATGTTTGTATATATGTGCACATAATTCTGGAGCTTAAATCTTAACTGGGGAGTTTCTGGGCCAAAGGGTACTCACATTTTAAAATGTCATTGGTGCTGAAAAGTGCCTTTCGCAAAGATTGGCTGACTTGCGACGTCATCCACAGCACCTGAGAGTGGCCACCTTCCATCCGTTCCCAGCCCGCCCAGGCACCCTTTCCTCCTCTATTTGGCTTATATACTTCTTCTGTATGCTCCTGACTCATTGCCTCTCCCCGTCCTGCTATCCAGCCCACTCTGGACTGCTGGATAGCAGCTAGGTGCTCCGCAATAATACACACATCTATGAATCCTGGAGCATCCACTATGTGCCAGGCCTTGGACCTGGTGCTGGAGAGACAGACCCAGGCCTATCTTCATGGAGTTCACTCTGTAAAATATATATAAACTTACATACAAAGTGCATGTATATACAAACGTGTTCTTTATTTTATTTTATTTTTATTTTGAGACGGAGTTTCGCTCTTGTTGCCCAAGCTGGAGTGCGGTGGCACGACCTCGGCTCACTGCAACCTCTGCCTCCCAGGTTCAAGCAATTCTCTTGCCTCAGCCTCCTGAGTAGCTGGGATTACAGGCGCCCACCACCACGCCTGGGTAATTTTTTTCTATTTTTGGTAGAGACGGGGTTTTACCACGTTAGCCAGGCTGGTCTCGAACTCCTGACCTCAGGTGATCCACCCACCTCGGCCTCCCAAAGACAAACGTGTTCTTGCAGTGTAGTTTTATGACGTTGAAAACCTGGAGATGATAGAAATGGCCATTGCTGGAGGTGCTGTTGGAGTGGGGGCACAGAAGCCTACATTTATGGGACATCTATGTAATGGAACGAGTCACAGCCATTTTAAAAAGGAGGGAAACCAACACCTTCTGCTATGAAAATGTCCCAATTTGTGCCTGGCAGATAAATGAGTGAAGCAGCACCTCATCGTGGAAAAACAAAACAAGCAAACAAACGGAGGAGCAGGACCACTTGCACGTACTTAGAATTATTCCAGAGTAACTCACAAGAAACACGTCCTAGAGATCAGCCACAGGCACTGGGGCTGGCTTTCTTCCCTCCGTCCCAGGGGAACCCATTCCCTTTCTGCGACTCCAAGACTGCGGTTTGTAAACAAGGCCAGGCACTGAAGCAGCCAGCTCACACTGGGAATTGGGGGACCAGCTGTGTTACAGTTACTAATCGCTACCTCTCTGGGCCTCTTTCTTCTCGCCCATAAAATGAAGGAGCGGAGATGTTCAATAGGTAGATATTAGGTGCCTGCCGTGTGCAAGGGACCACAGAGTCCTCTCTGGATTTCCTTGATTTCTCCTCCTCCTTAACATTTGCAGAGAAAACTGGAAAGGACCCTTGGGGCGTTTAAAAAATGCTTACTGCATTCTCAAGGACGCAGGCTCTAGAGCAGAAACGGGGGGAAATCGCAGCCACTCTGTGAGGCGGATGAAGTGGCACAACAAAGGCCTTGGCTGAGAAGCCTGTCTGTCTTTAACAAAGCATTGCCCGCACACACTGTCATTGCCTTGTTATGGCCATTGGTGTCATCGTTCATCGGCCAGGCCTGGGAAGGGCCCAGGGGAGCAGTTCTGCCTTTGCTAAACCAATATCCCCCACGACAAACCCCCGCAGTCTTCCCTTGGCCGTCCCGGTAGAATAAATCCTCGGTCGCTCTTTGCTGAATGATCATGAAGACATGATTAAAGCTCTAGATTTATAGCTTCCCTGGGCTCAAGGAATCAAGCTGTTCTGCTGCTGGGGCCTGCCCTAGTTGGCTGCTGGGGACCAGGGAGCAGGGAAATAGACATGGTCCCCGAGCCAGAAGGAAGGCCGCTGAAGCAGATGCAATTAAGGCATTAGCCAAATTGTAGTTGGCAGCACCGGGCTGTACCAGGGGTCTTTAACTCATCCTGGCGTAAGACAGAGAGACCTGCAAAAGCAGTCCCAGAACCCGGGCACACCCTTGGCCACACACCTCGTCCAATGCGTGGGTTTTGTCTAACCCCAAAACGAGGGGCGCTTTGCCCAGTTCCTCCTCTCATGTTCCATCTATAAGAAGTGTGATTTCCAAAGACTGGAGGTGAGTTGTGTCACTGTTACTGTTCTTAAAAGCCAACCTTCATTCAGCACTTGCTATTGTGCCAGGCACTGTGCGGAGGGCTTTGAGTAAATAAATGAGCATACATTTTTTACATTAATTTTTTTTTAATTTAGGTGAAAATTACGTAGTATAAAATTGACCCTTTTGGCCAGGCACAGTGGCTCACACCTGTAATCCCAGCACTTTGGGAGACTGAGGCAGGTAAATCGCCTGAGGTCAGGAGTTTGAGGCCAGCCTGGCCAACATGGTGAAACCCCGTCTCTACTAAAAATACAAAAATTAGCTGGGCGTGGTGGCGGGCACCTGTAATCCCAGCTACTCAGGAGGCTGAGGCAGGAGGATCATTTGAACCCAGGAGGCGGAGGTTGCAGTGAGCCGAGATTGCACTGCACTCCAGCCTGGACGACAGAGAATTGACCCTTTTAAAGTGCACAATCCAGTGGTATTGAGTAGATTCACAATGTTGCACAACCATCACCTCTATCTAGTGCCAACACTTTTTCATCACCCCAAAAGGTTATCTCATACCCGTTGAGCAGCCACTCCTCACACCCCCATCTCCCCGGTCTTAGCAGCCACTGGTCTATTTGATCCATTTTCTATGGATTTGCCTATTCTAGATATTTCCTGTAAATGGAATCATCTAATATGTGTCCTTTGGATCTGGCTTCTTTCCCTTAGTATAATGTTTTCAAGGTTTGTCCATGCTGTAGCATGGATCAGTACTTCATTCCTTTTTAATGGCCAAGTAATATTCCACCATATGGATAGGCCATATTTTATATCCATTCATCTGCTGATGGACGTTCAAACATTCTTGAGGTGGGTGCTATTATCATTTCCACTCTGCAGAGGAGAACACAGTGGCTTTGGGGAGTCAAGTCACTTACCCAAGGCCCTGTGCCTCATAAAGTGGAGGAGGTGGGAGGTGGCCAGGCAGTCTGACCGCTGAACTGCCCGGGAACTGGGGAAGGGCTGGAGCAAGAGCAAAGGCAGAGAGAGCAACAGCAGGAAATGGATGGAGTAGCTTTTCTGAACTATCCCCTGGTACATCCATAAACACTCTTCCATTCACTCCAAAGGGGCTGGTCAGGAAGCCCTTCTGCTTACAAAGTCCTCAGGGTGCGATGCCCTGCATGGAAGGATGCATGAAGACCTGGATGTCAGGAGAAGTGTCTTGAAGGTCTTTAAGAAGTATACACGCACACGCTCATGCACTCAGACTCACACACACTCACGCACACACTCATACAAACTCACACTCACACACTAACACACTCACACCCACATACACTCACACATACACACACTCACACACAGACTCACAATACTCCCACACATACGCACACTCATACACACACATACACACATCGCTCTCACATACACACACGCTCTCACACACACTCATACACACACATACACACACACTCACACACATATACACATACATACAGGTAAACACACATACACAAACACATATGCACACATATACACATAAATATGCACACATGAGACATATACACACATACATACACATGTATACACACATATACATACACACACATATACAGGCATATATATATACATACACATACATGCACACATGCTCACACACATACACACACACCTACACACACTCACACATACACCCACCTAAACAGAGACATACATATACACACATATATACACACAAATACATATACATACACTCACACATACACACACACACACACACACACACACACACACACCCTATTCATCCAGGCCACATTAGGTGCATGGGATAAATTAGTTCCAGGGTGGCCGGGCGCGGTGGTTCACTCCTGTAATCCCAGCACTTTGGGAGACCAAGGCGGGCAGATCACGAGGTCAGGAGATCGAGACCATCCTGGCTAACACGGTGAAACCCCGTCTCTACTAAAAATACAAAAAAT
Organism: Homo sapiens; assembly: GCF_000001405.40. Lineage (NCBI taxonomy): Eukaryota > Metazoa > Chordata > Mammalia > Primates > Hominidae > Homo > Homo sapiens. The sequence continues at coordinate 132,459,237 of NC_000009.12, read as the reverse complement.
TAGCTGGGCGTGGTGGCGGGCGCCTGTAGTCCCAGCTACTCGGGAGGCTGAGGCAGGAGAATGGCATGAACCTGGGAGGCGGAGCTTGCAGTGAGCCAAGATAACGCCACTGCACTCCAGCCTGGGCAACAGAGCGAGACTCTGTCTCAAAAAAAAAAAAAAAAATAGTTTCAGGGCTGTAGACTGGGCTGCCACCAGAAGGGCAAGTCACAATTTACCCAGACTATCTTTTCATTTTTACCCCGAAGGAAATTTTCTCCCACGATCTGGTCTGGTTATCAAGTCTGCGACTATCCTCACCCCTGAGTGTACTTGGAGGAAGAGTGTGACTTCAAAAGGGTTCAACCATTTCATGCTTTTTTCACCCTTTTATTTCCTTGCACATGCCTCAGTGTTTTAGTGTTAGCCTGCTGGAAACAGTGGTTCCAGGTATAACAAGGTATCACCAACAGAAGCGTCTCCTTTGAATTTTCCAGCTTGCCTGGCTACATCTGTGCCGCCTAACACGACACCTGCCAGCCGCAAGTGCTATTTAGATTTAAATTAATTATAATTAAGTCTCACTAGCCATGCGGCTTGTAGTGACCCTACTGGACACAGGAGGGAGAGCTCCCTCCAGAAAGTTCCACCGGACAGTGCTGAGCTACCCAATGCTAATTCCCCAACTCACTGTCTCCATTTCACTCTGTCCTGTGCGGACCTGACCTATGAAGAGGAATAAACATTTTCTTCTGCTGATCACTGTTAGGATGAAACCTAGCCCACACAGGCAAGATGAAGTGGACAGATGCAGCAACGATGGGAAAATTCAGTCGAAATTCCATATGTGGAGAAAAGAAGATGCGGGAAAGTGGGGATGAGCTGAGCCTTCCATACACACCCCCCCCCCTCCCCCGCCAGGGAGACAAAGGTGGAGAGGCCTGTCGGTGAAGAAGAAATCAAAAGCTTGTCGCTGCGACCGTAAGCTGCACTTCTGCGCATCTCAGGCCCGTCCAGGGGCCCGGATCTGTGCAAGCGCCCCTGGCTCCGGGATAACGGGGTCCCTCTTTATGTTCTGATTTAAGGCCTCGCAGGATTTTCATTCCTTCGCCCCGGATCTCACACGCACCGCAAGGCCGCTCTGAGTAAGAAGGAGGCCCACATCTCAAGCCCCACGCTTCTCTACTGCTCTGAGCTGCAGAGAAAATAGGATCATAAAATATGACGAGGGAGGGAGGCCCCGGGCCTTCGGAAATAAGGGATCGGGGCTGTTAGACTCCTAACTGTGCCTGGGAGAGTCGGTCCTGACGATCTGGGACACCAGATTAATTAAGTCAATCCAAATGTGCAGAGGGTTTCAGGGAGGGAAAGGGGTGTTTTAGGAGCTGATTTTATCTGGGGTGGGATCCAGAGAATCACAGGCACGCGTCTTTATGCTCCTTCCCCGCCTTCGCGTCTCCCTTCCCTTTCTCTCTCTGCCTCCTTGAGAGCAGGCAGGAGCAGTTTGTTTTCGACTGCCGGAGGAGACTTGAAATATTACCAAGGTGGCGTGCGGAACGCTCCCCACGGCCCTGCCCCGATGGCACGCGTGCAGACATAAAAAGCAAATACCATCAGTAACCTGTCGCCAGATTCCAGCAACAAGGCGAGAGTTTTTCTCCCTGCCGGGGCTGTTAGCGGCGATGTATTTCTCCCTGCACTAAGCACCATCTTTCCCAAGGCTGCATTACAATGATTTATAAACCCCATTTCTGGGGAAAACGAATAGATCAAAGTGAGGAGAAAAGAAAAGGAGACATGAGCAGCTGGAGGAAGATATTGAAGCAGGAAGCAAAAAACACAAAAGAAAAACTAGGCAGTGACACAGTCGAGCTATTCCTCGCTGCACTTTTATCAGAGAAAAATAATAGCGAAATCTCGATTTTAATCCTTTCTCCCCCCGCCCCCCCACCCCCGTCCCCGTCTTAAGATGCGGCCGCCTGTCAGTTCCTAGGGCTCTGAGTGTGGCGGGCATGCGTGGGAGCGAGTCCTCAGGATCACACAACTGGACCCAGGCCGAGGGCTTCATCCAGAGAATACGCAAACCTTGGCCTCATCTTCCTCATCTTCAGGGGTGGGGGTGACCGGTTTAGGGGGCTCAGTCAGCTCCTGCACACATAAGAAGGATTGCCCTGAGTTGCTGTCCCAGTAGGGGCCAGTCATGGGTCTTTTTAAAGATCTGCCTGGGGCCAGGTGCCTGTAATCCCAGCACTTTGGGAGGCTGAGGCAGGTGGATCACTTGAGCTCAGGAGTTCAAGACCAGCCTGAGCAACAACTTGGTGAGACCCCATCTCTACATACATTAGTCAGACACGGTGGTGCACACTTGTAGTCCCAGCTACTCAGGAGGCTGAGGCATGAGAATCGCTTGAGCCCAGGAGGTGGAGGTTGCGGTGAGCTGAGATTGCACCACTGCACTCCAGCCTAGGCAACAGAGTATGACCGTGTCTCAAAAAAAAAAAAAATTTTTTTTAAATCTCCAGTTGGATCAGCAGCCTCTTCCCATCTCCCAGGTGGTTATTGCCCAAACTGAATGGTTTCTTTGAGATGCTGTTTTCCATGAAGACCAGAGGAAGAGGAAATGGACTTAGGACTGAGGGAGCTGAGTGGGGCCAGGCTATGGAAATCTTAATGGGATTCTGCACGGGCGCTCAAGTCCATCACTGAATAAGAGATGGCTCCAGGGCCAGGACTCTGTGCACCCACAGGGCTAGAAGGCACTGCCCCTGTCTAGTATTTTCAGAAGGTTCATTTGAACACATTTCTGGAGTCTGACCGCATGCCTGGCGCCATACCAAGGAGGCGCCGTAGGGAATATGAAGATGAATGAGTCAAGCGCTGGCTGAAGATGGGGTACAAATGGGAACAGGCACAGGCACGTGACAAGGCACATGAGGCTGGGAGAGGGGCAGCAGATGTCAAGATGGGGGGCAGGACAACAGCTACTGTGGACAGAGCCCCTCCTCAGTCACCCATTCTGAGCTGCCTTCCCCACCCAGCCACTTACTATAAGCGATGCTACCTTTCGGCTGTGTATTTATTGTCTGTCTTTCTCCATTCAAATGTAACCACGAGAGAGGCAGCTCACCTGTCTCGTTCAACGGAGCCTAGGATAGTACCCGACACTCAGCAGGTGCTTCATAAAATATTCGTGGATGGACGAGTGCCAGGCCCAGCACTCACATTTCCTCATTGAATCGCCACGGCAGTGCCACCAGGAATGTGTAATTGTCCTCATTTTAGAGAAGGGAAAACTAAGAGTGGATAAATAACTTGCTCAAGGTTATACAGCTAATAAGTGGCTGACGCTGGATGAGAACTCGGGTCTGTGTCTGTGGACCTCAAAGCCCACATCCTGGCCACTACATTCTGTGGCCTCCCCAAACCCCACAGTTAAGAGTTACAGCCTTTCCTTGACAATTGCATCCTGTTGGGAGCTGAGTGGAGAGACATTTGGGGTTCGTTTTGCTTTTTTGTTTTGTTTTGTTTTTGAGACAGTCTTGCTCTGTCACCCAGGCCAGAGTGCAGTAGTGCGATCTCAACTCACTACAACCTCCGCCTCCCAGGCTCAAGCGATCCTCCCACCTCAGCCTCCTGAGTAGCTGGGACCACAGGCATGTACCATCATACAGAGCTATTTTTTTGTATTTTTAGTAGAGATAGGGTCTCGCCATGTTGCCCAGGCTGGTCTCGAAGTTTTTTTGTTTTTTTTTTTCAGGAGTCTCGCTCTGCCACCCAGGCTAGAGTACAGTGGCACGATCTCAGCTCACCGCAACCTCCACCTCCTGGTTTCAAGCAGTCCTCCCTGCCTCAGCCTCCCGAGTAGCTGGGATATCAGGTGCCCGCCACCACACCTGGCTAATTTTTGTATTTTTAGTAGAGATGAGGTTTCGCCATGTTGGCCAGGCTGATCTCGAACTCCTGACCTCAGGTGATCCACCCGCCTCGGCCTCCCAAAGTGCTGGGATTACAGGTGTAAGCCACAGCACCCAGCCAGTTCCACTTTTTAAGGTAAGAACCCCACACTACTGGGCTCTGCTGCAATGACAGATGGTATTGCCATCAACAAGGTCCCAGGCCTGATAAAGCCTAGGAAAGGGCCAGCTAGGATCTGCGAGTAGAACAAACTTCACAAGATATCACTGGGCCTTCCCATGGACTGGAGTTCTTTGTGCAGGCTAATTTATTGCCTTTTCTTTCTTTTTTTTTGTAGGATGTTATGACATTTTGTGATGTCCTCACTTCAGGTAATCCTGGGATGGTCTAAGTGATCACTCTCTGACTTAAGGGGACTTTGAAAGAAGTGCCTCAGTGTGTGGTTTGGGTGGGGAGAATTGGCTCAAGTCACTGACTGATTGAAGTCAACAGATGGCCTTAGGTGCCTGAGGTCCACATGTCTACCAGGAGGGCTGGGCCACTAGATGGCTGGCCTGTCCCCATCCACTCAATAACAAGGGCAATGCTGGCCCCTGGCTACGTTATAGGTATGTCTGCCTTCTCAAAGCTAGGATACTGTTGCATAATTAGGAGTGCTTACTTGCTTTCCTGAAGTAGTCTTCACTTCTAGAAAAGGATTCACCACGTGGTTCCATTCAAAAGGGCATTGTATCAAACTATCACTCAATTGGTAAAAAATGTGATGTGTGGGCAGCTTTTCCAGAACACACCAACCAATGAACAATATCAGAGATGCCGATTTCAGCACCTGTTCCCTTTACTTGCAAATGGAAACCTCAGTAACACCTGAACACGTTTTATGGAGAAAGAAGCTTAGTTCCACTTTATTCATGTGGGGAAGTAAAACCAAAGTTTTACCCTAAAAGTTCAAAGAAATCGAACTGACTTACACTGGTTATTTAATATTTTAGAAAGCCCTCGGTTTCCTGGGATGACAAGCTACTCACTGTGTTTTCAGCCTGATCTGATTTTTAAATAGATGAGTTACAACCCTCCTGAAAATTGGGGTTTATAATTGAAATATTGATAAACTCTTTCCCATAAAGAAGCTACTAGATACTGCAGTAATAACTAGGAAATAGGCAAAAAATTATGATGCTTTTCTCTGCTTAGCCAAGAAGTACAATGGCAGAGTTTATTGCATACAAAACACAGCTGCCTTTCTTCAAATTGGATACAAAAAAAATGAACCCCGATAAATTATGATGCCCCTAAATTGCAAAGAATGTACATCAATTATTGGGGGTGCCACCGCCCTCCTTCTGGGCAACCTACTTATTAGGACTGTAATTTATTATTATTATGCTTTGGTGCAAATACACACGCTGATAAATTCAAATCTGTTAAAACAAATGTCCTCCTTTCTCTGAATCAGTAAGGGACAACATTCCAAAAGAAAGTATTGTAAATGTGAAAAGCAAATGGCTCTTACGTACTCAGAAGTGAGAGACCAAAAGATGATTGATTAAGGGAGAAAACATCCAGAATGATCCAAGCTTTCTGACTCCTACCCAAGAATCCAAGAATTGCTACAAGAGTGGGCAGCAAGATACAGGGTTGGGGTTCATTACCTGGTGCCCCTGGCTCCAGCCCCCACACTGAAGCCCTTTTTATGAAAACAAACGGTTTCTGTGGGGTTTTTAAATGAATCTTTTGGCTTCAATTGGAACCAACATGATATATATTTCCTTCCACCAGATATATGAATTATATTGGCTTTATTTTATTTTATTTTTTGAGACGGAGTCTCGCTCTGTCGCCCAGGCTGGAGTGCAATGGCGTGATCTCAGCTCACTGCAACCTCCGCCTCCCGGGTTCAAGCAATTCTCCTGCCTCAGCCTCCCAAGTAACTGGGATTACAGGCGCATGCCGTCTTGCCCAGCTAATTTTTTTGTATTTTAGCAGAGACGGAGTTTCACCGTGTTGCCCAGGCTGGTCTCGAACTCCGGAGCTCAGGCAATCCACCTGCCTCAGCCTCCCAAAGTGCTAGGATTACAGGTGTGAGCCACTGCGCCCGGCCTATATTGGCTTTTTAAAAAGCTGAACGTTAAATTTGGGAAGGATTTTAGGAATCACTGTTACTCCCCTCCTTTTACAGAAGAGGAAATGGAGATTCACTGAGGGCATGAAGGGAAGAGTGAAGGCTGAGTGTCAGGTCCATGCCCCAGGTTCATCCAGCTTCACTAACTTGCTGCTTGGCAAAAGAAAAGCCAAGTGGTTCGTGTTGACTGAGCACACACCATGAGTCTAATGCTTTTCTCTGCTTAGCCAAGAAATACAATGGCAGAATTTATTGCCATTAACTCTGCTTAATGGCAGCGCCACTAAGAGCTTTTCAGGTATATTAGGAATGGAACTCCTTCTTAGAGTCAAAGAATTTGAGAGTCAGAAAGGGTCATCTGGTCCTCCCTCCTGCTCAGGTCCAATAAATGTTCCTTGCAGAGTCAGTGGGTCTCCAGGCTGTTTAGTTCCTTCTGGGACAGAGCACCCCTGCTGCATGAGGCACCCCATCTCAGCAACAGATCCGTCACACTCTCGGGCACCTCTTCTTTATATCCAATTGGAGTCTGCCTCCCTGGAGCTTCCACCGAGGTCCTAGTCCTGATTCTTAGTTGCTGGGCACAGGCCTGACTCCTGGTGCAGAATCCAATGTTAGTGGCAGTTCAATAGCTCTCTCTGGAGTAAAACAGAAAAGCCACCTTCTTCAGAGACTTGAAAATCATGCTCCAATTCTATTTTGGCCTTTTCTTCTCCTTCAACTGGTCCTCCTGTGGTTTCTGGACTGCTCACCAACCTGGCCCCCTCCTCTTCAGGCTGCAGTACCCAAGGTAATCAGAGCTGAGCCCAGGTGCTCTTTGCAAAGCAGGGGCACGGGAAGGGGTCTTGCCTATTTATAACATCAGTGCCCAAACCAACGCCACCTGGCTGCTGTAAGAATGTTCTCAACAGGCTTGACTTTCCGCTTAGGAGAAGGCAGTGGATGCTCTGGTCAAGGCACGAACTGCAGAAGAGCTCTATCTGCCCTGGACCTTCCCCACAAGGGCACACCAACTGGGAGGAGACACATGCATTGTGACCCACCCTGCAGACAGCAAGGGGAGCCCTAATGGGCTCGCAATGGGGGAGCGATGGGACCAGATTTGTTCTTTTGAAAATCTCAGGCTGGGTGCGGTGGCTCACACCTATAATCCCAGCACTTTGGGAGACCGAGACAGGCAGATCATGAGGTCAAGGAGATCGAGACCACCCTGGCTAACAGTGAAACCCCGTCTCTACTAAAAATATAAAAAATTAGTCGGGCATAGTGGCACACACCTGTAGTCCCAGCTGCTCAGGAGGCTGAGGCAGGAGAATCGCTTGAATCCAGGAGGCGGAAGTTGCAGTGAGCCGAGATCACACCACTGCACTCCAGCCTAGGCGACAGAGTGAGACTCCTTCTGGAAAAAAAAAAAAAAGAAAAGAAAAAGAAAAAAGAAAATCTCCTTGACTCAGGGTGGGAGGCAGAGTGGAGGGGGTGAGGGCTGGTGGAGAGATGCCATAATGAAGGCAACCAGGATTGGCTCGGGTAGCAAACAGTGATGGCCCTGAACTTAGGGGGCGTGGTGGGGATCAAGAAAGGGACAAGGAATCTTCATGAGTGTCACACAATGAAGAGGAGAGAACTATGGAGTAAGGTGGCAGTGTAGATGCTGGGTGGCTGACGAGGTACACTCACTAGTTCAAATGACTCCTGTACACACAGACACACCTCACAGTGCAGGATATTCAAATTTGAATCTTCGCGAAACTATGAATCATTGAATGTCATGGGCCTTCCGGGCCCTCACTTGAGTGTTAAAACCACCAGCGCTAAAAGACCACTGTTTGTGGCAGACCGACTACCCACATCCAATTCATGATCTTTCTTTTTTTTTTTTTTTTTTTAAGATGGAGTTTCGCTCTTGTTGCCCAGGCTGGAGTGCAATGGCGCGATCTCAGCTCACTGCAACCTCCGCCTCCCAGGTTCAAGCAATTCTCCTGCCTCAGCCTCCCAAGTGGCTGGGATTACAGGTGCATGCCACCATGCCCGGCTAATTTTTTGTATTCATAGTAGAGACGGGGTTTCACCATGTTGGCCAGGCTGGTCTTGAACTCCTGACCTCCAGTGATCCACCTGCCTTGGCCTCCCAGAGTGCTGAGATTACAGGTGTGAGGCACCGTGCCCGGACCAATTCATGATCTTTCCACAGACCTGCTTCCATTCTGGAATTTTCCATCTTGGTTGGAGGCACTGCCATTGCTCAAGCCAAAATCCTGACATCCATCCTTAGCTTCTCTTCCTCATCTTCCATACTCAATCAGGCTGTCTCCTAAGTAGCTCTCCAACCCATTCATTTGTTTCTTGCCCTCTGCTGCTTACCTCTCACTCACACAACTGCCATAGCCTCCTCCTGGGTCTCTGAGCCTCCCGGCTTACCCGCTCCAATCCGGGCTCTCTCTGCAGCCACATGGTCTTGCATAAAGACAGGTCTGTTCATTTCACTGCCCCACTTAACATCTTTAAAGGCATCTCATGGCCTACAGTATCAGAACCAAAATTTCCTGGTGGGCAGTGTGGTGCCGTGGTTAAGCTCATGGCCTGTCTAGGCAGACCACAGAGTTCAAATCTCTGCTCTTCTGCTTACCAGCTGTATGTAGGTAGGCACATTAATGAACCATGCCTCAGTTTCCTCATCCGTGAAAAGGGATAATAGGAGGACCTATCTCACAGAAGTTTGGTGGCTGATATGCAGAATTTAATGAGTGTTTGCAGTCATTGTTTTTATTATTAATGGTCTAGACCCATGTCCAGCCTCTGTCCACATCCTGAGGCCATCTATTGCTCTCCCAACTTCTCCACTGCCAGGCCCCCACTTTTTGCCCCAGGAACACTCACTGACCTGTAGTTCTCACACATTGCATCCTTCTCCCTGTTTCCCTGCTTCTCCAAATGCTTTTTTTTTTTTTTGCCTGGAATATCTTCCCTACCTCATTTGCCTACAGAACTCTTAATCGGCCGGGCGTGGTGGCTCACACCTGTAATCCCAGCACTTTGGGAGGGCGAGGCGGGCAGATCACAAGGTCAGGAGATCAGGACCATCCTGGCTACCACGATGAAACCCCGTCTCTACTAAAAATACAAAAAATTAGCCGGGCGTGGTGGCGGGTGTGGGCATGGTGGCGGGCACCAGTAGTCCCAGCTACTCAGGAGGCTGAGGCAGGAGCATGGCGTGAACCCGGGAGGCGGAGCTTGCAGTAAGCTGAGATAGTGCCACTGCACTCCAGCCTGGGCGACAGAGCGAGACTCCATCTCAAAACAAACAAACAAACAAACAAACAAACAAAAAAACTCTTAATCATCCCTGGAAATTCAACCATTAAATATAAAAAGACTGACAATACCAACTATTGGTGAGAACGGGGAGCAACTGAGATGCTCATACCCTGCTGGTAGCCACGTGGAATGTCCAGCCACTTTGGAAAATGATATCGCAGAACCTTGCAAAGTTAAACAGACGTTTATTATGTAACTCCACAATCCCGTTCCTGGGTATTTGCCCAAGATAAATGAAAATATATGCCCACAAAAGTGTCTGTCTGGAAATCACAGGTTATTCATAGCAGCCTTAAACTGGGAGCAACCCAGATGTTCAACAACTGAACAAATGGATAAGTGAATTGTGGTAGCCCATATGATGGAAAACTTCTTGGCAATGAAAAGGAATGAAGTACTGCTATAGGCCACAACATGGATGAATCTCAGGTGCCTTATGCTAATGAAAGAAGTAAAACATAAAAAAAAAAAAAACCTGTGTACTCTATGGCTCCATTTATATCAAATTCTAGGAAGAACAAAACTGTAGCAACAAAAAGCAATCAGTGGTTGCTGCAGCCAGGAGTAGGAGAGGAGGGTGAGTGCAGCCAGGAGTAGGAGAGGAGGGTGAGTGCAGCCAGGAGTAGGAGAGGAGGGTGAGTGCAAGGGAGCAAAAGACAGCTTCTTTGGGTGGGGAAATTGTTCTTTATTTCTACTGTGATGGAGGTTACGTGATTGCACATAACTGCCAAATCAACCAAACTGGATGCTTAAAATGGATCAACTTTATGGCATAAATATCATAGTTTCATGAACCATAAAGGAAATTTGTAAACTGACCTCCAGACTGGCCCCCTCTGTGAAGCTTTCTCTGACTTCCCACCTCCACGGTGCCCTACCCTTGTCCACAGCCCAGTTGTTGGGCTTTTCCCATAACCTCATCTCCACGTCATAGGTGCCTATCTCCCAATTATTCTAGAGGCACGGTCCTTGGTCTCTTCGTGTATCTCCACTCCCCGACTGCTCATAATAAACAGAGGCTTCAGGCAGGCATGGTGGCTCAATCCTGTAGTCTCACCACTTTGGGAGGCCGAGGTGGGTGGATCACCTGAGGTCAGGAGTTCAAGACCAGCCTGGCCAACATGGTGAAACCCCGTCTCTACTAAAAATACAAAAATTAGCTGGATATGGTGGTGCATGCCTGCAATCCCAGCTACTCAGGAGGCTGAGGCAGGAGAATCGCTTGAACCTGGGAGGTGGAGGTTGCAGTGAGCCGAGATTGCACCATTGCACTCCAGCCTGGGCAACAAGAGCGAAACTCTGTCTCAAAAAGCAAAAACAAAAACAAACAAACAAACAAAACAGAGGCTTCATTTGGGGAGCATTTCCTGTGTTCTAAGAACTCTGCCAAGTGCTGGATCCTCACAACCAGCCCAGGAGGTGAATGTTACCATCCCTGTTTTATAAAGAAATGGAGGCTCAGAGAAGTTCAGTAAATACCTGCCCAATGTCTGGTCTGCCTGAGCCAAAGCTGTGCCTTAACACAACATTACACTGCCTGCTATGGTGCATGAGGGAAGAGAAAGGCCTCAGCAGTGATGTGTTTTAATCAACCTAATTGAATGTGAGAGTCATTCCATTCTTCTCCTACTCTGTCTGAGGCCACAATCCTTCCCAGGGTCATGCAACCAAAGTTTTGTGATGTACATATAGTAACAGTGTGTGTGTGTGCATGTGTGCGTGTGTGTGTGTGCATGTGTGCGTGTGTGTATCTTGATCCAGTACAACCTGAGCTTCTTCCCTCTCCCCATTTCTGAATTAAACGAAAAAGCTAAATTAGTCCTCAGCCCAGGAGACCAGTATTACCTTGAGAACAGCTAGCACCTCCAAGTTGTCATCTAATTAAGCCACACTCCCAAACAAAGCACATAACATTGTCACCACATTACCAATGGGTACCTCCCCTGGCAGCCCCTAACTGCATAATACAGCGGCTGCTGTAAAACAAATAATCTCACTGCCTTGTAAACTGGACTCCTAAGTAGGTCTTTCCTCCAGTGGATATCCTTTGAATGTTGGGTGGTTTTATTAAGAAATATTCTAGGGCTGAGTACAGAGAGGAAGTAGCAGGTTGGTTCTTTAATCAGCCCAATTTTCTGGTATGTTCTACCTTTTAGTATTCTAGAAAACCACTCTTTCAACATATACATTGCGCTAGGTGTCTGAAGTCCCCGCGTTTGCCGCTGTCAGCAGCTTAGTGTGTATTTGAGAGGAGTGTTAGGTCCGAACACACGGCGGACACGCTGTGTGTAACCGACGTGCTGATCTACGCGGACCGACCGCAGCCACTCCGCATGCTGCTTTGTGGATGGGGATGGCCAAGAAAAGGCCACGCGCTCCTGGTGGCAGGAGCAGGGATCACGTCCAAGCTGGCGAGTGAAGACAAGACCCCAGGCAGCCTAGTCAGGGCAGGCCACCTTACACTAGTCTGAAGTCTGCTTTCGATTACCTGCTAGGCTTCAAATGAAACTGGGATTTGAATAATATGACTTCTCCTTTCTTGGAAGAGGTCCTCTAACACAACAATGATCATTAACTCCACCCAGTTCACTCTCTGCATCCCCAGAAAGAGGCAGGTTCTAACTGACAGATGGAAGCCCAGCACTTCCAGCTGCATTCTGCACCAAGTTTCTTCTGCTCATTAGTTGATTTTAAGGGGGGAAAACATAAAATGCAGAATCAGTGGCAGAGTGTAGAATCTGGAGAGAGTCAGACTGGGGTCTGAATCCTGGCTCTCCTGCTTTACCCTAAGACTTTGGGGCAAATCATCTAACCTCCTTGAGCCTCAGTCTTCACCTCTGGAAAATGGGAGAACTGGGCAGGCCCAGTGGCTCACACCTGTAATCCCAGCACTCTGGGAGGCCGAAGCGGGAGAAGCACTTGAGCCCAGGAGTTTGAGACCAGCCTGGGCAACATAGGGAGACCCCCGCTCCCCACACCTGTATTTATTTTTAAAATTAATTTTAAAAAGTAAAAATAAAATGGGAAACTGATTCCTATCTCACAGGGCTGCTGGGAAGATTAACTTAAATGAGATGATGTTGAAAGCATTTGGCATGCTTTCCCACACAGTAGAGCCCTCAGTCAGCCAGCCACATGTTATCTTTTTTTTTTTTTTTTTTTTTTTGAGACGGAGGAGTTTTGCTCTGTCGCCCAGGCTGGAGTGCAGTGGTGTGATCTCTGCTCACTGCAAGCTCCGCCTCCTGGGTTCACACTATTCTCCTGCCTCAGCCTCCCAAGTAGCTGGGACTACAGGCACCCACCACCACGCCCAGCTAATTTTTTGTATTTTTTAGTAGAGACGGGGTTTCACCATGTTAGCAAGGATGGTCTCGATCTCCTGACCTCATGATCCACCCACCTCAGCCTCCCAAAGTGCTGGGATTACAGGCGTGAGCCACCACGCCCGACCTTGAGAGCCATATCTTTGGCAGGCACCGTCGGTAGTTAGGTGAAGAGTGAAGCACTACACGCGATCTATCGGGGCTTCATTCGAGCTGGTGTTCTCGGTGAAAACAGAAACCAGGACCACGCATGACCAGACGACTCAGAGATCCAGGTCTGAGGGCCACAGCCTTGGGCTCCAGGATCAGGGTTCAGCCCTGCTCTCTGGCACGACCGAGCAGACTCTTTAATTTCCTAGATTTTAAGGAAGCTCTTCTGAACTTTTTTTTCCATAATGAAAAATATCTCATGGATCAAGTTCTCATGTGCTCACCATGCCTGTGAGCAAACCTAGATCCTGAGGAAAGTCCCCACCAGCATCATTTGTAGGACAATTACATTAGAATGAGCACCCATAATTGGAACAGCTACATAAGGGTCAACAGCAAACGCCTGTCACTACAGGCTGAGATGAGAGGCAGGTGGAGAGCGGCACCCAATGCACCCTGCCCAGTTGGAAGCCCCCTCCCCTAAAAGAGCACTAGAGAACACAAGAGCAGAGAAATTCTCTTATTTATTTTGTTTTTCTTTTTCTTTCTTTCTTTTTTTTTTTTTTTTGAGATCGAGTCTCACTCTGTCGCCCAGGCTAGAGTGCAGTGGTGCAATCTCGGCTCACTGCAACCTCCACTTCCCAGGTTCAAGTGATTCTCCTGTCTCAGCCTCCTGAATAGCTGGGATTACAGGCACCCACCATGACGCCTGGCCAATTTTTGCATTTTTTAGTAGTGACAGGTCTTCACCATGTTGACCAGGCTGGTCTTGAACTCCTGACCTCAAGTGATCTGCCTGCCTCGGCCTCCTAAATTGCTGGGATTACAGGCGTGAGCCACCGCGCCCAGCATATTTATTTTGTTTTTCAAAAGCCAATAACCTGTGCCCCCATCTTCATAGCAGCACTATTCACAATAGCCTAAAGGTAGAAGCAACTCCAGTGTCCTTCAACAGAGGAATGAATACACAAAATGTGGTCTATCCATACAGTGGAATAGTATTTATCCCTAAAAAGGAATAAAGTTCTGACACAAGCTACAACATGGATGAAGATGAGGCTAAGTGAAATAGGCCAGACACAAAAACACAAACATGGTAGGCTTCTGCTTTTATGATGTACTTAGAGTAGTCAGATTCATAGAGACAGAAAATAGAACAGTGAGGCCAGGCACAGTGGCTCACACCTGCAATCCCAGCACTTTGGGAGGCTGAGGCGGGCAGATCACCTGAGGTTGGGAGTTTGAGACCAGCCTGGCCAACATGGCAAAACCCTGTGTCTACTAAAAATACAAAAATTAGCCAGGCATGGTGGTGCGTGCCTATAATCCCAGCTACTCGGGAGGCTGAGGCAGAAGAATTGCTGGAACCCAGGAGGCGGAGGTTGCAGTGAGCCAAGATTGCACCACTGCACTCCAGCCTGGGCAACAGAGTGAGACCCTGTCTAAAAAAAAAAAAAAAAAAGAAAGAAAGAAAATAGGACAGTGTTGCTAGGGGCTGGTGGAGGGGGAATGAGGAGTTGTTTAATGGGGACAGAGTTTCAGTTTTGCAAGATGAAAAGAGTTCTGGAGCTGGATGGTGGTGATGGTGGCACAATGACACAGTATCTAATGCGGTTCAGCATTTAATGCCACGTAACTCTACAATTAAAAATGGGTAAGACGGCAAATTTTAGGTCACGCATATTTTACTACAATTTTTTTTAAAAAATTTTAAAGAAAAAAGATCAATAACCTGCAAAAGTCAGTATTTTACCAGTAGCGACAAATGATTTACAACACCCTCGCTATGGATCCAAACACTGCACGATTTCGGGAGACCACAGCCAAGACCCAGCCACCCTGCCGGAAGGACTCAGGTCAGCCTTCCTGCCTTGCCATGGCCATCTCTCTTGAATCTAACCACAGGCACCTCCTGAACCTGTGGGGCCCTGGAGGCGGGCCATGAGCCAAGAGGACAAACCATGGCATGAATGTGCTGAGTGTATGTGCTCCTGCTTCATTCCCCTCTCGTTCCTCTTTCCTGGCATGGATCCAGCCCATAATAAGGCAGATTCTCAAAGGAGAGAGCACACTTCCTGCCCAAATGACAAGCTGTGGATTATGCAGATATCTTTCCAGATGTGGCATTTGTCTCCCTGGCAATGCCGCAGGTGGCTCTAGGTTTGCTTGGCTGGAAAACCCCATCTGAGCGCCTTAGCCTCACAAATACCTTCTTCCATTGCTGCTGCTAATGCCCAGGGCTTCCATGTGCAAGCTGATTTCCCACGGAGCTGCAAAGCCACCTCTGTAGGAAACGGGAAGTGGAAGAGGAAAGGGTGTTCTCAGAATCCAATGAAGGACGAGGTGGAGCCTTCACCCTGGTGGCTGCTCAGCTCTCATCTTGGGCATGTCTGGAAGCCTGGCCTGTGGGCCCGGGAGGGCCACTGTCATCTATCCAGGGCCCAGCTCAGAATTGACACTTAAGGAATGGCTGGCGTGTGAACTCAACGGTTGATTGAATAAAATGGGAAAATGGCCCAGAACTGACACTGATTCCAGGCAGTGTTGTGGGTGCAAAATGCATGCTTTGCAGACCCAAACAAGTGATTTTCAAGTCCAGTGTCTACTATTCAAGCGTGGCCAGAAGCCCCATGCATGTAATCTGGAATCCTATTTTCAACGTCATGCTCCAATTTTAGCCTTACAGACCATAGCGTTCTCCTTCTCAGGAAGAATGCTTCCTACGTCTTGGGTTAATATCTTGAAAAACTGCTACTACATATGTAAGTGACAATAACTGACATAATCCAAACTGAGCATTGTTGCTTCACGAAGGGCCGTTTACCAAGATGGTCCATTTTACCTAAGATAAACACCGGCCTATTTTAAATTAAAATACTTTTCTGGCCGGGTGCAGTGGCTCATCCCTGTAATCCCAACACTTTGGGAAGCCGAGGCAGGCGGATCACCTGAGTTCGGGAGTTCGAGACCAGCCTGACCAACATGGAGAAACCCCAACTCTACTAAAAATACAAAATTAGCCAGGTGTGGTAGCACATGCCTGTAATCCCAGCAACTAGGGAGGCTGAGGCAGGAGAATCGCTTGAACCCGGGAGGCGGAGATTGCGGTGAGCCGAGATCACGCCGTTGCACTCCAGCCTGGGCAACAAGAGGGAAACTCCGTCTCAAAAAAAAAAAAACAAAAATAAAACAAAAAAAAAACTTTTTTATTTTAATGAGCATGAATGCCCCTCAATGAATGGATAAATAAATTGCAGCATATCTATACAATTGAGTATTATTTAGCCATTAAAAGGAATGACGTACTGATACTTGCTGCGACATGGATGAACCTTAAAAACATGTTAAAAACCCTAACACAAAAAGTCACATGTTATGATTCCCTTTATATACAATATCCAAAATAGGCAAATCCACAGAGACAAAAGGCAGGTTAGTGGTTAGCAGGGGTTGGCAGAGGGGAATGGAAAGTGATTACTGGAAGGTTTTGGGGTGTTCTTCTGGGGTGATGAAAAAACTTTCAAAACAGAGGTGCTAGTTGTACAACATCGTGAATGCATGAACTGCCAGTGAATTGTACACTCTAAAATGGTTTGGCCGTGTGTGGTGGCTCACACCTGTAATCCCAGCACTTTGGGAGGCCGAAGTGGGAGGATCGCTTGAGCCCAGGAGTTTAAGACCAGACTGGGCAATATAGCAAGATCCCATCTCTACAAAAAATAAGTACATATATAAAAATGATCGAATATCATGCGAATTTTGCCTCGATGAAAAAAAAAAAGATGGGCATGATTATCTCCAAGTACACAATAACCTATAAGAAAAGGTTTATAAGATTATGTAAAATGATGCAGCATAAATTATAACACAGAGATTTCTTTTTTGAGATGGGGTCTCACTGTGTTGCCGAGGCTGGAATGCAGTGGCTCGATCTCAGCTCACTGCACCCTCTGCCTCCGGGGCTCAAGCGATCCTCCCACCTCAGCCTCCTGAGTAGCAGGGACCACAGGTGCACACCACCACACCTAGCTAATCTTTTCATATTTTGGGTAGAGACAGGTTTTCGCCATGTCACTCAGGCTGGTCTCAAACTTCTGTGCTCAAGTGATTTGTGTGCCTTGGCCTCCCAAAGTGCTGGGATTATAGGTGTGAGCCACTGTGCCCAGCCTGTTTTTTCTTATTGAATAAATTTTGCCAGTTACAATCCCATCAAGATGCGAATGCCATTCTGTCCAGGAGAGAATGGTCTTATAATCCATCCCCACTGCAATTCCTTGTTCCATATCACTGCTTGTCTTGGAAACTCCCAAGGGAGGGCGGGGGCTATGTCTGTCTTACCGCCTGTATTCCTAGTACCTAGATCAGCTCCTGGCACATAGTAGTAGGTGCCAAATAAGTGAACAACTGAACAGTGTACAACTGAACCTCCCTAAACTGCACAAAGGGTAGAAGATACTCTGGGCTGGCCCAGCACTTCTCAAACTGGAATATGCACACAGATTACCTGGGACCTTGTTGAAATGTAGGTTCTGATGATTAGGAAGGTCTGGGGTGGGGGCTGAGACTCTGCGTCTCCAGCAAGTGCCCAGGGCTGTGGACGCTGCAGACACACCAGCCACCCTTGGAGGAACAGGAGCTCAGGCGTGCCTGACCCAAGCCTTGCCATTGAAGAAGATCGGGTTCCTGGTATTTGAATCCGGGGCTGTTTGTCTCCCCAGAACTCACTGCTCACTCTGCCTCCGCGCACCGAGGCAGCCTAAGCACTTCCTTGTTGTTACCCTGAGGAGGATGATTAAGGTAATTGGCAACTTTTTCCCGTGATTCCAAGGTAGGCTGTCATTTCAAGGAAAATACGTCCACTCCAATTCAGAACACTCAGTTTCAATGTTTTCTTATGTGTGGTTGGCGGGGAGCGGGGAGGGTGTCTGTGGCCCTCAAAAGAAATATGCTATTCTTCTCCCTTTGTGTTTCCCAGCATGTAAACTCAGCTTGAATCACAGCTAATAAATAGGTCATCTTGTACTTTCAAAATAAAAACATGCCGTATTTCAGTGGAATAGCAACTGTACATTAAAAAGCTGTCAACTTCACTACAATTTCCCTGAACCTTGCACTGCAGAAAGATACCTTGTCACTCAGAGTTGAGTGCAGTTTTACTGAAATATCTCCTTGTCTGCGTAAATAATGAGTAGAATTGCATGAAAATATCTGGCCCACAGTCTCCTTTTCCCCCTACTCCCAAAGAAACAGTATGCAAATGACAGATTTGTGGGGTGAAATTCTCAACACTTTACTTTGAAAACAAAGGCT
The DNA here is from genome assembly GCF_000001405.40 of Homo sapiens. Taxonomy (NCBI): domain Eukaryota; kingdom Metazoa; phylum Chordata; class Mammalia; order Primates; family Hominidae; genus Homo; species Homo sapiens. The sequence continues at coordinate 132,441,126 of NC_000009.12, read as the reverse complement.
GCGGGTCCCACTGACCCTGGTATTGTGTGTTTAGGATGCAGAGAGGAGGAAAAGGGAATAAGGAGGAAAAGAGAGTAAGAGGCAAGGAGAGAAGGGTGATGGTGAAAACAGTGGTCTTTGCAAGCTTCAAATCAAGGAGGCTAGACTGTCACTCAACAGCTATTTTGGGAACACACACACAGGTTGCATCAGAAAGTCCTGTATGTGGGAGGTGTTTACTGAAGAGGAATGGTCCAGACTCCAGAAAGTGTCTATGTAAAATAGGGCAGCCTGCACAGCTTGCAGCGTCCGACCCAGGTTCAGATCCATTGTCTACCACTGATGGGTTATCGAAGTCCCTACACCTCTCTGAGCCTCGGCTCCCTGGACTCTCAAATGACGACAGAAATAATGATGGCCCTCCCAGGGTGGTAGCAGATGAGATGATAGATTCAAGGGTACTTTGTAAACCCTCAAACATGATCTAGATGTTAATCATAATTGTCAATAGCTAGTCAATGGCATTGTAGCAGAGTTACTAACAAGAGGATGGGCTATGGATTCAGCCTAGTGGAGGTTCAGATCTTGGTTTCACCACTCACTAGCAGTGTGACTTCAGGCAAGTTTCTGTATTTCTCTGAGCCTTGGTTTTCTGATCTGTAAAATGGGAATACCAATGGTATCTACTCTGGTCAGGTTGTTAAGAGGATTTGATGAGAGAATGCATTGTAAAACCATTTCTTGGCCCATAGAAACTGTTCGGTCAATGTGAGTTGTTTATTATTATTATTACTATTATTATTATTATTTTGAGACAGGGTCTCACTCTGTCACCCAGGCTGGAGTGCAGTGGTGTAACCATGGCTCACTGTAGCCGCGTCCTCCTGGGTTCAAGCGATCCTCTCTCCTCGACCTCTCAAGTAGCTGGGACTACAGGCATGTGCAACCATGCCCAGCTAATTTTTTTATTTTTATTTTTTGTAGAGAGGGGGCTTCGCAATGTTGCCCAGGCCTGTCTCAAACTCCTGAGCTCAAGTGATCCCCTCGCCTCGGCCTCCCAGAGCAGTTATTATTGTTATTGCTGCTGCTGCGGCTGCCGCTGAGGATGATGTTATAATGTTGATAATGATGATGATGCCATTATGCTGATGTTGATGATGATGATCTACGATAAGAATGATATCCTCCATTCCTCCCTGAGTGGTGATCTACATCACCGCACCATAGGATCGAGGAATAAGAGAGATGTTTGCTCTGGACAGGTAGATTAGAGCATCTTTTTTTTTTTTTTTTTTTTTTGAGACGGAGTCTCGCTCTGTCTCCCAGGCTGGAGTGCAGTGGCACGATCTCGGCTCACTACAAGCTCCGCCTCCCGGGTTCACGCCATTCTCCTGCCTCAGCCTTCCCAGTAGCTGGGACTACAGGCGCCCGCCACCACGCCCGGCTAATTTTTGTTGTATTTTTTAGTAAAGACAGGGTTTCACCATGTTAGCCAGGATGGTCTCGATCTCCTGACCTCGTGATCTGCCCGCCTTGGCCTCCCAAAGTGCTGGGATTACAGGTGTGAGCCACCACTCCCGGCCAGATTAGAGCATCTTACCCAGAGTAAGAGCTGAAACTATAACAGCAGCTGATTTATCTGAAGATGAATCAGGAAGACTAAATCAGACCACAGAGAGCTGGATCTCTCGGCTCAGGGCTCAGAGCGGGGAGTGACCAGACAGATGCTTCAGCTGCCTGGGTTGGCTTAATCACAGAGCCTCATAGAGGAAGGAAGCCAAAGCCAGTGATTCAAGCAGGTGAAAGAACAGGAAACCTGGTCCTGCACGCCCCTACCAGGAAATTCCTCTCTGGCTTAGCAGCTTCTACCCACATGAGCCAGGTCTTGTTCTTCAGGACTCAGGGCTGGGTACAGTGCAGAGTGAAACATCATGTTCAACTGCTTCCTAAGCCTTAATTTAAGAATATTGACTGCCGGGCATGGTGGCTCATGCCTGTAATCCCAGCACTTTGGGAGGCCGAGGTGGGCAGATCACCTGAGGTCAGGAGTTTGAGACCAGCTTGGCCAACATGGTGAGACCCCATCTCTATTCAAAATACAAAAATTAGCTGGGTGTAGTGGTGTGCACCTGTAATCCCAGCTACTCAGGAGGCTGAGGTGGGAGAATCGCTTGAACCCGGGAGGCAGAGGTTGCAGTGAGCCGAGATCCCACCACTGCACTCCAGCCTGGGCAACAAAGTGAGATTCCGTCTCAGAAAAAAAAAAAGAAAAGAAAAGAAAAAAGAAAAAACAAGAAACAAAGAATGTTGGCCGGTCAGGTGCGGTGGCTCACACCTGTAACCCCAGCACTTTGGCAGACTGAGATGGGTGGATCACTTGAGCTCAGGAGTTTGAGAACAGCCTGGGCAACATGGTGAAACCTCATCTCTATAAAAAATACAAAATTAGCCAGGCATGTTGGCATGTGCTAGTAGTCCCAGCTACTCAGGAGGCTGAGGTGGGAGGATTGATTGAGCCCAGGAGGTTGGGGCTGCAGTGAGCCATGATGTGACACCACATTCCAGCCTGGATGACTTGAGACCCTGTCTAAAAAAAAAAAAAAAAATATATATATATATATATATATACCATATCTGTTCCCCCAAATAAAGGAGAACTCAGAATCCTTTTATCTTGGAAATTTTTATGTGTGGAAGTATATTACATTTTCCTAAAATACATGCATTTGAGACTCAATAGAAACCAATGGTATACAAAATCAGTCTCTATCAGCTCACCAGAGCCAATCATTAAGTATCAGGAATCTTGCAAGCCAAATGTAAAATAGGAACATCATTAAAAATTAAATTATACAAACTTTAAGTTATATAAAGACAATGCAATACATACTCAAAAGTCATCACTTTCTAATTATTTTCCAATGTCTTTTTTTTTTTTTTTTTTTTTTGATGGCGTCTCGCTCTGTCTCCCAGGCTAGAAGGCAGTGGTGCAATCTTGGCTCAATACAACCTCCGCCTCCTGGGTTCAAGTGATGCTCCTGCCTCAGCCTCCTGAGTAGCTGGGATTACAGTAGCCCACCACACCCTGCTAATTTTTGTATTTTTAGTAGCGACGAGGTTTTACTATGTTGGCTAGGTTGCTCTTGAACTCATGACCTCAGGTGTTGGCCTCAGCCTCCCAAAGTGCTGGGATTACAGGAGTGAGCCACTGCGCCTGGCCAATGTCTCACTTTTCTCTGTACTCTTGAGGTTTATTTATATCTATTACAGCTATATGGTGAAATTACTATATACCCATTTTCCACACCCGGGGTGATCTCTCTAAAATGCAAAAGTGGGCCGGGCGCGGTGGCTCACACCTGTAATCCCAGCACTTTGGGAGCCCAAGACGGGCAGATCACGAAGTCAGGAGATCGAAACCATCCTGGCTAACATGGTGAAACCCTGTCTCTACTAAAAATACAAAAAATATTAGCCGGGTGTGCTGGCGGGCGCCTGTAGTCCCAGCTACTCGGGAGGCTGAGGCAGGAGAATGGCGTGAACCCGGGAGGCGGAGTTTGCAGAGAGCCGAGATCGCGTCACTGCTCTCCAGCCTGGGTGACAGAGTGAGAGTCCGTCTCAAAAAAAAAAAAAAAAAAAAAAAATGCAAAAGTGGTCCCGCCCCTCTTGATGTTTTCCCACTGCCCTCGGACGAAGTCCAGACTTCTACTGTGACATCCACGACTCTTTCCTTCAGCCTTGCCTCTTGCCACGTCCTGCGTCGAGTTTGAACCCGTAATACTGGCCGTCTTTCTGTTCCTGGAGTGCACCTTAATGTCTTTCTGCTTCGAGCCTTAGCCCATGGTCTCACTCCTTGCACAAGAAGAAAAGAGCAAACAAACAATTGCAGAGTAAGGTTATAAACACACTCACAGTGTATCAACAGCTCAAGGAGTCTTCAGAAAGCAGGACCAGTGCTTGGGGACAAGGCGATCAGGGAAGGCCTCATGATGACAGGAACTGTCATCTTTCTTTATGCATCGAGTTACCTGAATAGTATTACATGCACATGACACAGAAGTCAGATGATACACAGGGTGCGAAATGAAGAGCAGGTCTCCCTCCTGTTCCTGTCTCCCCACAGAGGCAAGCTCTACTGTAACTTTAAAAATGATCCTCATAACAGAAATTGTAAAGTAGGGGTGGGGGGAAAATCCAGCCCCTATCTATAACTTACCACTTTTCATTTTTCAGAGCTCACTTCCTGGCCCTATCCAGACAAGTTCACTCTCCAGACAAGGATAATTTTTGCAAAACTGCTATCATACTAGACATATAATTTTGTGTTCCACCTCCTCCTCACTACCCCACTCATCAACCTATCATGGGCATTTTCCCCATCAGGAATCTCACTTGAAGCGTTCGTAATTATCACTTTGAATTGCCGTAGCATTAAAGTTTCCAGCTTCAAATGTGGAATGGTGGAATGGCCACTAGATATCACTTAAATGTCTTCAAAAGGTTGTATTTTTTTTCCTGACTGTTCTTTTCATAAAGATCACTCTGCATATATCTTCATGCCATGAAAAAACTAGGAAGAGAAATTCTTTGTTGAAGCAAGAGTGAAAAATGCTTGTGTAACTGACTTGGATCAAGTGACCAATTCAAATTTTTTGCAAACCCTACTATAGTGGGTTGCAAAAGGTATGTCCCCAGAACCTGTGAATGTGACCTCATTTGGAAAAAGGATCATTGCAAATGCAATTAAGAATCTTGAGATGAGATCATCCTGGATGATCCTTGAGGATCCTAAATTCAACGAAAAGTGCCCTCGTAAGAGAGAATATGAGAAGACACAGGAGAGAGGCCACGTGACCACAGAGGCAGAGATCAGAGTGATGCGGCCACAAGTCAAGAACACCTGGAGCCACTAGAAACTGGGAGAGGCCAGGAAAGACCCTCCCTTGGAGAATTTGGAGAGAGCTTGGCCCAGGTAGCACCTGTGATTTTAGACTTCTGACCTCTGAAGCTGTGACAGAATACATTTCTTATTATTTCAAGCCACCAAGTTGTGACTTGCGATGGCAGCCATGGAAATGAATACACCTGCCAAGTCCATAACCAGACCATCATCCTTTCTTCATTCCCTGGGTTCTCCTGGGGAATGCGCACCTGCTGCCGATCTCAGTTCACTCACTGAGCAAATGCACTCTGGTGACCAAAAATTCAGACTCATTAGCATAAAAATCCCACTTAGCAGAATCTACATAAAGGTAAGCCCTGTGTTTCTTTCACTGGTCCAGTGTACAGTGGGTGACAATAAAGTCATGAGCTGACATCACCAAACATTCTAGAAAAATGCAAGGGTTTGAAATGAAGGTGGGCCGTGGGGTGCCCTCATGGTATTGAAGGGTGAGGTCATGCTGGACACCATTCGATACCATGTTAATTGAGTTCCTGCTATCTTGGCAGTGCCAAACGCTGTTGGTGTAGACATTAAGTCTGCTTGGACACACTGCTCCGGTCTACCAAACACCACTCGGTATCGATGAAGCTTCTTTAACTCGACCAACCACCCCAGGGGCCAAGCCTTTCATAAACAAACTGGCCTCTTGGATTCAGGGGGAAATACTCTGAAAAGCATTCAGATTCCTTCACTTTTATTTAGTTTGAAGTGAACACAGTCTTTTCCTAGCGTGTCGTTATTATTGACAACTGGAGATAAAATCTCAGATCACTAAAGCTACGCATGGTGATAGCTCATCCTGGGCAGAGCAGTGATGAATGAGAGAGGGCTTTCTAGTAAAGTTTTAAAAATCTCTCTCTTTTTCTCTCTCTTAGAACCCCAAAATGGAAGTTACAACATTCAGTAAATAAATAAAATAAGTGGGCAATCTCGTGGTGACATTTTCATTAGCCCACTCGCTTTCTGTCTCATTAGCCTTCACGGGGAGAGGAAGGATTGTTTTAATTAGCAGGGTGGAAAAGTCTTGCCTGGGTTGCATTCCCTCCCGCTGTTCCTAGGATTACCCTGTCAGCTTATAAATACAATACCAAATCATTACAGCCCACAACACCACCTCCAAGGCGGCGGAAGAAAGGGATCCACTTGAGTCCATGTTAAGCGTCTTTGAACAATGGTCTTTCTCTAAGCATTCAAGTATAATTCAAGCGTAATATTGGGATTTATCAAACAGCTCAATATCCTGCCACAGAAAGGCCCTTTCTGGCTTGGGACTGGCCATGTGTTCCTTCCTTTTCGCTTTTGTGCTCTGGGCGGCCCAGGCAGAGCGTGCATCTGACAGAGTGGCCATGCTGGAAGGGATCACGGTTTCAAAGTGCCCATTTGGATTTACTTGTTAAATGCTCAAATCAAAAGCCAGACCAGAAGCAATCCCTCTGCCCCCCTACAGGTTCCTATATCCGTTTGCACTGCTCATGGGCGCTTGGGGGCTTGATAACACACAGGTTGTTGTGATATGAATCGTGTTTCAATTACACAAAGTTGTACGCACAGATATTTTGCTTCTCGGTGAAACCAAATTGTAGATTCATAGGTTCCACCCACCTGTGCACATAGCTGTGCCTTCCTTCATGGAGAAAAGCCTGTCTTTGAATCTTAAAATGAAAGTGTCTTAAGTTTGGATCGAAAATACATCTAGATGTTTGTAGAAATGCCAAGGCTACTATTCACTAGGAGACAGTCTCCCAGGTCCTCATTAAACTGTTTATTTGCTCATTTGACAAACATTTATTGAACACCTACTTTATGCCAAGTACTGCAGGCACTGGGGATAGAAAAAATTTAAAAAGACCTGGTTCCTGGCCACAAGGAACCCACAAGGACAGACATTTTCATATACATGGTAAGAACAATGACAGAAATACACACAGGATACAAAGGCGGCAAAGAGCGGGGCCACATAAAACACCTCAGAGCGGGGATGGGGTCTGGAAAGACTTCCAGAGGAGAGGACCCAGAGCTGGGCCTTATTTATTTTATTTTATTTTATTTTATTTTTATTTTTTCGAGATAGGGTCTTGCTCCATCACCCAGGCTGGAGTGCAGTGGTGTAATCATGGCTCACTGCAGTCTCAGCCTCCTTGGCTCAAGCGATCCTCCCATCTGAGCCTCCCAAGTAGCTGGGACTACAGGCACATGCCACCATGCCCAGCTAATTTTTTTTTTTTTTTTTTACACATGGGGTCTCCCTATGTTGCCCAGGCTGGTCTCTAACTCCTGGACTCAAGTGATCCCAAAGTACTGTAATTACAGGCATGAGCGCCTGACCAAAGCTGGGTTTTAAAAGATGAATAAATAGGTTGGTAGAGGTGGCTCACACCTGTAATCACAGCACTTTGGGAGGCCGAGGCGGGTGGATCACCTGAGGTCAGGAGTTCAAGACCAGCCTGGCCGACATGGTGAAACCCCATCTCTATTAAAAATACAAAAATTAGCTGGGCATGGTGGCTCACACCTGTAATCCCAGCTACTCAGGAGGCTGAGGCAGAAGAACTGCTTGAACCCAGGAGGCGGAGGTTGCAGTGAGCCAAGATTGTGCCACTGCACTCCAGCCTGGGTGACAGAGTGAGACTCTGACTCAAAAAAAAAAAAAAATGAATGAATAGCCACGTGAGGAGAGGAGAAGTGTGGGGAGCGTAGTGAAGTGGCATCTCAGGTCAGGGTGGAGGGCAGTCTGCCCACAGGCAGGTGGCTAGTTTATGCCATCTGTGCTGTCCTTTGTCATAGAGGTGAGAAGGTGAGTACCAGCTGGCATAATCACGACTCACAGAGTGTGGTAAGGGAAGAAGGGCCATCAAAGGCTAGAAGAGCTCACACACGAGTACGGCTGGCAAACAGAAACCCAGCAGCCCTCAGAGCAAGTGCCATTTCTCAGGCCCTTACCATTGAGCAAGCTCTGCACTTAGCTTTACACACATCTGTCTCATTTCATCTTTGCAACAGCCCCATGAAGTAGGTGCTATTGTCAGCCCTCATTTATAGAAAAGGAATCAAGGGTCCTGACATGGTGGTTCACGCCTGTAATCCCAGCACTTTGGGAGGCCAAGGTGGGGTGGATCACTTGAAGTCAGGGGTTTGAGACCAGCCTGGGCAACATAGCGAAACCCCATCTCTACTAAAAATACGAAAATTGGCCGGGCTTGGTGGCTCACGCCTGTAATCCCAGCACTTTGGGAGGCTGAGGCGGGCAGATCACAAGGTCAGGAGATCAAGACCATCCTGGCTAACATGGCGAAACCCATCTCTACTAAAAATACAAAAAAAATTAGCTGGGCGTGGTGGCGGGTGCCTGTAGTCCCAGCTACTCGGGAGGCTAAGGCAGGAGAATGGCGTGAACCCGGGAGGCAGAGCTTGCAGTGAGCCGAGATCGCGCCACTGCACTCCAGCCCAGGCGACAGAGTGAGACTCTGTCTCAAAAACAAAACAAAACAAAACAAAAAATGAAAATTAGCTGGGTGTGGTGGCGCATGCCTATAGTCCCAGCTACTCAGGTGGCTGAGGCAGGAGAATTGCTTGAACCCGGGAGGCAGAGCTTGCAGTGAGCTAAGATCGCACCACTGCACTCCAGCCTGGGCGACAAAGCAAGCTCCATCTTAAAAAAAAAAAAAAAAAGGAACCAAGGACTAAGAAGGGACCCTCTTGCTATCTGAGGTTATGCAGCTAGCAAGCAGCAGAAGGAGGGGTAAACTGCAGACCTGTCCAAGTCCAAAGTCCTTGCTACAATCTATGGACGGGTCTGGCTCCCAACAAGACTGTCAAGCTGACATTCTCAAATATGGGTTCCTGGCCACCCAACTCCTCCCATGTAAAGCCCTCAGACTCTGTTCACATCTTGCTAGGGATTCCACTCCACTTTGTCCCTGAAACGACACATTTCTTCCACACATCACCCTTTTGCCCTCCCCCAGATCCAGGCTCACTTATATTGTGTCCTGCTTCCTGATGTCCTTTTATAGAACTAGAAATTCTAAGAGAGGACTCTGGGCCAAGGTCTGTGTTCCTGGGCTCCGTGTTTCCAGCGAGACATCTGTGATTATTTGAATTGTTGTTCCCTGACGTGCAGTGTGTTATTTTTCCCTGTCTGATTTCAAGATTTTCTCTTTATTTTTGGTTCTTCACAATGTGCCTATGACGTTCACAGGCGTGGTTTTGTTAATTTTTAGGAATCTCGTTTGAATAGCCAGGAGTGGTGGCTCACACCTGGAATCCCAGCTACTCGGGAGGATAAGACAGAGGAATTGCTTGAGGCCAGTAGTTCAATAAATCTTTTTGGGATTCACTGAGATGTACTAGGTTGGTGCAAAAGTAATGGCAAAAACTGCAATTACTTTTGCACCAGCCTAATATGTCTTTGAGTAAATTTGGGGAAATTTGGGCTACTATTCCTTCAGGAAAACATGTTAGACCTTTTGATACCATCTCACAGGTCCCTGAGGATCTGCCCACTTTTTTCAGTCTTTTTTCTCTGTTCCTCAATTGGATAACTTTTATTGGTATATATTCAGGATCACTGAGTCATCTGTTATCTAGATTCTGCTGTCGGGCTCATTAAGTGAATTTTTACCTCAGACATTGTATTTTCACTTCTAGATTCCTGTGGGTTACTTTTTGTCCTATCTTTTCATTCATCGAGAACATATTTTTCTTTACATCTCAAGCGCAGTCATAGCATCCACTTTAAATTCAGGATTGCTGATTCTAAATCTGGATAATTATCTCAATTCTATATGTTTTCACTTGAGAGTGAGTCATATTTTCCTATTTCTTTGCATGTCAAATATACTTCTGAGGTGTGCCTTGGACATTGTGACTGACCCATTGTAGAGACTCTGGATTATTTATGTTCTTTTAAAACATTTTTTGTTTGTTTGTTTTGTTTGCAAGAAGCTAACTTGATTGAACTCAAAGTGCAAACTTTGCCTCTTCTGCAGTGGACGGAAGTTCATGTCTAAGTTCTGTTATTTATTTTAGCCTTATTTGGGCTTTGTAGTATCTGTGCCTTTTGTATGGGCTCAGGGATTATCCAGAGACCCTGAATTTGGACTTCCCTTCTCTGGCTCTCTCCTTTCCTGGATTCTTCCCTCACCTTCCAGTGATGGTGGTTGCTCCAATTCTGTCTTCTGGTTCTTCAACCACAGGTTGACTAGAATCACAGGTTTCTATCCAAACTGTAGACATGCTGTGCAGCACTGACTATAGCCTGGCCTTTGGATAAAGGTCATTTTTAAAATAGGAAAGTCATTTCCTGCTGTTGTCTTCCTCCAAGTGTTGACTCCCTCATCTGCCCGCTGCATCTGCCTGCATTTGTTCACTTCCTAGCATCTTCTTTTTTTTTTTACGTTTTATCTGGAGTATATAAATGTTATCTCTGGGAGGGCTGATATGATAGGAGGTTACTTGGCCATGACCAGAAGAGGAACAAGTTTTCTGTTACTGGGTAAAAATAGCTTGAAGTGCTGCTTCTTCCTTCTGACATATTGACTGAGGTCCCAGATGTGTCAGATAAGACAGAGATTCTGCTGAGATTTCCTGGTACTTGGCAATCTGGTAGGAACGACTGGGACAGGAGGGCTTTTCTTCAGATCGCAACAAAGGAGTGGTTTTCTAGTTCACAGGATAGCTCTGGTCATTGGGAAGAATGGAAACATTCTTGGCTGCATTATAAGTAGATGCTAAGGTAGTTTCTAAAACTCTTTTTGTAGGGGATAAATGTAACTATCTTAAGGCTATGATTTGGAATGTTCCTTACCAGTTTATTATGACATCTAATGCTTGCAAAAATCTTAGGAAGGAAAAATGAGGAGATTGGATCAAAACAGAGGACTGAACCTATTCATCCACTTTTTCTCCCCCCATCCCACAAATGCCACGAAAGGACAGAGAAAGTATTTTCCAAAAGGCAAAAAAATCCAAAATAGTATAGAAAATAAGAAAGGGAGCTCTATCACAGAACCAGAAATTTTAAAAAATTTATGAATGATAGAAATTAGACAGAAGCAGACAAACAGAAAAGCAAAACCAGAGGAAACCACCACCAGAAATAAGTGTAGGAGATGAAGGCCACGGAGCCAGGGAGTGCCCAGGAGAACGCCAAGTGCAGACCCCATGTACCAGAGAAAAGAGGGCTCTGGGGCAGCAGTCGTGGACTATCCGGGGAGCTGCTTTGGAAGCAGTTGGGTTAACTGAGCCTCTTCCCTTCCAAGGTTAACTGAGCCTCTCACCAAGCAGAAAGCAATGGTGGCATTTGCATTCAGACTAAAGCAATGATCATGAAAAGCAGAGTTTTATTTTTTTTGAGACAGAGTCTCACTCTGTCGCCCAGGCTGGAGTGCAGTGACGCGATCTCAGCTCACTGTCCACCTCCCGGGTTCACACCATTCTCCTGCCTCAGCCTCCTAAGTAGCTGGGACTACAGGCACCCGCGACCATGTCCGGCTAACTTTTTTTTTTTTTTTGTATTTTGTTAGTAGAGACGGGGTTTCGCCGTGTTAGCCAGGATGGTCTTGATCTCCTGACCTTGTGATCCACCCGCCTTGGCCTCCCAAAGTGCTGGGATTACAGGCATGAGCCACTGGGCCCGGCCTTTTTTTTTTTTTTTTTTTTTTTTTGAGTTGAAGTCTCGTTCTGTCACCTGGGCTAGAGTGCGGTGGTGCGATCTTGGCTCACTACAACCTCCGCCTCCTGGGTTCAAGCGATTCTCCTGCCTCAGCCTCCCAAGTAGCTGGGACTACAGGAACCGCCACCACCCCTGGCTAATTTTTGTATTTTTAGTAGAGACAGGGTTTCACCATGTTGGCCAGGCTGGTCTCAAATTCCTGACCTCGTGATCTGCCCACCTTGGTCTCCCAAAGTGCTGGGTTTACAGGTGTGAGACACCATGCCTGGCTGGAAAGGAGACATTAAAGATACCCTCATGTAGCTCTTTATTTCCATACTCAGAAGAAAAACCACTAGTTTATCTCACTTTCCAATCTAGTCTGCCTCTCCTCCGCAATCTCTAGCAGTCCGAGAAAAAACATCCACAGGCAAATATTTAGGAAATGGCAAATAAAAATATAATACCCAACCAAGAATAGGCAAACATTTGAGAAAAACCATTATCATGAAAGAAAGAAAACAAGACAGAGGTCCCCAGTTCAACATGCAGGGTGACACTCTAGTGATTACCTTGTTATTCTTACCAAAACTCAGGGACCAGAGACCAGGACCCAAGCCCAAAGCAGTCACATGTGAATGAGATATGACAGAAGCCAATGGTCAGAGAGGGCCTGGTGGGACCCTGACCAACACCATCGCAGCCTGGTGATGCCAGTGTACGCAGAGCAGGGGGGGGTCTTCAAAGTGCTGACTGTGCCCTGAAGGCCTTGGGACCTGGGTGTGTTCCCTAGTCTCAAAACCCAGACTATGGATGGCAAGAGAATGGCCCCTACCTCTGCGCCTCCCCAGCTGTTTGGAAGGAACCTCATTTCCAGGGTAATCGAGGTGTGTTTTTCCCGTACAGGGTGTTTGTTTGTTTATTTGTTTGTTTTTTGAGACAGAGTCTCGCTCTGTCGCTCAGGCTGGAGTGCAATGGTGCAATCTTGGCTCACTACAACCTCCGCCTCCCGGGTTCAAGTGATTCTCCTGTCTCAGCCTCCCAAGTAACTGGGATTACAGGTGTCCACCACCATGCCCAGCTAATTTTTTGTATTTTTAGTAGAGATGAGGTTTCGCCATGTTGGCCAGGTTGGTTTGGAACTCCTGACCTCCCGCCTGCCTCAGCCTCCCAAAGTGCTGGGATTACAGGTGTGAGCCACTGTGCCCGGCTCCTTGCAGTTATTAAGAATCTAATGCTCTGGCTGGGCGCAGTGGCTCACACCTGTAATCCCAGCGCTTTGAGAGGCCAATGCAGGAGGATTGCTTGAGCCCAGGAGTTTGAGAACAGACTGGGTAACACTGGAAGACCCATGTCTCTGTGAAAAAAAAAAAAAACTTAAAAATTAGCTGGGCATGATGGCATATGCCCCTGTGGTCCCAGCTATGCAAGAGGCTGAGGTGGGAGAATCACTTGAGCCAGGAGGTCAAGGCTGCAGTGAGCTATGATTGTACCACTGAACTCCAGCCTGGGTGACAAAGCAAGACCCTGTCTCAGAAAAAAAAAAAAAAGAAAGAATCTAATGCTCAACAAACTTTGAGCCATGGGGTCAATGGAGAATGTTAGAGGTTGAACTCCGTCTCTTCAAAATTCATACGCTGAAGTCCTAACTCCCAGTACCTGAGAATGTGGTTTCATTTGGTAATAGGGTCATTGGCAAGATAATTTGTAATTATGAGATGATACTGCAGGAGACAGTTGTCCCTATAAAAAGAGGAAATTTGGACATAGACACCTTTACAGGCAGAATGTCATGGGAACATAATGAGGGCCATCTACAAACCAGGAGAGAGGCCTGGAACAGATCCTTCCCTCACGGCTCTCAGGAGGAACCAGCCCTTTGGCATCCAGAACTCTGAGGGAATAAATATCTGTTTTTTTGTTGTTGTTTTTTTTTGAGACAGAGTCTCACTCTGTTGCTCAGGCTGGAGTGCAGTTGCGTGATCTCGGCTCACTGCAACCTCCGCCTCCCGGGTTCAAGCGATTATCGTGCCTCAGCCTCCCACGTAGCTGGGATTACACCGTACCCAGCCAAAATACCTGTTTTTAAGCCACTTGATGTGTGGTCATTCGTTAGGCAGCCCTAATACAGAGGGCAAAGCCGCTAGACCCGAGAAGGACCGGAGAAGTCTTAGTGGAGTGGGTGGGACATAGGATGGGCTGGGCATGGCCGGAATTGCTGGATGGCCAAGGAGGGAATGGTCAGGGTGAAAAAACAGAGCGTTGGTGCTGAGAAGGAAGCCGTGAATGGGCTGCAGGAACAGCTAATTACCTCATTGCAGGAAACAAAAACTTCTTCACCCAGATAGAGGAGAGAAGAATCGGGGCTTCTCGTGCTCTGGGGAAGCCGGTTCTGGCCCAAATCTGGCCAAGGCTGGCCCACCTGTGTCTTAAAATGTATTCTCTCCAGCCCAGAAATAACTTAGCTGCAGGCTTCTTATATGGATAAATTCATCCTATTATTAGGCAGTGTCTTCTTTATATTTCGATTAATAACCACATAATGATCACCTTTGCTGATTTAGATGGTGTCATTTTAAGGAATTACGGCTGAGATCCATCTTCTCTTTCTCCATTCCCTCTGCCCTCCCTGAATTATTCCTGAGGAAGAAACCAATTAATAGTAGCTTGACTGCTGTAATGCAGGCTGCTCGACAATGTAGCGATGCCTAATGGAGTTTTAATTTCCCCATGGTGAGTCAATATTTGCTTTAAGAAAGAAAAATGTCACCATAAACCACTGCCCCAAATGAATTCGGTAGCACAGAGGGTGAGAGAGTCTTCTTTCTTAGGCAAACAGTGATGGAAAGTGGGTACAGGGGCGGGGGAATCTCGCTCTGCACAAACAAGGTTGCCTCAGGTTCCGTTGCTGCTTTAGACGATGATGGTTAATAAATATTTTGCTTTGCAAATGTGGATGACTGTCAGAAACTCACCCACAGTTTAAAGGGTCTGAAGCAAAGTCATTATAATATAGAAGAGGAACAATTTATTCCAGCCTTTTAATAACTGGCGGGAAACAGGGAGGGGGGGTGGGGAATGTGACATTAGGCCTCCCTGTTTGAAGACATTACTGTTGTTTCTCATTTCCCCCCAACTTGGGTTGCAGGTGGAAACGGGATCCTACTTTTAAAAAATGTATTAGACTTTTCGGGATCATGCAAGGAAATAAAGTTCTGCAATCCTCTCTCTCATAATAAGTCTGTCCAAAAATGATGTTGCTCATTCTGTTGAAAGATAGTTTCATTTCCTAACTCAAAATTGGTATGAAAAATTTGCCTTGCCAAATGAACATTGTATACTGAACTTGTCAAATCCTTTCTCCTGACACAAATAAAAGATAACATTGGGTGGCAGCATGTAAAACAGCTCTGACAAGATAGCAAAGGGAGACAAAGAAATATACATATTTTGATTCTCTCTGTTTTAGAAGCTCGGGGAGGCGGGCGGGGGTCTCGGCAGAATGACTGGCCGGCTTGTGAATGCTTCAGGTAACAATTGAACAAGTCACTTTCATGTAGATTTTCAATGGTATAATGACCCGGTTTCCAATTAGCCAAAACATGACAAAATCTCAACTTTTATAGCAGCAAAAGCTGCCAGGGAGAGGGCCGTCTGAGTGACAAGGCTCTTCATTCAAAAGTTTACGGACACACCGTGTGGCTGTAATTACTAGTTCTAACACAGTGGGAAATTATTCCATGTGTGTTTAAAAATAAATAAGGTAAATGATCACCCTTTCATTAGATCTGTACCCATATCATGTAAGTGACTTTTTTTCCTATTAAAATTGTTGATTGAAGGCCGTTAGCTGTTTATCAGCTCAAAATTACATTTCTGCTCTCTTAGAGGCTGCTGCCTTTAAAAATCACACTCGGCGCCTAGTTAGTGACAAGAAAAGACTCCTAAAACTGCAATTTCGGGGGGGAAAAAACACAAGCAAGAAACCCAGACTGCACCTTCACGTCCCCAAAGGCATCACGCTTCTTTGTTCTGCTAAGAAAAATTAACCTCAATCTCAGCTCGGGGTCCCTAGATTGATTACCATAGTCATTTAAATACTGTAATCTCATTTTCAGCATGGGGATAAGGAGGGGGGAGCATTGAGAGAGGGGACTGGGGAGCGAGGTTGGAGAGAGAAAGAGAGCAAAGGAGTGGGGGAGGAGAAAACAGAATAAATTATCTGACAAAGGGAATCGGGCCCTTCTGCTCACAGAGCCTATTTCGGATCCTTCCACTTGATTGGAAAAGTTGATGAAGTTTAAATGAAGCAGAATTAGAACCTCAGGCCGCTGAGTATTGACGGGGGCGACGCAAGAATGTGCAATTCAATAGCCCAGATTTCGGCAGAAAACAAGGGAAAGGCCTAAATGGTATAATCTTCAATCGAATCTAACATCCACGCTGACAAGGCAGGGTAATGAGTTAGGCCAGATCAGGCCTGTTGGTTAAAGAAATTAATCCCTCCCGCCGCCCTGAGCTGGGCTTTGATGCCTATTGTGTGGGCCCCAGTCCCAGTCTATCTAAATGCTAACTAACTGCGAGGGTGAGCGGGACTGTGCTTTTCATTGCTGGCGCTAATCTGATAACAATTTGCTCTCTCTGATTAGGGAGGTGGGGAGAAGAAGGGAGCCGTGTTTGGGAGAGGAGGAGGGGATGCCTTTCCTTTGAAAAGGGGGAGGCCGCTCTGCTCAGCCTTGATGGAGGTTTTGCCCCCAGCCATCCTGGCTCCCTGGCCGGCAGATGCGCACGTTTGGAATAACCTGAAATCCAACATCCGTGGGAAACCCGGTATCTATGCGTCTTTATCCCGAGTCTCTTCTTTAAACTTTCAAGTGGTGACACCCAAAGTGAAGGCTCCTTGAGCGGTCCTCACCTGATCCCAGCATCCCTTTCCCAGGAACCTCCCTCTGCCGCCTTCTTGGTAGTGTGCTTCCTCCAGACTTCCCCTAAAAATGCACCCAAGCTCATGGCAGCCAATTTCTCACCTTGTCTAGCCATTGTCTACACCTGTCCCTCCTCTTCTCAGCCCTCCAGCAATTCCACAGGTCTTTCTGGACCAGGCCAGGCCAGGGCTGCTCCCTCTTCCTAACTCTTTTTTTTTTGTTTTGAGATGGAGTCTTGCTCTGTCGCCCAGGCTGGAGTGCAGTGGCACGATCTCAGCCCACTGCAACTTCTGCCTCCCTGGTTCAAGTGATTCTCCTGCCTCAGCCTCCTGAGTAGCTGGGACTACAGGCACCCGAGGCCATGCCGGCTAATTTTTGTAATTTTAGGAGACAGATTTCACCGTGTTAGCCAGGATGGTCTCCATCTCCTGACCTCATGATCTGCCTGCCTCTGCCTCCCAAAGTGCTGCGATTACAGGCGTGAGCCACCACACCCGGCCTCCTAACTCTTTTTTTAACAGCCATGGATGTCTTGGCTGCATTGGTTTCAGCCTTGTGCAGTCAACTTCTGGCCGTAGGTGCACGTGTGTGATGTGAATTTTCTGCCCAACTAGACTGTAAGGTCCTTGGAGAACAGAAAACATATCCCCAGATGAGCTTGACCCTTCAGATAGATATAGACGCAGGTGATAAGCACATGGATTAACTGGATTCTTCTCTCCCATCAGGACAAAGGGGTCTCCCAGGGTAACGGGCAGTGTGGCATAACATGTAGGAAGCATGACAAGCTGTGGACTTACTCAGGCCACACTGCCAGCCCCAATCCTGCCATTTACCCTTCATGTGGCCTTGGGCATGTTTCTGAGCCTTTCTGGGCTCAAGACACGGAGCTTGCAGAGTTGAGATAATATATGTAAAAGATCTGGCACTTGGCCAGGTACTCAACCAGTGATGGCCACTGATGTCACTAAGTTTTTTGGATCTGCACAGCGGTTACGACCTCAGGCTTTGGGATGACAGACCTGGTTGGAAGCCTGGCTCCTCCAGGCATGAGCTGGGTGACTATGGGCAATTTGTGTGACCTCTATAAGCCTCGGCTTCCCCATCTGTAAAATGGGAATGATAGTCATCCTGTCTCAGGATTGTTGCAAAGATGTAAGGGAGAGGCACAGTGCCCGGCACACAGTGAGCACATTGCACAGAGGGCAGCAGCTGTCAGTGGGCAAACTGGAGCGTCAGCTGATCAAATGGTCTACAGCCAGGAGCCTCCTGGAAACCCAGACTCCAGGCTCAGCCTCTTCCTCATCCTCCCACTCCGGGAGAAGTCAGACCCGTGAGCATCCTGTGAGGTGATCCTGGGAAGATCTCCCCAAGAAGCAAGCGGCTGCCTAAGAAAAGACAGAGCTTTCAGGTTCGCCCAACAGGCGCTTTCCTTTTAGAAGAGTAGTTTTTAAAAGACTTGCTTAAACCTCCGAATTTATGCCCCCTGGGTGCCTACAAAGACAGAAAAATCTTCAGTGATGGTTTGTAAAGGTTTTGGAGGCAGCCGCGAAGCCCAACACTCAGCCCTAAGGGACTCCCCGGAATTGCTCCAGCAGGTTCCCTTGAACGACTTGGTGAAAATACGGAGCGCGGCGGACTTGGGCTTGTGTAACTTACAAAAAGTAAACAAATCGTAGTCACTAACCCTAAACCAGCCTGGAAGGACACGTCCTGCCATCTGTGCCCAGCCTGGTTGGGGACCAGGATGCAACTAACATGTCCATCCCAGCTGTCACATCGCAGCACGCTGCCACTGGGAGTGTATCCCTTTGTCCGCCTGTTGTCACCTTCAGTAGAGGGAAGGAGGTGTGGTTGCTGCAGCCTCTTGTTGGTTTCTGGACCTGTCTCTCAGCCCTTTGTGTATTCCCCCTGCTTTGACCCCTGCAGGTGTCCCTGGCCTCTGACTTCCTGCCCAGCCTCACCTCAGTGCTGCCTTTCCCTGCTGCTTCACTGCAGCCCCCTGGCCCTCTTTCCCCAAAGCTCCAGGTTCCTCCTTGCTTTGGGTCTTCTCATAAAATCTCTTATTTTGCCTGGAACAGTCTCGTCCCATTGCTCATGTGAACGCGGACACATACACACTCCACTTCCAGTAACTCTTCACTGACCAGGACCCCTCAGCTCGAAGGGCTGGGCTAAAACATAGCATCCGTGGTATCTTCCAGGTGGGGCTTCCCTAGCCTCTGAGTGCCCTGCACTCCTCCGCAATGTGTATCCCTGAGTGAGGAGTCCTTGGCTTACTGTCTGTCTTCTGCAGGGCCTTGAAAGCCACCTGCTGGGCTGGGCACAGTAGCTCACAGCTATAATCCCAGCACTTTGGGAGGCCAAGGAAGGCAGATCACCTGAGGTTGGGAGTTCAAGACCAGTCTGGCCAACATGGTGAAACCCCCTATCTACTAAAAATACAAAAATTATCTGGGCATGGTCGTGTGAGCCTGTAATCCCAGATACTGGGGAGGCTGAGGCAGGAGAATCACTTGAACCTGGGTGGCGGAGGTTGCAATGAGCTGAGATTGTGCCATTGCACTCCAGCCTGGGCAACAAGAGCAAAACTCCGTCTCAAAAAAAAAAAAGCCACCTGGGACTAAGGCTGTCTTATCCACTGAGGTGTCCCCAAGGCCCAGCACACATAACAGCTCCTCAATAAACATTTTGCAAATGGTCAAATGAGCAAATGAAGGATGGGAGAGAAGCCATTCAGGTGTGCAGAATCAAGGCTTAGAGACATCTAGTGAGTCACTCAAGGTTTCAGAGCCAATGAGAGTGTGCAGTAGACTGCGAACTCCTCACTGTGGTGCCAGTGCCTGGTGTGCCTGGTTCAGGGGAACTGTGCAATGCTTAGTGAAGAAATGAATGAATGACTGAATGTCACGAAGCCTGGAGAAGAACCCAGGATTCTCCACAGAAATCTTTAGTAAAAGGCGAAAGATTTATACGATTTGAAGAGAAACCAGAGCATGAGAACCCAGGATTCTCAAGTCTAATGGTCTAGTGTGCATCCCTCCAAACTCCAGCCCCGCTGAACACGCCATCCCTTTTCCTGGGAAGCTTTTTCTCTCCCAAAGTTGATTTACCATGAAACTAGTGAAGTTAAGCTTCAGGGTCACTCTCCAGCACATTTCAAGGCCTTGGACTTAATTTTCAAAATTATTTGTAATTCTGTATTCTGTTTCTTAAAGAGGGATCCCAAAATTGCATAAACTTTAAGCCTGGCAAAACCTGGATCTCACCCTGCCCCCACCTCTTCAGTTCCCCCCCACATACTTGCTAATCTTTGTGTCAAGACTCAGCCCAAGGCCGGGCATGGTGGCTCACGCCTGTAATCCCATCACTTTGGGAGGCCAAGCCGGGCGGATCACCTAAGGTCAGGAGTTTGAGGCCAGCCTGGCCAACTCTACTAAAAATACAAAAATTAGCTGGGTATGGTGGCAGGCGCCTGTAATTCCAGCTACTTGGGAGGCTGAGGCAGGAGATTCACTTGAACCCAGGAGATGGAGGTTGCAGTGAGCCGAGATCACACCACTGCACTCCAGCCTGGGTGACAAAGCGAGACTCTGTCTCAAAAAAAAAAAAAAAAAAAAAAAGACACAAGCCAAGCCATCAGCCTATGAGAGCTTTCCTCATCTCCTTTCGTCCAGGTGAAGATGGAGCTGCCCTCAGTGCTGGGCATGGATCCCATCCAGATGGCTGTGGCCACGTCTGTACCACTTTGCTGTTGATTTTCATCTCTGTCTGCTTCTGCCTGCTAGATTGTAAGCTCTTCAAGGACAAAGCCTATATCCAGGTGGGTTTACCCCTGTATCCTTGGTGCCTGGTACTGTGCCTGGTACACATTATGTGCTCAAAAGGTGTTAAAGAAGTGAGTGAATGAATGCATAGAATCATAGAGTTATTGTTCTGTTCTTCTTTTTTTTTTTTTTGAGACAGAGTCTCACTTGTCACCCAGGCTGCAGGCCGGAGTGCAATGGCGCGATCTTGGCTCACTGCAACCTCTACCTCCTGGGTTCAAGCAATTCTCCTGCCTCAGCCTCCCGAGTACCTGGGATTACAGGTGTGCACCACCATGCCCAGAATTTTTTTTTTTTTTTGTATTTTTAGTAGAGATAGGGTTTTACCATGTTGGCCAGGCTGGTCTCGAACTCCTGGCCTCAAGTGATCCGCCCACCTCGGCCTCTCAAAGTGCTGGGATTACAGGCATGTCCATTCTTGCTGAAAACACCTTGCACATTCCAGGTGATGTGCCTTTGCTCTAGGTGTCCCCTTCCTGTCCTGTTCCCCCAGTGGAATCTAGTCCATCCTACAGGCCCAGCCCAACCTCATCAGCCGTCTGCGCTGCCTGGAAAGCCCCAATACTGCTCCTGCCTCAACGCTTAAACGTGGCATTCTGGCCTCTCATCACCTCTCCTTCCACCTTTTTTTTTTTTTTTGGTCAAGGTCTTGCTCTGTCACCCAGGCTAGAGTGCAGTGGTGTGATCATAGCTCACTGTAGCCTCAACCTCCTGGCCTCAGGAGATCCTTCTGCCTCAGTTTCCTGAGTAGCTGAGACTACAGGTGCACACTACCACACCCGCCTAATTTTTTAAAATTTTGTGGATGCCAGGTCCCATTATGTTGCCCAGGCTGGTTTCGAACTCCTGGGCTCAAGCAATCCTCCTGCCTCAGCCTCCCAAAGTACTGGGATTACAGGTGTGAGTCACTGCCCCCAGCCACCCACTTTTAATAACTTATGAGTTTTAATGTGCAAAGTCTGGTTCTCTCTGATCAGACTACAACTTCTTGGACACAAAGTCTTCAACCTCTTGTGTTTCCTCCGGTCCCTTGCACATTGTAGGTGTTCAATAAATATTTGCTCTTTGGCTGATGGGTTCATTAGCAGTCTTAAATGCATAAAAAGGAAAAAAAAAGCCAATATCTTGGCTCTTAAAGATCTCCTGGGAAGCAGATGGAAAATATAAATGCGATTCTACATAATGGGAATATTATGATGGCATTTTAATGTGGTGACACGGCCAAATTCACTATTGTCCAGTAAAATTAACTAATAAAGCTGCCAGTAAATTTTCTAATTCCCTCAACAGAAATGCTGTGGCCGAAAGATCACCTCTCTCGTTGCCTTTTTGGGTGCCCCATCTTTGTGGGAGGCTGTGGCATCCGAGCTTTGGCTCCCTGGGGCTGCTTCTCTGACGCCACGGCACAGCTTAGACGCTGTGCTATTGGTTACAAACAACCAGCCACCTGGCAGCGGTGTGTCCTCTCACTAATGCCACACATACCTTGAAATCAAAGAGTTCTGAGCCTCCACTTTCATTCTTCTGGACAAACACAAAAGATTTCGATCCACACAAAGAAATTTATCTTGTATGCTTCTGAGTTCACTGGTCTCCCAAATATGTATTGTTTGGTTCATATAAAAGATCAAAAATCCCTCTTTTTGGCTCATTATGTGTTTTCCACAATCCTTTTGGTGGCCATTCTCCCTCCTGTGTGCTACTCATGTTGACCTTCCTGTTCATTGACCCATGTCTGTCAGTTTCTTGCCCGAACCCTGACGTGCCTTTGAGTGACTGGGTGGAAAAATACAGCTGTTTTCTTTATAAAGCATATTTATTTGCTTCCCTGAAATGCTGTATTTAGTGCCACAATGAGAGCATAGAGTCTGTGATGGGGCCCTGGCCCACTGTGAGCTTAATTTCTGGTGTACTCAATCAATTTTGTTTTAAATCTTAGATTAGTTCATGCTGAGGAAAACAAAACCAAACCAAACAAAATCCTTGGAAGTTGGTGCACCAGGGAAACAAAGCTTGTCTACCGGTCAGTGATTACTCAACAAATCAGCCCCTTTGCTAATGAGTTTATCTAATGAATTATTGAGCCACACTGTATGGATTGCTAGAAATGCTTTTTATTTTTTTAAACGACAACATGGGTGAGGCTAGAGATTGACAAGTCTCAGACAGAAGCTAGCAAACTCATGTAAGCTACATTGCTCGGGAAACGAAACGGATTCAAAGGCGGGGATTTTAAATAGCCATAAAGTGTATGAGAGGAAGACAATCGGAAGCAAACAATGGGTAGAGAAGCAATTAAAACCAAACCGGCTCATTTCTAGAGTCTTTGCATTAGGTTACAAGAGACCATGAACCACGGGTGAAGGATAACGAAGTTCCCACGTCTCCTTTATGTCTCCTGGTTTGGGGCTTCTCAGCCTTGGCACTATTGACATTTGGGACCAGAGGATTCCTTGTTTTGGGGTTGGGAGCGCTGTCCAGTGTATAGCAGGATGCTGAGCAGCATCTCTGTCCTCTGCCCACCAGATGCCACCAGCACCCCCTCGCCAGGTGTAATAACCAAAAATGTCTCCAGACGTGGCCCAGTGTTCCCTGGGGAGCAAAACTGCCCCCCTCAATTAAGAACTCCTGGCCTCGTTCCACTTTGCCATAATCTCTTCCATCATATAGTATCTCATTTGAATCCGACCACGTTACAACCTTGAGATGTAGGTAGGGTAGGTCTTAGTACCCAGACTCTCCAAATAAGGAAACCCAGGCTGAGAAATTAAGCCACTTGCCCAAGAACCCTCAAGGGTAAGCTCGGCATGAGTGCTAGAAATTGGATGGTTTCACTCGCAACTAGGGCACATGGCCACAGGAAACAAGAGATGAGGTGGGTGACAGTATTTTTCAGTGAGAGCAGAAGGGGGAAAATGTAAGCACTTGGGTGGATTTGTCTCATTCTCTGTTTCTTTATAAGTTCAGACATTTAACGTTGACTTAAAGTCAATTGCTGAGAACAATAAGGTAGCTTTGAGAAACATAAATATTTGGACTCGGGATAATGGAAAATAACAAAATGCTCACTTATTAAGCTCTTTCCTGGGCCAGACCCTGCCTGCACTGTCTCACTGAACCCTCAAAACTCTCCCATGCTGGGGTGCTAACTATTACCATTCCATTTTAAATTAGGGGAAACTGAGGATTAAAGGGTAAATAGTCTCGTGGGTGGCAGAGCCAGTAAGTGGCTGAGACAGAACTCACTCTAGGATCTGCTGGCTCCAACCTGGCATCTATACCACACTGCTGGCCTTCCTCTCTGCTGAAGTAGGTGCAGTTTTCTATCTGCCTGGGCAGCCAACCTATTTCGATATCTTTTGTAGTTGTGTGAAAAGAAAAACTGCGGCCAGACATGGTGGCTCACGCCTGTAATCCCAGCAATTTGGGAGGCCGAGGTGGGCGGATCACGAGGTCAGGGGTTTGAAACCAGCCTGGCCAACATGGTGAAAGCCCGTTTCTACTAAAAATACAAAAATTAGCTGGGCATGGTGGCAGGCACCTGTAATCCCAGCTACTCAGGAGATTGAGGCAAGAGAATTGCTTGAACCTGGGAGGCAGACGTTGCAGTGAGCCAAGATTGTGCCACTGCACTCCAGCCTGGGCGAAAGAGTGAGACTCCGTCTCAAAAAAAAAAAAAAGAAAAAAAGAAAACAAAAGCTGCAGTCTGGAATCATTTTAACAGCCCTCCTCATTTATACTGTGGTCTTCACATACTGATGCAGGAGCTTGAAGGAAGACTCCAAGGACAATTTTATTTAAAGTTGAATCATTACCAATGACCAACAAACGCTGGCATTAAAAAAAACTAATACAAAAGATCAGCCGGGCACAGTGGCTCACACCTGTAATCCCAGCACTTTGGAAGGCTGAAGCGGACAGATCACTTGAGGTCAGGAGTTCGGACCAGCCTGGCCAACGTGGTGAAACCCTGTCTCTACTAAAAATACAAAAATTAGCCAGATGTGGTGGTGTACGCCTGTAATTCCAGCTACTCGGGTGGCTGAGGCAGGAGAATCACTTGAACCCAGGAGGCGAAGGCTGCTGTGAGCAAGACTGCACCACTGCACTCCAGCCTGGGCAACAGAGTGAGACTCCGTCTCAAAAAAAAAAAAAAAGCCCAGTGTGGTGGTTCACGCCTGTAATCCCAGCACTTTGGGAGCCTGAGGCAGGCAGATCACCTGAGGTCAGGAGTTCGAGACCAGCCTGACCAACACAGAGAAACCCTGTCTCTACTAAAAAACTTACAAAATTAGCTGGGCGTGGTGGCACATGCCTGTAATCCCAGCTACTAGGGAGGCTGAGGCAGGAGAATCCCTTGAACCGGGGAGGCGGAGGTTGTGGTAAGCCAAGATCGTGCCATTGCACTCCAGCCTGGGCAACAAGAGCAAAACTTTGTCTCAAAAAAAAAAAAAAAAAAAAAAAAAAAATCAGATAAGAAGCACTCAACAGTTATAGCATATCAACAGTTATAGCATATGCCAAAAATCAACCAGACACTGGATGAGTGTGACTGTGTGCCTCCCTTGTTTTTGTCCAGCCAACCTGAGATTCTTGAGGCAGGAGTGAGAGCCCAGCAGACGGGTCTAAGGTTTAACACAGCCCAGGTCTCAGGGACCACCGCAAAGCCCTCAGCACACTGTCCTACTCCAAGGGATTCGCTCAGCCCAAAGTCCTATGCCTGGTTACAATGTTCATTGTCTGTGACACATTTTACAAGCATTACACACACACAAACACAGAGAACTAACACCCCAAAGCTAGGAAACTCCAAGCATAGCTAACATGTTGGTGGTCTCCATTGTTAGCATTTGATATAAAATACATTTAATTATCTTGATGTTTTTATTAAACTTTAAATATAAAGATGCATTTTCTTAAAAGGCTGTTTGAATCAGACATTTCACGAGACCTCCAATGCTCCTGAAGACCACAGAACAGTTTGCAAACCACTGCAATAGAAAACGGGGTTTTGAAATTTCGTCCGCAGGGTCAGTTGTAAATGAGGAAAACTTTGTCTTTCAAAATAAGGAACAAGCAGGCAGAATTATACAGTGAGCAACGCTTGAGCCTGGAATGCTCTGGAAGGTGTGAGAAGAGACCTCTGATTAGTTCACCCCAGCCTCAGAATTTTTCCTGGAGGAACGGCCTTCCTGCCACGCCACCGCAGTGTTCTGAGAGCCACGTAATAGGAAAGTGCTGAGTTCAACAGGAGGAACCTGAGTGCTGAGGTCTGCGCTTAATTAACGCTTCAAAGCCAAAGCACACCTTCTTCAGAGGGACAAAGAGGACAGCAGGCTCCTCCGGCAGGGCAGTGGCTGCCCCAGGGTGGTGACGAGCCGGTGAAGGGGGCAGCTCGGCTTTCTGAAATGGCCACGGAGCTGGGCGGGGGGGTTAGTTTCCTGCCTCAGCCCGACTCACTGAAGGATGTACCTGGGCACCCAGAAGTGGGAGACTTTGGTTTAAAAAGAAGAAAAAAGGAAAAAAGGGCCACGAGGGAGAGAGTTGTAAGGATGGATCAACCCACGGCACTCTCTAGAAAAATGAAACTGACCCACTGGCCCTCCAAGATGGGGCCATTAGGATGGGCAGCTCATTTTTAAATCCCTTCC
Organism: Homo sapiens; assembly: GCF_000001405.40. Taxonomy (NCBI): domain Eukaryota; kingdom Metazoa; phylum Chordata; class Mammalia; order Primates; family Hominidae; genus Homo; species Homo sapiens. Next base: position 132,415,147 of record NC_000009.12, on the reverse strand, counting down.
TAAGGTTTTATTTTCTCCTATTACATTGTAATTGAATGTAAAAGGACTGGAGCAATCAGGGGTATATTCTCTTCAACAATAAAGCTGCGTGTAACATTTTCAGATTGTACTCAAATGTAATAAAAATACTGACCCATGCTGGGATATTTGTACAACTGGGCTTTTGTCTGCCTGCCTTCTTTGTGTTGGTCCCTCTCCGTGCCTTTATGTTCGCCAGCATCAATATTTATTAGAGATGTTAAGCTATTAGTGGGCATGGTGTGGTTGCCTAATTTTGTAGAGCATCCAATTTGAACACACTGGCTCTAAATAAACGCTTCCTCGTGATGATAATGATAATGATCCCAGCGGCAGCACTGGGTCTTGTAAACTAGGACTCAAGTTGGGGTGAAAACCTACAAGCATTTAGGAGCCGAGGAGGGCGGAATGGAGCTGAATGACTTTCCCAACTCTGCTTTTTCACTTTTCAAGGTCTGGTTCCAGGTCCCTGAGACCTGCCCAGAACTCCCTTCCTGCAAATCTGAACTCTTCCGGGCAATGCAGCTCACTTGAAAACTTACGGGGGTGGGGACCCATCACAATGCCTGTCTTATTTGTGCATACCTGCGTGTGTGTGTGTGTGTGTGTGTGTGTGTGTGTGTGTGTGTGAATAAGAGCTAACATTTCCCAAGAGCTTTCCTTACAGCAGGTGCTGTGCTAAGCTGCCTGCCTCTTCGCATTCATCTCTATCTGCACAGTTATAAACGTGTGCATGTATCCCATCTCCCCAGCTAAATAGTAAATGGTTAACTCCTGTGAAATTCAGCAACGCTGAATTCTAAACTTGTTTCTATGCCCCCAGGAAAGCTCAGGATGGCACTGGGCACTTGACAAACCTTCAACAAATATTTCTTGGCCGTCAAGAAGTCCTAAGAAATCAGTAGAGCTCACTTTGGAAGGAACATTGAATGAAATGATATTGGGATCTGATTCATCTGTGAACACTTTTTGACTGCCTGCTATACATGATGTCACCAATCTGGATTGTCATTGGTTAATTAATCATATGTTGTGGCCAAAAGAACGTGGGGCTGGAAGCCAGGAGACCTTAGTCTCATCCCAATTCTGCCACCAGGTGAGGATAGCACCTCGGATGAGTCTGTTCCCCTCGCTGGGCCTTGATCTCCTCAAAAAAGGAGGTGGACTAGATGTCTGTAAGATGTCTTCCAGCCCCAAATGCCGTGTCTGCTCTATGACTCTATTTTAAAAATGCATGCACTTCTTATTGGTTACATAAAACCTCACAGAAAAACAAAGTCAATAATAAATTATGAAAAAATCGGGTGCTACGATCTTTTACACTTTCTAAGGGTGCTCGATTCCATAAATTCCACCCCCGTACATAGGCAGCCTCTCCAGGGAGACAGAAGATCCAAGGCTGTCAGGGGAGCAAACCAAGCAGTCTCTCCCTATAATTGTATTGACAGGTTATCAGCTGAGTTCCGATGGCAGGAAAGGTGCAACCCTGACAGGTTTTGTGAAGGAGTCTTGAAGGCTATTGTAGCAGGATTCTATGTGGAGTCACAGAATTCTGGGGAAATGAGAACCAAGCAGGGAGAAGCTTGGTTCTTTCTCTATTTAATTTTATTCTTTCCAGAGAGTCACATTTGAAGGAAAACGGGCTAACTGCACATCACTGTCTATACTAGAGTTGAAACCCTTTCTAATGGAAAATATTTACATCTTTTGTGGCCATGTAAAACACCGACTTGATTCAATCACTCCTATTAAATAACCAGTTGACTTGGTTTTAAATGAGGCAAATGGTTGTTGAGCATCTGTAGATAAAATACCTGCTTGGATGTCTCAGTTTTTCACTTTTCACTTGGTTATGGTGGCAACTTGCAGACGTGTTCTTGAATAACTGATGTGTATACATCCTGGTAAATTTTATGGATGTGAAATAACACTGTTGAGTTTGTTCAGTCAGTATTTCTACATTTTAAATGAAAAAAAATGCTGATCCTATTCATTGGAGAAAACAACCCACGAAACAACCCCCCAATATGGTAGAATAAATGCCTATTTCTAAGGTGCTATAGTCTTCCAATGCACACCTTCAGGTTCAGACTTAGACAAAACCAAAATATACTTTAGTTCTAATCACCCTCCTAAAGACACCACGGCAGAGTGCACTCCCAACCTCTACCATACATAGCGGAAAGGCACACACTACTACGGGGAGCTGAAAATCTATGATGGTGAAACTGACATGCCACAATGAAGAAATCCACAAGCCAAGCTCAGTAGAAATTTCCATAACATGAAAAGAAAAAAATCTTAAAGCTCCACAACCTCACATATTTTCCATTTTCTCTTTTTCTTTAGTCAAAAACACCAAAGTTGTTTCATAATTTTTTTAAAAAAACTAATATAGGAAGCTGTTTGAAGTGGTAAAAATAATGCTGGGCTGGGAGTTAGCAAACGAAGCTGCAAACCCAATCTCTGCCAAAACCTTGAGCAAAACAAACAAACAAACAAAAAAAAAAAAGCACAAAACAAACAAACAAAAAAACCCAAAAAAAACAACAGAGGTGGCTTCAGTGTGCTCATTTGCAAAAAGGGTCCAGAAAAGATAACAGTCAAGGTTCCCTTTTGCGGTCAATTTCTCTGCCAACTTTTATTTATGTCAGGTTTTGACCTCTAAAGTTATAAGATATTCTAATATTATATATGGTAAATACTGAAAAGTGGACGTCATCTTAACTGCTCCAGAAAGTACCTTAAAGACCCCGAAGAACCCACGAAGGAAAGCCAGAGGTAAAGGCTGCCCCCTGGCTGTCCCTGGTGGAAGAAGAGAACCCCAGGCTCCATCATCAGAGAGCACGAGCCTGGACGTGGGTCCCTGCTGCTCCAGCATGGTCACCAGGGGCCAGGGCAGACCTGCTCTGCATCTCGTGCCCTGAAGACAGAACCCCAGTCGTGGGTGAGTCACCTCCTGTACATTTTCCGACCCTAAGCTTGGGTTCAGAAATCAGGGATTGAATTGGTCCTAGAAGCTGTTTAGCTAGTGCCATCCAGAGGCCAAATGTTGTCCTCGATATAGCTGGGTGGGGCGGGGGAAGCAAAAGGAAAAAGGAAAAGAAGGGGGAAATTTACATATATGTACATACATTTTACACATATGTACATGTATATTATACATATGCATACATGTATATATGATAGATGTAAACGGTATGTTATATGGGTGCATACACAAATGCATATGCATGTATGTGTGTGTGTGTGTGTGTGTGTGTGTGTGTACATATTGCTCAGCGTGGGCACCACACACTAACTCACCATGGAGAATAACTCCATACGCCCTCACTTTACACTTCAGTAGGAAGAAGTTGGCTCACTACTAACTACTTGAACAAAAGCAACGACCTAACCTTAATGCAGGTAGTCAGAGGTGGCGGACGTGATTCTCTCCTTCATCCAAGAATAATGGGCCCCACCTGCCTGTCCTGCCTGTCCACTCAGAGTGGCTCTTCTCACGTAGAAGTAAGTGAAGGACCTTGTTCCACTTTGAGAGGCCTAAGAAAGGAGCCTATTCGATGGAAAGGCACGAGTGTGGGAAGCCAGCCTCCCCCAGGTGCAGCCTGCGCCTAGGCAGTATCCTTCCTCCTCTCAGGACCGAGTTTAGGGAAGGCAAGAGGAGGGAGTCAATGTTTTGCCAGGAGCCAATTAACTCAGTTAATTCTAGCACGGGTTCCCTTTTCCCCAAAACAAAAACAAACCGCCACCACCACCTCTGGGCTCTACTCAGCGCCTGGCGGTCACACAAATAATTGTTGTTGAATCCACGGTTACCACCTGCGCCTTCCACTCCCGCACCTGGGACGCGGGGCGCATTTTTAAAGGCGCACTGCCCTCCAGCGGCGCAAGATAAATTCGCCTCGAGGCTTGCTCCCTGACCCCCAAGCCTCAGCCTGACTTCTCCAGTGGCCCCCGGGAAGGTGTGGCCGCCACAGCAGTGTTGGTTTCCCATCAGCGGGAAGCGAGGCTAAAGGTGGGGAGGAGGGAAGTGTAATGGAAGGGAAAGTGATCCAGCCCGAAACCGCAGCTCCCTCATTCTTGTCTGCGGAGCCTCCTAGGCCAAAGATTATGCTTTTTTTCTCTTAGGGTTGTAATTTGGGTAAGAAATTAGTATGATCGAACGGAAATGAACATTCGACGTGATGCTTCCAGGACAGACACGGAGCCACCGCTGCATAGACGTACCCCAGGCGTGCAGCGGAACCGGAGAGGCGGCCTTTACCCTGGGAGGGCTGGCAGCCACGACTTAGACTGGGCGTGTGCGACCTATCTGTCACCCTGTGGGTTCACTCTGTGGGAAACCACAGCAGCACCCATTGCAGCCTTACCCCATGTCAGGCGCTGTCCCGAGGTCCCGCAGAAATTACCCTATTCAATCTTCCCAATCAGTCCCTTTAGTGGTGCCATTATCATCCCACTGTGAGGATGGGGAAACCGAGGCTGAGAGAGGCGACGCGACCTGCATGGGGGTCCAGGCCTGTCTGGACCAGAGCTGGAGCTTCCCACGCTGCGCTCGGACCCCGGGCCGCGGGGCCAGGGCGCTGCGGGTGGGGACCCCCGGCGGCGCAGGTGCCCGGAGCCGGCGACAGCGAAAGCGCGGTGGGCGTGGGGTGCTCACCTTGACGATGAGAGGGTTCTGAAACATGGAGTCCCGCACGACCCCCAGCCGCTCGTTCTCCATGCCGGAACGGATGTCCGCCACGGTCAGGGGCCGCCGCGGGGGCGGGCAGACCTGGCTGACCGTGCGGCGCACAGGCTGCTGCTGCTTCCTCCATCGCGTGAGGTCCGGGCCGGAGCTCCTGGCCTCTGGCATCCTTGAGGTCGCCGGGGAGCCGGCCCGCGGGCTGGTTTGGGCGCGCTTCCCCACGTCGGGCACAGCCTGGAGCTCCGAAGGGCCTGCCGGGCGGCCCGGGCCGCACCACCGGGATCCTGAGGGGGAAACTCAGATGCCAGGACCCCTCCGGAGCCAGGCGCGCCCCGCTCGCGCCGGCCCCTCATCGCAAAGAGCCCCGGAGCAATGCAGGAGCCCCGCGGGATCCTCAGGGCGTCTCCTGGGCCCCGCGTTGCAGACTGGGAGAGGAAAGAAAACCAAGACCACCCCTGGAGGACGAATGCAACGGCCCGTCTCCTTGGCGACGGGACGCCAACAGAGCCCGGCTCGGCTTGTACTTTTCTTTCAAGAAACTCTTGGTGGCTACCAGTGTGGACTTGTTTGGAGTTTTCCTGAATCGATACAGGAGAACCGAGAATCTCCAGTGGGTTGCGTTCAAAGCGGCGTGGCTCATAGAGGGTCATTTACATTTGTCTTCCAAGTCGAAGACTCCATCCTCTGCTCACCCCCATTCCACTCACAACCCCTCCCCACCTCTGCTCTTTGCGCCACACACACACCTGAGACAGAGCACTAAATGCATTCCAAGCCTGATGCTGATGCTGACCCACTGGGAGGACTCGGGCAAGTCACCCTCTTGGATCCTAAGGGCTTTTTTTCTTTTTTTCCTGTGAGATGGGTGACAAGGAAACGCTAGAGTTGGATTACATCAATGGTTCCCAAATTTAAGCAACAGAATGAAGGGAAATTGAAAAATACAGATTTGGGCTGGGCTTGGCTGCTCACCCATGTAATCCCATTGCTTTGGGAAGCCTAGGAGGGAGGATGGCCTGAGCCCAGGAGTTTGAGACCAGCATGGGCAACATGGTGAGGTCTCATCTCTACCAAAAATTAAAAAAATTACCCAGGTGTGCTGGCACACACCTGTGGTCCCAGCTATGGGGGAGGCTGAGGCAGGAGGATCACTTGAGGAGGTTGAGACTACAATGAGCCGTGTTTCGGCAACTACATTCCAGTCTGGATGACAGAATGAGACCATGTGCCAAAAAAAGAAAAACGAAGATTCACAGGACTCACCCCAGACTCACTAAATCAGAATATCTGGAAATGGCATCTGAGGCTCTCCTTTTTTTTTTTTTTTTAAGAGACGGAGTCTTGCTCTGATAATGACATGAGCCACCTCACCAGGCCAGATGCTGCATTTTTAAAAATCCCCTTACCCACCCACCCACAACTTGGTGAAAAAGTTCAAACCTACAGAAAAGTTGAAAGTCGAAAGAAGAATACAATGAAAATACATATAGGCTTCACCTAGATTCGGTTAGATTTTGAAGGGAAGGGGAGGGTTAAAGAAAGAGTGGCGGCTCTACAGCAAATTCAGGCTTTATGTCCAGCATGAGACCTACAGAGGTGGGAGACCAGCTTAATGCCAGTGCCTACCGCTGCTTACAGGCTGGAGAAATTATAGGCCTGGGCGGGGAGGGGCCCGGTGGGTATGGCCTGCTGCCCGGGAAGATGTTGATAAGGTATTCCCATGATGAGGCAGTTTGGCCCTTGTTCTGGTGGAACGTGATGTTCCTGTCACTTTCTCCCAGCAGAATATGATAAGAGGCAGGCTGTTTCTCACTGCCTGAACCCCCGTGGAATGTTTCACTTTAAGCAAGGTCTGCAAAATGGCAGGGGGCTTACAAAATGGTGCAGTTTGGACTAACAGATTCACCCGTCCCCAGCACTGGTCACATTTTCTTGCTCTCTCTCTGTGAGCATGCACATACACACATTACAGAATCACCTGAAAAATATCTGTCAACACCATATTTAACCCTAAGTACGTCATCATGTAGCAAGGACATTCCCATGTGTAACTACAATGTCATTATCATGTCCGAAGATTTTAATGTGATACAATAGTGTTTAATATAAAATCCATTGCAAAGTTGAGACTCTGCATTTGAAAAAAAAAAAAAAAAGCTTCCCAGGTGATTGGTGCAGTTGGAGGAGGATTGGAAACCACTATTGGAGTTTTCCTGAATCGATACTGGATGATATCTAATCTCTCCTCTAGTGCCAGCCTTTTGTGGGTTCATTCATGCATCACTAGCACCACAAGGCTCTGGGTAAGTGGGGTCACCACAGAACACGTGACACCAATGACGGACCTGGACTTCAAGGCCTTCCATATCAACAGTGGACAACACCACATTTACAGACTTCTCCAGACGGAGCTCCAACTGCACGTCCACATCCCAGAGCAGCCCTTGCATGGCAACATGAGTACATACATAGGCTCATCGTTTCTCCAACCTGCTTCCCTTCCAGACTTTCACGGAAGCATAGTTTGTGCATTTTTTAATCAAAGCCACTTGGCAGATCACATAGAAGTCAGGTGGAACAGTGAGGGGCAAGATAGTGGAGTAGTAGAAAGAGCATAGGTCTGATTTCTGGCTGGCCCATTTAAGTCACCTTGGACAAGTTACTGTAAACCCAGGTTTCTCATCCACAAGGTGGGGCTAATAATACCTCATTACAAGGATTAAGTGAGAAAACTTGTTGCCTATATCGTATATGTTCACTATCCAAAAAGGTTAAACGTTTGGTTGGTAAATATAATGGCCTCGAATTGATGGCCAGGTTAAAGCTGCCCTTTTGGCTAAGTCTCTTCAGGACTCTGTTGAAATGGGAAGACTGGGATAGATCTCCAAAGCTCCTGCTAACTCTAAACTTCTGAGACTTCATCCAAGCTTAACATCCATCAGCCTCTGCACCAGATAGCCCCTGCAGACCTCTGACTTCCTCTCCCACCCCCTCCCCTGCATTCACATGCATTCACTTAGGCTGGGCGTGTGCGACCTGTCTGTCACCCTGTGGGTTCACTGTGTGGATTCACTCTGTGCTCCAGCTGCTCTGGCCTTGTCCCAGGTCCTCCAGCAACCAAGTTCAGGACTTTTGCACTCACTTCCAGCCTGGAACACTCTTCTGCCTAGATTTTTTGCCTGCCCTTTCCATTTAGAACTCAGTTCAAATGTCACCTCCTCAGTGAGCCCTCTCTTACATCTAAAGTAGCACCCACCGTCCCCTAGTCACTCTCCATCACGTCACCCTGTTTTATTTTCCTTACAAGATAATCTGAAATTATCTTAGTTGATTTGTCATCTGTCTTCCCAAGTTGTTCCTGGAGTTCACCAAAAACTGGAATAAATGGAATGCACGCATGCATTAGTACGTCAATGGAGGGGGATTCTGTCCTACTTTCTTCGTTTCAGGAGCACTCTCTACCCCACCTGACGTCTAAAGGACCCAGAAGGAAAATGGGTAGGCAAATGTGCGCGCCTCCAAGGCCTAGCGGCAGCCGTGTTACCATGGCAGCGTGACGCCGAGGGGGCCGGAAGGCGACGCACTACTACTTCCGCTTCCTCAACAGCAGCACTTCCGGGTTGGGAGAAAGGTGGCGGCGCTTTCGGAGGGTAAGTTGAAAGCGCCTTTGTTGTTTCTGTTTTTCAAAATGCGCGCGTAAAAACTCAGCGTGGGGTGGTGGGTTTCCCCGTCTTCTGGGAGACCCGCCTTTTGGCCTGAGGTCTCCAGGCCGCGGTCTTTGCCCCAGGCCTTATCTCGGGGAAACTGAGGCTTGGGTGTTTTTTTTTTTTTTTTTTAAAGATGGAGTTTTGCTCTTGTCGCCCAGGCTGGAGTGCGGTGGCGCGATCTCGGCTCACTGCAACCTCCGCTTCCTGGGTTCAAGCGATTCTCCTGCCTCAGCCTCCCGAGTAGCTGGGATTATAGGCGCCCGCCACCAAGCCTAGCTAATTTTTGTATTTTTAGTAGAGACAGGGTTTCACCATGTTGGCCAGGCTGGTCTCGAACTCCTGACTTCAGGTGATCCACCCGCCTCGGCCTCTCAAAGTGCTGGGATGACAAGCGTGAGCCACCGCGCCCGGCCGCGGCTTGGGTCTTTGGGAGTGAGAAGATGCAGAATTCACATCTGGTTAGTTCCTCCAGTCTCAGCCCTGGAGCGCCCACCCGGGAGCAGAGCGGGGTCTCTCTCGCACCCCAAAGGCGGTGAGAGAATCCGGGACCAGGTTTGGGCACGTACCTGCAGAGCGGGAAGTGTATGTTCTGAGTAAGGGGGGATAAATGCATATCCGTTCTCAATATGTATCGAGCACTGACTGGGGAGCCATTTGGGAGCAAGATGGCCAGGATTCCAGCCCTCAAGAAGCCGATCATATTATAACTGCCAAAAGTGCAATGGGGAGCAGCTGGTTGTTGGGAAACACTGTTAACCAGAAAGATGAGACCGGCTAAGGAGTTAGAGAGGTCCTCTTGAGAAAGTGGCTTTCATACTTGGACCAGTTAAAGGGCAGAAAGGTAATGCGGAGGAAGAGCTTTCCTGATGGAATGGGCTGTTTTTGCAAAGTTCCTGAGACGAAAAGGAAGGTAGTGTATTCTAGGAACTGAAAACAGCAGGGTTTCTGAAACCTAGAGAGAAGTGAGAGGTAGAGAGGTGGGCATGGACTTACCTCTGTCCATCTCTAGGCTAGATTATGAAGAAATGAAGACTCTTGCAGGTCTGTGAGGATTTTGACTTTATCTTAAGAATAACAGGGGAACCCTAAAAAGTTTTTAGCAGGGAGAGACTATATATTTAGAAGGTTGTACTGGGCTCCAGAGACCAGAGAGCAGCCTAGGAAGTATTTACAAAAAAGAAGGAAAGGAACTGATGGAAGGGGAAATGTTATTTAAAGAAATCAAGGCCGGGCGCTGTGGCTTACGCCTGTAATCCCAGCGCTTTGAGAGGCCGAGGCAGGTGGGTCACCTGAGGTCAGGAGTTCAAGACCAGCCTGGCCAACATGGCGAAACCCCGTCTCTACTAAAAATACAAAGATTAGCCAGGCTTGGTGGCTTGCGCCTGTAATCCCAGCTACTACTCCGGAGGCTGAGGCAGGAGAATCGCTTGAACCCGGGAGGCGGAGGTTGCAGTGAGCCGAGATCGTGCCACTGCACTCCAGCCTGGGTGACAGAACGAGATTCTGTCTCCAAAAAAAGAAAAAGAAAAAAAGAAAAGAAAAGAAATCAGCCAGTGGGTGGCTCACGCCTGTAATCCCAGCACTTTGGGAGGCCGAGGCGGTTGGATCACAAGGTCAGGAGATCGAGACCATCCTGGCTAACACGGTGAAACTCCGTCTCTACTAAAAAATACAAAAAAATTAGCCTGGCGTCGTGGCGGGCACCTGTAGTCCCAGCTACTCGGGAGGCTGAGGCAGGAGAATGGCGTGAACCCGGGAGGCAGAGCTTGCAGTGAGCTGAGATCACGCCACTGCACTCCAGCCTGGGCGACAGAGCAAGACTCCGTCTCAAAAAAAAAAGAAAAAAAAGAAATAATCGGCTTTGCTCTGTTTGTGATTTATTAAGAGGTCCTAAAAGATGGGCCTGAAAAGTGTCTGTTGAAATTTGTGGCTTTAAGAACAAAGGCACTCTTGCTGGAACGGTCTCAGTGGAGTAGTGGGGTGGGAGCTACCAGGATGTGGGTTAATAAGTGGATGAAAGGTGAGGTAATGGAAAGAGTGATTTCTCTTTCAGGAAATGTTGCTGTGAAGGGGAAGAAAGAGAACAGCTGGATGAGACTTTAGGGTTAAACGACAGTTGCATTTTTTTTTTAAGTTAGAGGAGATTAAATATTGTTGGCATTTTGCTAGAAAACGCAGGCTGAAGATACAGGAGAGAGATGAGAGAGAAGATACGGAGAGACCACCATCTCTCTGAGAAGGCAGGAGAGGGTTGGGAGCCAGCACACATTTTCCTTCCTATAACGGAAGGAAATAGCCTTTGACAGAAGGGACACTTCCTTTGTTGCAGCGAGACAGAGAGAGAGAGGATGTGGCAGTGCAAGTAGGTGTGTTAGACTTGGGGGAGTAACATATTCCTTGTCTAATACAGCTGATATTTACTACCCCGGATAAATTAGGTAGCTTCTGTAGAAAATGTGCTTAGCATTGAGACTTTAAAGACCGCTGATATAGAGAGAGCTCCAGGATCTATGTTGTTAGGTGAAAATAGCAAATGCAGATCACAATATATAGATGTTAACCTTCTGTGTAAAAAAGGAGAGGAAATATGAAGATCATTTTTATTTTTGTACGACGTAAATGTGTCATTTAGCCAAAGATAAATCTAAAAAAATGAAACCCAGAAGCAATACAGAGCAAAGAGAACAATAAGACATGTTTGCAAAATTATATTTTTAATCATCTCTTTTGGAAAGTGCATTTATATTTCTGTATTTTAATTCCAAGTGCACACACCCTGTATGTGAGTATTAACGTTAGTGGCTTGTGAAATTTATTCCAGTGTATCGCAGAACGTCCGCTCTTTGTTGGACACTAACAAGGCATATCCAACTTCTTTCACAAAGAGGCCAACTTCTGGTTTGAGGTCAGTGGATACCTGATATCCCCACTGCGAAGCCCTTTTGTGGATCCTGCACTCGAATGGAGTCTAATGGCTTCTCCATGGTACAAACACAGAGGGGAACAAGACAGATAAACCATCTTTTTCTTCCTTGTTTTCTTTTTTCTTTGTCTTTTTTTTTTAAAGCAGAGAAGACAGCCTGTAAATGACTAAATAAATGTTTCTTTTTTAAATATGAAAGTATATTACTTGGGAATCAGGCCAAGCCCAAGGAATCAGGGAAAACTTTTTGAAGAACTGATCTTCAAACCAAGCTCTGAAGGATGGCAGGAGGCAAGGAGGGTGGGGAGGCTGTGGAGAGAATTTCATGGAGAGCTGGGGGGGAAAGGTTATGGCACGTTTGAGGAAGCAAAACAAGCTGCTTTTGGCTTAAACGCAGAGTTGGAAAGACGAGTTCAGAGGTGAGGCTGTGGGGGACAGGGGCCTTATGGTGCAAGGCACTGTTGTTCTCTGTTAACTCTTTTTTTCTCTATCATAAAGGCAGTGGGACCAGACAGAGAGAATTCCAGTGAGCCACCTGTGTATCTAGAATAATCTGAAATTTGTAATCATGACTACAGGCTTGTCATTTGTCATACAATTTCATTTTGCTGTGATTTTTTCCGCTGAGGCTATGTTTAAAATGCAAAAATAGGCCAGGCACGGTGGCTGACGCCTGTAATCCCAGCACTTTGGGAGGCTGGAGTGGGCGGATCATGAGGTCAGGAGATCGAGACCATCCTGGCTAACACAGTGAAACCCCATCTCTACTGAAAATACAAAAACAAAATTAGCTGGGCGTGCTGGTGGGTGCCTGTAGTCCCAGCTATTCGGGAGGCTGAGGCGGGAAAATGGCATGAGCCCAGGAGGCGGAGCTTGCAGTGAGCCGAGATCGCGCCACTGCACTCCAGCCTGGGCGACAGAGTGAGACTCCGTCTCAAAAAAAAAGCAAAAATAAACCATTGTTGTCACATTTCCATATAGGAATAAAATGGAAGGAGAATCAAGCAGATTTGAAATCCACACTCCAGTTTCTGACAAGAAAAAGAAAAAGTGTTCTATACATAAGGAAAGACCTCAGAAACATTCCCACGAAATTTTCAGAGACTCCTCCCTGGTGAATGAACAGTCTCAAATAACTAGGAGGAAAAAGAGGAAAAAAGATTTCCAGCATCTCATTTCTTCTCCTTTGAAAAAATCCAGAATCTGTGATGAGACTGCAAATGCCACTTCCACACTCAAAAAGAGAAAAAAGAGAAGATATAGTGCTTTGGAGGTGGACGAGGAAGCAGGTGTTACAGTTGTCCTTGTGGATAAAGAAAATATTAACAACACACCAAAGCATTTTAGAAAGGATGTTGATGTTGTTTGTGTTGATATGAGCATAGAACAGAAGTTACCAAGAAAGCCTAAAACAGACAAATTTCAGGTACTTGCTAAGTCACATGCACATAAATCAGAAGCCCTGCACAGTAAAGTTAGGGAGAAAAAGAATAAAAAGCATCAGAGGAAAGCTGCATCCTGGGAGAGCCAGCGGGCAAGGGACACCCTGCCTCAGTCAGAATCCCACCAGGAGGAGTCCTGGCTTTCTGTGGGTCCAGGGGGTGAAATTACAGAACTACCAGCATCTGCTCATAAAAACAAGTCTAAGAAAAAAAAGAAAAAGTCCAGTAACCGGGAATATGAGACACTGGCCATGCCTGAAGGATCGCAAGCAGGCAGAGAGGCCGGGACTGATATGCAGGAATCCCAGCCTACTGTGGGCTTGGATGATGAAACTCCACAACTACTAGGACCTACTCACAAAAAAAAGTCTAAGAAAAAAAAGAAGAAAAAGTCCAATCACCAGGAATTTGAGGCATTGGCCATGCCTGAAGGATCACAAGTGGGCAGTGAGGTTGGGGCTGATATGCAGGAATCCCGGCCTGCTGTGGGCCTGCATGGTGAAACTGCAGGAATACCAGCACCTGCTTATAAAAACAAGTCTAAGAAAAAAAAGAAAAAGTCCAATCACCAGGAATTTGAGGCAGTGGCCATGCCTGAGAGCCTCGAGAGTGCATACCCTGAAGGATCACAGGTGGGCAGTGAGGTTGGGACTGTGGAAGGCAGTACAGCTCTTAAAGGGTTCAAGGAATCCAACAGTACAAAGAAGAAGTCTAAGAAAAGGAAGCTTACGTCTGTCAAAAGGGCACGAGTGTCTGGTGATGATTTTTCAGTGCCCAGTAAGAACTCTGAGAGCACACTCTTTGATTCAGTAGAAGGTGATGGCGCCATGATGGAAGAAGGTGTGAAATCTAGGCCCCGACAAAAGAAAACCCAGGCCTGTTTGGCAAGCAAGCACGTGCAAGAGGCGCCAAGGTAACGAGGGAGTGGTATTCCAGCTGCTGGTATATTTCTTTCGTATGGATTCTGCCGATACCTCTTTATTTAGCACAGACTTTTTTTTATTTTTAATTTTATTTTTATTTATTTATTTATTTATTTTTGAGGTGGAGATTTGCTCTTATTGTCCAGGCTGGAGTGCAATGGTGCAATCTCGGCTTACCGCACCCTCCACTTCCCGGGTTCAAGCGATTCCCCAGCCTCAGCCTCCTGAGTAGCTGAGATTACCGGCATGCACCATGCCTGGCTAATTTTGTATTTTTAGTAGAGACGACGTTTGTCCTTGTTAGTCAGGCTGGTCTCGAACTCCTGACCTCAGGTGATCCGCCTGCCTCAGCCTCCCAAAGTGCTGGGATTACAGGCGTGAACCACCGTGCCTACCCTTAGCACATACATATTAAATGGCAAAAATCATCAAGAGGTAGACCCTCATTGTACAGAATATCGTACATCTTTAATTGTGTAAACTTGGCAGGTAGTTTAATTTCTTCATGTGTGAAATAAGACAGATTCGATTTTCACTAAGAACTATTCCAGCCCTAGAAAATCTATGAGTAAATTTAAAAGCCCAAATTACCTTTGAAAAATATAAAAGCCCAAATTACCTTTGAAAAATAGTCTGAGCAAATAACCAGTGGAAATGGGGCTTAGGGCTGCACTTTTAGCTTCTAGGCTCCCTCTGAGATATATCCAAGTAATTCAAGTTCCAGTAAAAAGTTTGAAAATCACAGACTGAGTCAACTCCAAGATCTCATCTTGCTTTAATATTCTAGTAGCCTAAGTGAGAGCCATTTTAAGAAAAGTTTAAGGCCAGGCGTGGTGGCTCATGCCTGTAATCCCAGCACTTTGGGAGGCCAAGGTGGGTGAGTCACTTGAGGCCAGGAGTTCGAGACCAGCCTAGCCAACATGGCGAAACCCTGTCTCTACTAAAAATACAAAAGTTAGCCGGGCGTGGTGGCGCGTACCTGTAGTCCCAGCTACTCTGGAGGCTGAGGCAGGAGAATCGCTTGAACCGGGAGGCAGAAGTTGCAGTGAGCTGAGATCGCACCATTGCACTCCAGCCTGGCGACAGAGCAAGCCTCTGTCTCACGAAAAAAAAGAAGGAAAAATTTTAAAGTTATGAGGTCAAGTGATGTGTTAATGTTAGTCAACCCAATTTTCTAACCCCTTAGGTTAGAACCTGCAAATGAAGAACACAATGTGGAAACAGCTGAAGATTCCGAAATAAGATACTTATCTGCAGATTCAGGAGATGCCGATGATTCAGATGCGGATTTGGGTTCTGCCGTGAAACAGCTTCAGGAGTTCATTCCTAACATCAAGGACAGGGCCACCAGCACAATCAAGCGGATGTACCGGGACGACTTGGAACGGTTTAAGGAATTTAAAGCACAAGGTGAGCTTGTGGGGCCTTAGTGTTTGTTGAACTTCCTGTATGCAGAGCTAGCACCTAACTTTCTTTTATGGATGATTCAGATTTATAGATCGACAAGAAGCATTCTTTCTCCTCCTTCACCTCTATCTCCTACCAGAATTGTCCAAGCTGTAAAATTAGCAAAATAAAGTGCACTTGCTTTTCCTCTTCTTGCCCAGTTTCTGGTAAAGGTGGCCAGGAAGAATGGGGCTAAAGAGACCAGATAATTAATTCCCACTAAGAAGAGAAGGGACGAGAGGTTAATTGGTTGAGACACTGGAAATGATACAACAGTTATATAAAATTAAAATGCTGTCAAATTAAAATCAACTTTAATGAGGTATCGTTTCTTTCTCCAAGATATTAAATTGATGGTGAGCCAGTTGTGGTAGACTTGATCACCTTCTTGATTTCACTGTGTTTCTGAACCTCTCTTATTAAGAATTATTATTATTAAGAATAATAAATAACCTTTATTATTCTTAAATCCAATAATAAAGCTTATTGGGTTTAAGAATAAACTGCAAATTTAAGGCTGTATACTACAAATGAGCAATATTTACTGAGTATCTGTTGTGTGAGACCCAATACAACTGGTCATTGAAAAAAGTAAAAAGAGGAGTCATAACCTTCCAGAATTAATGGGATTGAAGAGATTCAGAAAAATAGACAAGACAAATTAAGCAAAAAAGACAGCACTACCCACGTACACACAATTATAGAGTGGTATAGAATCCCATTTTGGTGTATTGTGTTGAAATTTTTATGAGTATGTATTTCATAAAAGACTTTTTTTTTTTTCTTTTTTTTTTTTTTTTGAGACAGAGTCTTGCTCTGTAGCCCAGGCTGGAGTGCAGTGGCATGATCTCGGCTCACTGCAACCTACGCCTCCTGGGTTCAAGTGGTTCTCCCACCTCAGCCTCCCAAGTAGCTGGGACTACAGGCGCCTGCCACCAAGCCCAGCTAATTTTTGTATTTTTAGTTGAGATGGGGTTTCACCATATTATTGACCAGGCTGGTCTCAAACTCCTGACCTCATGATTCGCCTGTCTCGGCCTCCCAAAGTGCTGGGATAACATGCATAAGCCACTGTGCCTTGCCCATAAGATATTTTTAAAGTAAACCTAGGCCAAGTGAGGTGGCTCACACCTGTAATCCCAGCACTTTGGGAGGCCAAGGCAAGAGAATTGCTTGAGGCCTGGAGTTTAAGACCAGTCTGGGCAAAACAGCAAGACCCCGTCTTACAAAAAATAAAAAATTAGCCAGGTGTCACACACACCTGTAGTCCCAGCTACTCGGGAGGCTGAGGCAGGAGAATCACTTGAGCCCAGGAGTTCAAGGTTGCAGTGGACTTTGATCATGCCACTGCACTCCAGCCTGGGTGAAAAAGCAAGACCCTATCTCTAAAGAATGCATAAATAAATTTGAAAACTATTTTTTAAAAAGATAGATTAAACAGGAAAGGTCACTTTGGAATAGGATGACCCGGGAAGACATTGACAGAAGAGGTGTGGCTTGGGCTGAACCCTGAAGGAAAGGCCAAATCTGCAAGTGCGGGCAGGAGGGCGAATGTCAGGTGTTGGGACTGTTGGGCCGAGGTACTGTCATTGCTGATGAAAAACCAAGTCATAGGTTTGCTTTTGTCATTATTAACAATACACACTTTCTCCCTGTTCCTTCCCAATTCTAGGTGTCGCTATTAAATTTGGCAAGTTTTCTGTAAAGGAAAATAAGCAGTTAGAGAAAAATGTGGAAGACTTTCTAGCCCTGACAGGCATTGAGAGTGCAGACAAGCTGCTGTACACGGACAGATATCCTGAGGAAAAATCTGTGATCACCAACTTAAAAAGGAGATACTCGTTTAGATTACACATTGGTAAGTTTAGAAACAATCACCCTTTGACCATCCACAGCCTTCCAGCCATAAACAAGATAACCCATGGTAAGTGTTAGCACGGTACCTGGCCCATTGCCTGCAGGCGGCGCACATTAACTGCTGTGATGGCTGATGATATTCTTTTTTTTTTTTTTGAGACGGAGTCTTGTTCTGTTGCCCAGGCTGGAGTGCAGTGGTGCAATCTTGGCTCACTGCAACCTCCACCTCTGGGGTTCAAGTGATTTTCCTGCCTCAGCCTCCTGAGTAGCTGGGACTACAGGTGCCCACCACCACGCCCAGCTAATTTTTTGTATTTTTAGTAGAGACGGGGTTTCACCTTGTTAGCCAGGATGGTCTCGAACTCCTGACCTCGTGATCCGCCTGCCTCGGCCTCCCAAAGTGCTGGGATTACAGGCGTGAGCCACCGCGCCCAGCCCTGATGGTATTCTTATTGCCAGTCTGTACTTTCTGGGATTTGGAATGTGTTCATGTCTCCCAAGTTTAGGGTGAAAAATTAAATGATCAACTTTTACCTTTCTTCCTTGGCAATAGTTGTGGTTTTGGTTTCTCCTCCTGTTCCTTATTTATATTTTGTGTACGCTACACAAAGCACATCCTTATACGCACCATGGTCTCCCGTGTTTTTTAAGTGTGGCCATATGTGTGCTTTGTAACTGGAACCCTCCGACTGGAGGTGCTGCCTGTGAAGTTAGAAGGTCATGCTGTCATATGGGATCAGAGCGAAAGCAAATCTCTCTTGAATTTAAAGAGGATAATTTCTTAGGTGTTGTGTGGAATCCACGAAGAAAAGCAGGCTAGTACGCCCCCGTTGAGGGATTATTTCCCCTTAGAGTGAGAAAGTGAGAAAAGCTGATTTGGGAAAGATTATTGTTCATCTTCTGGAAAACTGTTACCCTGTATTCTCCACCGCAGTGTTCTCTTCCTCTTAATTCACATTATCTTAAAACTACTTTGCCTCTTAAGGATTCTTTCCACAAATTGCATAGACCGGAAGCTGAAGCCTCAGGGTACTAAGCATTTAGTTTTCGGAGATCTCCAAGGAAACTGGTGATTGTGTGTATCTGCTCTTCAAGACAGCTTTCTTAGGCCGGGCGCGGTGGCTCATGCCTGTAATCCCAGCACTCTGGGAGGCCGAGGAGGGCGGATCACCTGAGGTCAGGAGTTCAAGACCAGCCTGGCCACCAAATGAACCTGGCCAGCTGGTTCATTTGGTGAAGCAGCCTTCACCAAATGAAACAGCCTGGTTTCATTTAGTGAAACCCCGTCCCTACTAAAAATATAAAAACCAGCTGGGCGTGGCGGTGGACACCTGTAATCCCAGCTACTCGGGAGGCTGAGGCAGGAGAATTGCTTGAACCCAAGAGATGGAGGTTGCAGTGAGCCGACACAGTGCCACTGCACTCCAGCCTCAGTGACAGAGTGAGACTCTCTCAAAAAAAAAAAAACAAACAAAAAAAACAAGACAGCTTTCTTCAGGACGTAGGAAATCCCAGCCTTAACACGGGGCTTAGGATAGTTCATGTTGTTATAAGGGCTGTTCTGGGTTCCTTTTACAATTGCGACTTCATTTCATGTGAGTCCCTCTGATCACCTTTCTTCTGACTTTAGGTAGGAACATTGCCCGGCCCTGGAAACTTATATACTATCGAGCAAAGAAGATGTTCGATGTCAACAATTACAAAGGCAGGTAAGAAAAAAGTCTTAGCAGCTTGAGACAACATTTCTCTAGTCTTTGCTGATACCATAAATCAAAATATTCACAGCAGTGGATTAGCAGTAAAGATAACGCAGATTTGTGTGTGTGAAACCAGGTGGTGTATTTGTTGTCAAATGTGTGTCTTCATGGCCTTTTCCATCCCCACCTCTTTAGTGAAGCTGTGGTGACCTTCTGTTTCCTGCATCTGCAGCTTTCTCTACACTTTTTCTTTAGCACTCCCCATATGCTGCTTCATGTGCTGTGACTCCTGTTTACTCTGCTCTCTGCTTACGTCATAAGCTCCTTGTGAACCCAAACATCCCATCTCGACACATGTTCCATTCAGCACTTAGCAGAGTGCTGTGGGTTTTTAGTAACTATTTGAAGGTGGAGGTAAGTGCTGGGATTAGGTCCCTTAAATGCAGTTCAGTGGTATCAACCTGGGGTGCTTAACCCGGTTGTCATTCTCTCCTTCCTTTTCCCCAAATACAATATCGGATTATAATTTGTTTCCAACACATTTAAAAACAAACCAAACGTAGACCGAGCGTTTGGGTTAGCACGTTAGCACTCTGCTCAGGGACAGAAGGAGAAGCAGGAAGGTGTTAGCTCGGATTCCACGGCCCCCGAAAACTACCTTCTACTCAGCTGCTTGACCTCTCTCTGAGAGGCAGCTTTCATAAATCTTCTGGCAGCGGCAGTTGAGTTCTGCTTAGCTCTGTGATTGTAAACTGAGACATAGGTCATTACTTAAACTTCCAACGTTGATATGACCTCGGTTTCCTTTTTAAAATTTTTACAGAAATAAATCAGCCTTAGGTGAGGAAAGTTCACACACAGACTGAGACCTGCCCTGCCTGTTTTTCCCCAATCCTGAGGTTAGACAATTGTGAACAGAACTTTTAAGAAAATCCACTAAAGGTAACATTTTAAATGGGACTTACAAGAATGCTTTTGGCAGGTTAATGGTGGCAGCTGAGGTAATATATTTCCACCTGTGACACACACACAGGAATGAAATTTTTAGAGTAATTTTTAGAGTCATTCTAAAAATCTAACAGTTCATCTCTTTGTGCTGTATTATTTGTGTTGTGGTGATCATTTACCCTTAGAATATTTTTATAGCAAGCAATTCCTGACTTCAAAAAAATAGAAAGTAAAAAATCAAAGAATTATTATTATTTTAATTTTTAATTTTTGTTGTTGATTTTTTGTTGTTTTTTTCTTTTTTTGAAATGGAGTCTCAGTCTGTCGCCCAGGCTGGAGTGCAATGGCGCAATCTTGGCTCACTGCAACCTCCGCCTCCCAGGTTCAAGCAATTCTCCTGTCTCAGCCTCCCGGGTAGCTGGGACTACAGGCACCCACCACCACGCCCGGCTAATTTTTGTATTTTTCGTAGAGACGGGGTTTCACCATATTGGTCAGACTGGTCTGGAACTCCTGACCTCAGGCGATCCACCTGCCTCAGCCTCCCACGGTGCTGGGATTACAGGGGTGAGACACCGTGCCTGGCAATTTTTTTTTTTTTTTTGGAACAGGGTCTCCCTCTGTCACCCAGACTGGAGTGCAGTGGTGCGAACTCGGCTCATTGGAACCTCCACCTCCTGGGTTCAAGCGATTCTCCTGCCTCAGCCTCCCAAGAGGCTGGGACTGCAGGCGTGTGCCACCACACCCAGCTAATTTTTATATTTTTAGTGGAGATGAGCTTTCACCATGTTGACCAGGCTGGTCTCAAATTCCTGACCTCAAGTGATCCTCCTGCCTCAGCCTCCCAAAGTGCTGGGATTGCAGGCTTGAGCCACCACACCTGGCTTACAGCCATGATTCTTAATAGTGAAAAGTAGGCCAGGCACAGTGGCTCACACCTATAATTCCCAGCACTTTGAGAGGCTGAGGTGGGCGGATCACTTGAGGTCAGGAGTTCGAGACCAGACTGGCCAACATGGTGAAACCTTATCTCTACTAAAAATACAAAAATTAGCCTGGCGTGGTGGCAAACGCTTATAATCCCAGCTACTTGGGAGGCTGAGGCAGGAAGATTGCTTGAACCTGTGAGGCAGAGGTTGCTGTGAACCGAGATTGCGCCACTGCACTCCAGCCTGGGAAACACAGCAAGACTCCGCCTCAAAAAAAAAAATAGTGAAGAATAACCAGTTTCTATTCACCATACGCTGCATTTACAGACAAATGTCTGAAAATGCTCCGATGTTATTGTTTGTTTTTGGCTGGGTGCGGTGGCTCATGCCTGTAATCCCAGCACTTTGGGAGGCTGAGGCAGGCGGATCACTGGATTAGGAGTTTGAGACCAGCCTGGGCAACGTGGCTCTACAAAAAATACAAAAATTAGCCTGGTATGCACCTGTAGTCCCAGCTACTTGGGAGGCTGAGGTGGGAGGATCGCTTGATCCCAGGAGGTGGAGGTTGCAGTGAGCCATGATCATGCCACTGTGCTCCAGCCTGGGTGACAGAGCCAGACCCTGTCTCAAAGAAAAAAAAAAAAAGAAATTGTATTTTTTAGGACTTCTTAGTGATGACATAAACCACCATTCCTACTCAGATAGGAATCTGAAGATGTTATAAAGATTGCTTTTTATTTATTTAAATATTTAGGTGTTTAATCTTAAAATCCATTTATAATATTATAGTGCTTTTCTTAGTACTTTAATATATGTGTTTGCTGAGACCAGCTCGGTCCGGGAGACCCTAACCCAGCGGTGCTAGAGGAATTAAAGACACACACACAGAAATATAGAGGTGTGAAGTGGGAAGTCAGGGGTCTCACAGCCTTCAGAGCTAAGAGCCCCGAACAGAGATTTACCCACGTATTTATTAACAGCAAGCCAGTCATTAGCATTGTTTCTATAGATATTAAATTAACTAAAAGTATCCCTTATGGGAAACGAAGGGATGGGCCGAATTAAAGGAATAGGTTGGGCTAGTTAACTGCAGCAGGAGCATGTCCTTATGGCACAGATCGCTCATGTTATTGTTTGTGGCTTAAGAATGCCTTTAAGCGGTTTTCCGCCCTGGGTGGGCCCGGTGTTCCTTGCCCTCATTCCCGTGAACCCACAACCTTCCAGCGTGAGCATTAGGGCCATCATGAACATGTTACAGTGCTGCAGAGATTCTGTTTATGGCCAGTTTGCGGGGGGGGCTTGCTCCCAACATGTATTTTTATGTAGGATGAATGCACTTTACATTTCTCAAGTAGTTACATATTTACAGTAAAGCCATTTGTTGCATGTTTATGCAGTTTATACAGTAAAGCCATCTTTTGTCTGTCAAGCATTATGGATAACATAGTATACGAAACCGACAAGATCTCTGCCCTCATGGAACTTCCCTTCTAGAGCTGTGTCTTCCAGTATGGTGACCAGCAGCCTCCTGGGCCTGTGGAACATTTGAAATGTAGTTAGTCCACATTGAGATGTGCTGTCAGAGTAAAACACATGCTGGGTTTTGAAGGCTCAAGATGAAGAACCGAATGTAAAATACATCGTTGATATTTTTTGATACTGATGACGTGTTGAAATGATAGGCATTTTTAATGTATTGAGTTCAATGAAATATATTATTTTTTGTTTTTGTTTTTCATCACGCAACATGTCCATGTAAGAAATATATTCTTAAAGTTCCTTTGATTAAAACTAGGTAAAGTGAGTTTTCCTATGACTACTAGGAAACTTAAACTCCGTAAGAGGCTCGTATTATGTTTCTGTTGGGCAGTGCTGGTCTGGAGGAAGAGGCATGAACAAGGGAGCCAGTGCACGTGTGAGTGCAGGTTGTGACCAGTGCTATGGAAGAGAAGCACGGTGTTCTCCAGGAGCAATCAACGGGGACTTCAGGCTAAGGGGGTCAGGGAGGCGCTCCCCGAAAACGCACCCTTTAAACGGCACTGGCGAGCATGCAGGCACTGTCCAGGTCGGGTGGAGGAAGGCCGTTTCCACCACAGGGACAGAGGCTCTGAGCTGAAGAAGGGCTAAGTGATTGCTCCGGCTGCTGTTCAGTTGAGCCAGGCCTCTGGTCTCCACTTCAGTGATTGATTGATAGGATGACCACCAGTGAGACGCCAACAGGAAGTGAAGAGGGCTGTGACCGGGTTCCCTGACAGCCTGCCCCATTCAGCTTTCCCCACGATTGCTGCGTACTGGGATGAGAATACCATTTTTAATCTGATAGTTCGTTTAAACTTGTAAAACATTTTCCCTTTCTCCTAGGTATAGCGAAGGAGATACTGAGAAGTTAAAGATGTACCATTCTCTCCTTGGGAATGACTGGAAGACGATTGGTGAGATGGTGGCCCGAAGTAGCCTCTCCGTGGCCCTCAAGTTCTCACAGATCAGCAGTCGTAAGTGGCAGCCCCCAGTGCCCACCTCGCTGAAGAAATAAGCCCTGACAGGCCTGGTTCAGCCATAACCGATCCAATGCCCGGAAATCACCGTAGACCTGTCTTCCGCAAGAGCTTTGTTTCTTAAGCTGTTCTCTATACTAATTTGTTTGGTTTCCTCGTGTGTTTAGTGAAGCCATGTGACCTTTACCCACTAGGCTGGTTTTTACCACACTTCAGTAACTGTCCGTGCAAATATAACTGCCAAGTGGACCAGGACCCCAATAAACTGGTGGTGGGAGAGCCTGGGCGGAGGGTCACTTCCCCGCAGTGGCACGGGACACGTTGGGAGGGAGGCAGGCACGCAGTTCGTGCCCGTCAGGCGGGGACTTTTCTCAGAACCAGTGTTGGTGACCTCCTGTCTGTGTCTCCTCTTTCCTAAAAGGTTTCCTTTCAGAAGACAGTCCTGACCGGGTTTTCTGTTTAGCACAGGGGCTCACACACTCCGGCCACACAGCTAGTGCCTTGCAGCCAGTTCTTCAAGTTTCCAAGAACTAGAGGAAAATCTTAAATTGTTTTTTTTTTTAATTTTGTGAACTCTAGCTATCTTTTTTTCTTTTTTGGAAATCTCTTGATTTTTAAATATTCATCCAAATTGTTATTGAGGGGAAAATGTAACATTCTGTGGCCAGACCAAAAGCACAGCCAAACAGCTGCCAGTGTGACGCTCCTTACTTAGCGTGACCGTGAATGTCTCTAGTGAAGAAGGGTGAACCGTTGATACTTTGGGGCATCCGCCACAGATAACTGGCTTCAGAAATTCTCAGGTGCCTTCATCAAGTACTGTGTTGGTATCAGTGTAGCTATTTATATTGTTACACTATGAACTCTTGGCCAAGAGACATGTACATAACATAAAAGCCATTTGGCTGGCTTTTCTTCCCCCATTAAATGTTTGGGAACCTCACAGTTTGATGCGGGAGACGTTCTCAGAAACAGGATGAACAACTGTTTTGAAATAAATAAATAAAACATTGCTTTAAGAAAGGACTTATTGAATAATTTCAGGCTTTAGTTCTTAAAAAGAATCCATGACCGTGTTAGTAATTTCATTTTAATATGCACATAATTGTGTTTGTTTTATGTCTATATAATTGAGATGCACATTATTTTCTGAAAAGTACCCGATTTATCATTTCATTTTTAATATTGTGTTTGAAAGCAAATAGACTAGCTACTATAAGACCATCTTTTTATATCTACAGAAAGAAATCGTGGTGCTTGGAGTAAGTCTGAAACCCGGAAACTAATCAAGGCTGTCGAAGAAGTGATTCTGAAGAAGATGTCTCCCCAGGAGTTAAAAGAGGTGGATTCCAAACTCCAAGAAAATCCTGAAAGTTGCCTATCAATTGTTCGGGAAAAACTCTACAAGGGCATATCTTGGGTAGAAGTAGAAGCTAAAGTGCAAACCAGAAATTGGATGCAGTGTAAAAGTAAGTGGTAAGTTCTTCCCTCTCTCTTTCTCTGTCTCTCCAGCTTCTGTGGAGAGGTGAGGTTACCAAGAATATCTGTGTAACTGCCGTGGGGAAGCTGACGTGTCAAGAACAATCGTGTCTAGTCTGCTGCCCCAGCTGCTTCCATATCACTCTCTGATTTAAATGAGCACGTAACTAGCCCTGATGCATTGAAGAGTGTATGCTTTTCTCCTAAAGAACTTGAACCTTTTTAAAACTGAATATTGACTTCTGATTTCTTCACTCTTTCTAAGTCTTTAATAAAACAAGGTAGCAATCTGTTGGCAGCATTAGAAAAAAAGGGGCCACGCGCAGTGGCTCATGCGTGTAATCCCAACACTTTGGGAGGCTGAGGCAGGCAGATCACTTGAGGGCAGGAGTTCAAGACCAGCCTGGCCAATGTGGCAAAACCCTGTCTCTACCAAAAATACAAAAATTAGCCAAGTGTGGTGGCTCACAGCCACCAGTAGTCCCAGCTACTCAGGAGGCTGAGGCAGGAGAATCGCTTGAACCCAGGAAGTGGAGGTTGCAGTGAGCTGAGATCGCCCCATTGCACTCCAGCCTGGGCAACAGAGCGAGGCTCTGTCTCAAAAAAATAAAAAATATATAGAGAGAAAAAAGATAGAAAACTAACATACAGAGAGAAATCACAAGTGTAGTGATCAGTAGCAGCTCCACCCTTCTAATGTGCTTTCTGCTTCTGCGGTTCCTCAGATGAAGCGAGGTAGGCATGCTCCTGGCTGCGTCAGTCACATAGAGACAGTTTCAGTCCTGCTTCTGCCACACATTCTTTGCTGGATATAGCTTTTCCAAGACCTGGAGAGTCGCGGAGCTGGATGTCCAGCTGCAGCGAACTCCTCAAACCAGTGGTTCTGCATGCTCATGACCCCCCTACCTTGCACATGAAGGGCACTCAGTGGCTCTTGAATAATAAATAGGAGTAAAATCCAGAGTAGACATATTTTGTGTTAAAAGCAAACTCCTAGATCATACTGTTTATATACCTTACAACTCCAGGGGAATAAACTCCAAAGAACAGGGAATGTTGGAGGAACCAGAGCTCTTTTTACCTCTATTTTTAGCTAAAAGAAGGAAGAGTGAGGGCCGGGCACGGTGGCTCATACCTGTAATCCCAGCACTTTGGGAGGCTGAGGCAGGTGGATTACAAGGTCAGGAGTTCAAGACCAGACTGGCCAACATAGTGAAACCCCACCTCTACTAAAAATACAAAAAATTAGCCGGCGGGATGGCGGGCATCTGTAATCCCAGCTACTCGGGAGGCTGAGGCAGGAGAATTGCTTGAACCCAAGAGGCGGAGGTTACAGTGAGCCGAGATCACGCCATTGCACTCCAGCCCCAGCGACAGTGCCAGACTCCGTCTCAAAAAAAAAAAAAAAAAAGGAAGAGTGAGTTATAAGCCTCAAGTGGAGGATGACATACCAATGTTAAAAGGAGGACATGGTAATCATTAAGGGTAGTACTGGTTCAAGATCAACATAATTAAGATAACGTGCAAGATTTAGCTATTAATTTGAGATAAAAATAGGAAACTTAAACTCTGAACGTTTATTTACCTTGTGTAACATTGAAGTGACCTCCACTGGTACATTTCAACCCTGTAAACGTGGATGGCTCTCATTAAGAGCAACAATGTTGTTGATCAGCGTGTGTATCTCCGTTACCAAGAATGTAAATATAACAGCTAATGATCTATCAGATTGTGACAAATTTTGCTATTCAAGATAAGTACTTTTAAAATCTTTTTAATTGGGTCACTGCCTTTACTAGAACCTTCAGTCAGCCTGCAGCCACTAGCTTCGGCATTAGAGGAATCATCAAATCATTTCTCACTTTACTAAATTTGTCTTATTTGATGTTCCAAGGCTGGTAATGGTAATAAGAGCAATGCCTGTCTGTGCATAGATAGTCAAAATACATTGAGGTCCAGGTACTGTGGCTCATGTCTGTAATCCCAGCACTTTGGGAGGCCTAGGCAGGTGGATCACTTGAGGCCAGGAGTTTGAGACCAGCCTGGCCAACATGGTGAAACCCTGTCTCTACTGAAAATACAAAAATTAGCCGGGCGTGGTGGTGCGCACCTGTAAGGAATCCCAGCTACTCGGGAGGCTGAGGCAGGAGAATCGCTTGAACCCGGAAGGTGGAGGTTGCAGTGAGCTGAGACCGTGACACTGCACTCCAGCCTGGGTGACAAAGTGAGACCCCGTCTCAAAAAAAAAAAAGAAAAGTTAGAAGTTGGTTCTGAATGAGAGCAATTTAGATAAGAAAAATATAGGATATTTTAATGAAAACTCTACCCTTGAAAGTAAACTATGTTTTTCTTCCTTTTAATGTAGGACAGAAATTCTAACCAAGAGGATGACTAATGGTCGGCGTATCTACTATGGCATGAATGCCCTGCGGGCCAAGGTCAGCCTTATTGAAAGGTATGAAAAATAGAAACGGATGCCTCTTAACTGTTTCTGTCTCTAGCCAAAGAGAAGTTGTTAACCCAGCAGAGTCTGCAGTGAGATTGCCAAGGTCCAAATCCCTGTTCCAGCACTTTCCGCATGTATTGTGGGCATATGACCTACCCTTCTAAGTCTCAGTTTACTCATCTTAACTCATCTACTGAGGATGACGATAATCGTACCTAGCTCTTAGTGCTTTCAGGAGGATAAAAGAAAATAACGTGTGAAACATACTGTATACTCCGTGTATTTTAGTCTTTGAAGCATTTCATATGGATATAAATTATTTACGCCCGTTGGAAAATGGGGGTAAATGACTCAGGCAGAGCCCTCCTGTGCTCCAGCATGAGCTTGTTGGTGTCACCCTTGCTTGTCTTTGGTTTTGTCTTTGAGTTCCTTGTCCATGCAGGGTCCCCCCTAAAGTGTTGAAGGGTGACGAGGAAAAGGGAGACATGGGCCCGTTTCGTGATGCGTGTGAGACTAGTGGACCTGGCCCATGTCGACTGAGGAACAGGAAAGAGCAGCAGAAGCCTGTGGGTTCTGGCCTTGCTGTCCGCCTTCATTCCCTCTGCCTCACACGTGAGCCCTGCCTAAGGCTCACTGTGGGTTTCCTGATCCTCTTTCCTAGGGGTGGATCGGGGGGTGGTTATGCCCCCGCCCAGTCTTCCCTGCTAGAGAGGCAGCATAGATTACCAGATCCAAGAAGGGCATCTCAAGTCAAGCAGGCCTGGGTTCCAGTGTCGGCCCCACCTATTAGTCATGCAATCTGGAGCCCATGACTGTGTCTCTTGGCACCATTTCCCTGTCTGTAGATTGGGGGGGGAGGGTTACTGTAAATGAATTTGCGCACTTTAAGGTCTTAACTTGGCTCGGCGTGGTGCCTGACGCCCATAATCCCAACACTGGGAGGCCAAGGCAGGAGGAGCCCAGGAGTTTGAGACCAGCCTGAGCAACATGTCAAGACTCCATCCCTACAAAAAATCTAAAAAATTAGCCGGGCATGGTGCCACGTGCTTATGGTTCCAGCTTCTTGAGAGGCTGAGGTGGGAGAGTTGCCTGAGTCCAGGTGGTCGAGGCTGCAGTGAGCCACGATCACGCCACTGCAGTCCAGCCAGGGTGACAGAGCGAGACCCTGTATCAAAAAAAAGACCTTCACAGTGTCTGTCACATAGTACAGATGTCCTCTTACTGTGTGTCTATGTTGAATGATGAGGTGGTGTTTTTTACTGTGAGAAAGCAACATGGTTTGTTGAGAGAAACAAAGGGCTCAGAAAGAGGAAAGAGGTCTTTTCAGCCCATCTCTGTAGCCCACCAACTGACTGACCTGGATTAACCTTGGGCTGGGATGCTGAGCTCACTGTGCATGTGTAACGAGGGAGCTGGAATGCGGCGAAAGCGCACATACCTTCCAGCTCTCAGCACTCCACGCGTCCATGAAGATGGCTATCATGATTATTTTTGCTTGAAAATTTAATTTTTATTTTTTCTCACAGGTTGTATGAAATAAATGTGGAAGATACTAATGAAATAGACTGGGAAGATCTTGCTAGTGCCATAGGGTAAGACCATTTGTTTAATATTAAACTAATTAAAATATAGAGATGACTTAATAAATACAATAACTCCCTATCATCTTACAGGGCTGATAATGATGCTGCATTTGGAATTTTGTATAAGTGGTGGTTAAAATTCAGTGTATTTGCTAGGAAACCAATTTGTTAGTGCAGAGGAAACTGTAATTTTAGGAGCAGTGTATACGTAAAGGCTCTGAGCTGCTAGGTAGATCAGGTTTTCATGACACTAAATACATCACTAGTTGGATATGTTTTTCATTTTTCTTCCCTTTTTTTAGTGTCACATAGATCATCACGCCTCAGGTGTTTTGTGATTACAGATTTTAGCTAGAGCATAATACCTATGGCCCACCCACCTCCCTCCTATTTCAGTTTTCCAGTGGAAAAATAATCGTGTAAGGAAGTATTACCATACAGTCGAGTTGACCTTGGCAGGCATTGGAGGTGATATTATAGGTACTTTAGTAACAATGAAGTGAATTTTCCCAGTACATACCTTTTATCAATTCCAATTATTGAAAAATCAAAGGCTCAGAATTACTCTTCACCCACCAAATACGAGGTGCCTATATGCCAGGCATTTTTCTAGGCTCTGGGGATACAGCATTGAACAAAAGACAAGTTCCTTGCCTGGTAGAGCATCCATTCTGCTGACACAAATGCCAAGTTTTGTATAGTATAGAATTAACCTAAAAACTACATTGATGATAACGATATCAAACTAATAATAATTATTGACTACCTTCTGTATACCAGGCACAGAGTAGGAACTCACATTTAGTTCTGGGAAGAGACTGTAAACAAATAAGCTCATTTCAGATAGCATGGTACCAAAAAGAAAACAAAAATAGAGTAGAAGGGACGTCGGGGGCAATCAGATAGAGTGGTTAGGGAAGACTATGGAAGCAGAAGCGGTGGCAGGGTAGCCATGCGGGGATGAGACTGAAGATGTTCGGACAGAGAGTAGTGAATGCGGACACCTTGAGCCAGCACTGGCTGGGCACATTCAAGGGACTGGAAAGGGACCAGGTGGCCCAGAACAGTGAGTAAAATGACGGCAGCGATGGGCTGGGTGCGTGTGCAGGCCAGACTCCCACGCCTCAGGGGACTTCAGACAGTTGACAACTCAGCACACGCTCCAGACATCCAGGAGTTCCAGTTACCTTTGTGTACCCAATTTGGAACTTTGTAAACACTAGCAATTCTCTGGTTTTCAGCCCAGCTCTCACTTCAAAATCATCTGGGGAACTTTTAAAAAATACCAGTGCCACGTGAATGGGATTGGTCTGGTGTGGGGTCTGGCTTCGCATGAATGGGATTGGTCTGGTGTGGGGTCTGGCTGTCAGGATTGTTCAGAGCTCCAGGTGACTCAGATGTGTTACCCTGCCGAGACCCCGTGCTTTAGCGCTGGTTAAATGACTTGGTCGGTTCCCAGTTAGAACGTTTTAGTTGTGTGTAACAATTCAAATACAGAACTGAATATCATGCCCCACCCATAAGGAAAAAGGACTTGACTGTTCAGTTTGATTTTGCTGTTTTTCTGGAATAGGTAATAGATTACGTAGTCCAGAATTAAAGAAACGTAGGCTGGGCACGGTGGCTCTTGCCTGTAATCCCAGCACTTTGGGAGGCCAAGGTGGGCAGATCACCTGAGGTCAGGAGTTCAAGACCAGCCTGGCCAACATGGTTCAACTCCGTCTCTACAAAAATACAAAAATTAGCCAGGCATGATGGCAGGTGCCTGTAGTCCCAGCTACTCAGGAGGCTGAGGCAGGAGAATCGCTTGAACCCAGGAGGCGGAGGTTGCAGTAAGCCGAGATCATGCCATTGCACTCCAGCCTGGGCAACAGAGCAAGACTCCATCTCAAAAGAAAAGAAAGAAAGAAAGAAACCTGAAAGGAAACACAGTGAAAAGTGTCCCCTTACCACTCACCAGCCACGCGTAGCCCTACAGGAAACCAGTATCTATTTTCCGTAGATGGTTTATGCAAAATGTCTGCAGGATCTGAGTGATGTTCTGATGGCTAATGTTGGCTATTTATACCTACTCTCTTTTGTTACTGCTTGAATAGGAGTTACCAGAGATTGTCTTTTCAAAGCACCAGCTTTGATTGCGTTGACCCTATCTTGTGATTATTCTAATGTCAGCTCTTTATCACGCCCTCCCTTCAGCTCTCTTTGAGTTTATTTTGCTGCTGTTCTTCAACTTCTTGAGATGGGTTCTTAGCTCATTTTCCATTTTTCTTTCTTTGTAATATACATTTAAGGCCATATGTTTTCTTCTAAGTACTGCTTTATTAGCAATGCCCAATTATTTTTTTCAGAAACTTTATTAGGAAAATTTTAGACAGATACAAAATAAATGAAGCTTCATGTACCCATCACCCCAGTTCAGCAACTGTCAAAATCCAGCCGTCCTTATTAAACATCTACATTCACTCCCTCCAATTACTGTTATCTGTTTTGGTAAATTTTACATACTTTGCAGCCTTAGTACCATTCAAAATTCAAATAATTCTAGTAATTCCATTTCTAGAAATACATTCTACAAAACAACTTCACACATACATGAAATGACTTGTATACAGAGTAACTGACTGCAAAAGGCCTGTTAATAGGGGACTGGCTATATATGTATTTTACCCATATAGTGACATTCTTTATAGCTACAAAAAATCATGAGAAAGCCCCTCGGTGGTGGGGCAAAGAAAGCGCCAAGATACAGTCTTGGGTGAGGAAACACTGCGTGGTTGCAGGGTGGTGTGCCAGCGCCACAGAACAGGAAAGCTGCAATGTGTGTGTTTATTCGAGACTTCCAGTCTCTGTGCTCTGGACCAAATAAATCAGACCAGCCCTCCCTCCAGCCCACCTGCCACCGAAGACACCCAAGAAAGGCAAATGAAATGTATGCAAAGTCTCTTAAAGGCTTCAAAAAGCTAAACAAGTTGCAAGAGTAACAGAAAGAACCCCGCATCCCCTTTACCCATAGTCGCCTCTTCTGAACATTCTGCTACGTTCACTTTATCATCCCTCTCTCCCTCCTCCAAGGGAATACGGTTTTTCCCATAACCATTCAAGAGTTAGTGGCAGATACCACTTCCCAAGCAAGGATGTTATTTTACATAACCATAGTACAATCGAGAATCAGGAAGTTTCACATTGATATAGTACACCCTCTAAAACATAGTCCACATTCAGATTTCACCAGTTGTCCCAGTAATGTCCTTGATAGCATTTTCCCCCTTTAATAATTGTTCCATTTCCTTAGTGTCCTTTTTTTTTTTTTTTTTGAAGACAAGAGTCTTACTCTGTTGCCCAGGCTGGAGTTACAATGGTGTGATCTCAGCTCACTGCACCCTCTGCCTCCCAGGTTCAAGCAATTCTTGTGCCTCAGCCACCTAAATAGCTGGAATTAGAGGCATGCACCACCCTGCCTGGCTAGTTTTTTTTTTAATTAGTTAATTTTTTTTTTTTTGAGACGGATTTTCACTCTTGTTGCCCAGGCTGGAGTGCAACAGCGTGATCTCGGTTCCCTGCAACCTCCACCTTCCGGGTTCAAGCAGTTCTCCTGTCTCAGCCTCTGAATAGCTGGGATTACAGGTACCTGCCACCATACCTGGCTAATTTTTGTATTTTTAATAGAGACAAGGTTTCACCATGTTGGCCAGGCTGGTCTCAAACTCCTTACCTCAAGTGATCCACCCACCTCAGCCTCCCAAATTGCTGAGATTACAGGCGTGAGCCACCACACCTGACTTTTTTTTTTTTTTTTTTTTTTTGTATTTTTAGTAGAGATGGGGTTTTGCCATGTTGCCCAGGCTATGCTTGAACTCCTGGCCTTAATCCCTCTCAAAGTGCTGGGATTACAGACGTGAGCCACCATGCCCGGCCTTCCTTACTGTCTTTTAATCTATGAAGATCGTCCATCTTTGCTGTTGATGGTAGTGAAATTTTGGAGGAATACAGGCTAGGTGTTTTGTAGAATGTCCGCAGTTGGCACTTGTCTGGTATTTCCTCTTGAGGAGATTCAGGCTGTGTCCTTCGGGCAGGAGTACAGCATATTCCTGATGTTTGCTATCACTGCATTACGTCACAAGGTACATAATTCTCGTTTTGACTTTTTTTTATTATTTAGCTAAGGCAGCATCTGCCTCTTTTCCCCACTGTATAAAAATACTGGTTCTTCCTTTGGTGGTAAGAAATGGCTGTGGGAAGACATTTTAAGACTATATAAAGATCCTGTTCCTCTTTAAGCTTCTGTCAGTTTCCTTGTGGTTTTCATTTGCATTTCTCATGTGAGAAGTGAGATTGAACATGGCTCTTGTGTTTATAAGCTGTCTCTCTTTCCCTTCACTGTGAGCCTTCACTGCACATAGCTCTTGCATTTTAATCAGTTCCTGCGATTGGAGGGCCCACCACTCTCGATATCTCAACTTACTGCTTGCTACGCAAGGGAGAGCTGGGCTGCAGAGCACAGGCCCTCTACGTGTTGCCGAGCATCATGGGGCTCGGGGATCAGTGACTTTCAGATGCAGGGATGTTGAGGGATTGTTTGGCCTTTGGTTTTGGAAGGTAGACAGTGGGGTGAGGCTGCTGCAGCCTGGCTGACTTCCAGAAGTGTGGCTACTGGTGTGAGGTCGCCATTGGTCCATTAGGAAAGATTTTGTTTTGTTTCTAGTCAATATTCTGCGGAACCATTAGGGAGGGTTTAAACTGGTTCTGGTGGTTAGTTATTTATGGTTTGGGATTATAACCAAACAAGAAAGGACAATCCGTCTCTTCCTTCTTGAATGTGGAGAATTGGAAATTCTTAGTCCAGGCCCTGCCAGGACTCACAGATACATGCCGTGGTCCCAAAGTCTTTTCTTTTCTAGCTCATCTGAGGGGCAGGGTGCCCACTCTTCAGCATCATAGGCCCCAAGCAGGGAGGGTGCCAGGTGCTTTGAAGGAGGTGACGCTGATGTGCACCCCACCAGCTCCCATCTTGAGAACGACTTACATTGACAAAGCCCTTTATAATGTCAAACCACTTTTTAAAAATTCAACTTTTCGGCCGGGCGTGGTGATTCACGCCTGTAATCCCAGCACTTTGGGAGGCCAAGGCGGGTGGATTGCTTGAGGTCAGGAGTTTGAGACCAACCTGCCCAACATGGTGAAACCCCATCTCTACTAAAATACAAAAATTAGCTGGGCGTGGTAGCAGGTACCTGTAATCCCAGCTACTGGGGAGGCTGAGGCAGAATTGCTTGAACCCAGGAGGAGGAGGTTGCAGTGAGCCGAGATTGCGTCACTGCACTCCAGCCTGGGCCACAGAGCCAGACTCCATCTCAAAAAAAAAAAAAATTCAGCTTTTCCATTAAATTTGTGTATGCTTTGTGACATTTCTTCAGATCACATGATTTTTAAAACTAAAATGGGTTTTTATGGTTTTAAATAAAATTACATGTTTAAAAACTGATTATTAAGCTGCACGTGGTGACACATGCCTGTTGTCCCAGCTACTCTGGAGGCTGAAGTGGGAGGATCGCTTGAGCCTGGGAGCCAGAAGTTGCAGTGACCCGAGATCACGCCACTGCATTCCAGCCTGGGTGACAGAGTGAGACCCTGTCTCAAGAAAATAAATTAAATAAAAATAAATAAAAGGGCCCCACAAAATCCAGGTAGGGGGTAACTGATGAACTGATTACCTATTTCAGATTTACGAATCTCAAAACTCTAAGATAGAGATTATGGCATCTAGTCAAATACTATTTGAAATACTACGTACTCTCAAAGTTTTAATAACAAAATGGTAAAAATTATATTGAAGGTTCAGTCTCCTCAGATTCTTAAAGACTTTGTGAATTATATAGGCAGGATTTAAGGATAGCATCTCCACCTAATGAGGTGTAACACTTGCTTGGTTTTAAAACGTCCAGATCAGTTCTTGTTGCTTCCTGAAGCATGGGCTTGGGTCTGCAGCATGTTGGGCGCACAGCATTATGGGAAGGGAAAAGGCACAGGCTGCCGTAGAGCTGGGGTTTCAGAGTGAGACAGATTTGGCATAGAGTCCAGGGACTCCACTTAAAGTCTGTGGGCAGTTGTTCCCTATTTGTCTGAGCCTTTGTTTCCTCATCTGCATTATGGTTTAATAGGCTGTCAGGAAGGCTAAAGGAGATAATGGGCCAGGTGCAGTGGCTCATGCCTGTAGTCCCAGCACTTTGGGAGGCCAAAGCAGGTGGGTCACCTGAAGTCAGGAGTTCAAGACCAGTCTGGCCAGCATGGTGAAGCCCTATCTTTACTAAAAATACAAAAATACAAAAATTTAGCTGGGCGTGGTGGTGGGCACCTGTAATCCCAGCTACTCAGGAGGCTGAGCCAGGAGAACAACCTGAACCTTGGAGGCAGAAGTTGCAGTGAACTGAGAATGTGCCTCTGCACTCCAGCCTGGGTGACAGAGCGAGACTCCATCCAAAAAAAAAAAAGAAGATAATGCGAGAAAGAGACATTGTCTGGTACCTGGCACATACGTCCTCAGCTAGTGGTTGCTGTGATGAAGAGGTCGGAAGAATCTGATCATCTTTTACCTCTACATACTTAGCAGATCAAATTCTTCATGCTAATCATTTTAACAACTGGATTAGTTAATTGTTTTTTAATGTTCCCCTTTTATTAGGAAAAAGTGCCCAAAAAGTTTAGTGGTTTTTTACTTTAAAATACAATTTAAGAATAATTTCTGACCCACTTATTGTAAATTGAAATGTTTTGTAAATTGAAAACGTACCAAAACCTCATAAGCATCTGCTCTTTTTAGCTTTGTGAAATAAACATCAGGGAACATCTGTCTTTGAATTGTGACCAATATGTATGTGTCCTGAGTGTAATGGTTAAGAGGGTAGGATCTGGAGTCACACTACTTGATGAAGTCCCAGCTCTATCCCTGATTAGCCATGTGAGCTTGGGCAACTTCTCTGTGCCTCAGTTTCCTCGTCTCTCCAGCACGAGGGAGAGAGTGGTAACTCCCTCCTTGAGTTGTCGTGAGGATTATTTATTGCTGCAGTTAAGGTGCTTAGGGCAGGGCTGAGCACAAGGTAAGCATCAGCCCGTTAGCCGGCATTATACTTTGCCTTCTATACTTTGCCTTCTCGACTAGTGATACAAGTTATCTTAATTTAAATAGAATCCATTCTGTACTACTGATTCTTTTTCCCCTTTACATTTTTTTAAACCAAATAAACAATAGCTTTCCATATTCCACAAAAATTGTGTCATATTTGTATCACACATGTATGATGATCTTATGTTTACGATAAAAAAAACTATAAACCTCACCTGAATAAATGTACTTACTACACTGTATTGAAATGATAGATTTTTAAACTAACTTGCTTTTTATCTTTTCTTTCCTTTTCTAAAGTGATGTTCCTCCATCTTACGTTCAAACTAAATTTTCTAGGCTGAAAGCTGTCTATGTTCCATTTTGGCAGAAAAAGACTTTTCCAGGTTAGTATTCTTAATATTTATATGGCTAAGAACATGGCATTTGGTGCCACATGCTGGTAATGAAAGTCACCTAGGCAGGTGACTGGACTTAGAGCCTCAGCTTCATCAGCTGCAAAATGGTGGAAACAGGCAGATTATAATCCCTATCTGACAGGACTTCCAGAAGTCCTAAATGAAGCATGAACGTGTAGGGTGTGGTCATCCCGGTGCTTGACACTTAGCGACCACTCTGTAAATAACTGAGTCCTGCTGGTGTTGCCATCACACACACACACTCGTGCACACAGCACATGCACACATGACATGCCCGTGCACCACACCACATGCAAGCACTCACACACACCACATGCACTCACACCACATGCACTCACACACACCACATGCATGCACTCACACACGTATGCACTCACACCACATGCACTCACACCAACCACATGCACTCACACCACATGCACTCACACCACATGCATTCACACACCACATGCACTCACACCACATGCATTCACACACCACATGCACTCACACCACATGCACTCACACCCACCACATGCACTCACATCACATGCATTCACACACACCACATGCACTCACACACACCACATGCACTCACACCACATGCATTCACACACCACATGCACTCACACCACATGCACTCACACCACATGCATGCACTCACACACACCACATGCATTCACACGCACCACATGCACTCACACCACATGAATTCACACACACACCACATGCACTCACACACACCACATGCACTCACCACATGCATTCACACACCACATGCACTCACACACACCACATGCACTCACACCACATGCATGCACTCACACACCACATGCATTCACACGCACATGCACTCACACCACATGCATTCACACACACCACATGCACTCACACACACCACATGCACTCACACACACCACATGCATGCACTCACACACACCACATGCACTCACACCACATGCACTCACACACACCACATGCACTCACACACCACATGCATTCACACACACACCACATGCACTCACACCACATGCATTCACACGCACCACATGCACTCACACCACATGCATGCACTCACACACACCACATGCACTCACACCACATGCATTCACACGCACCACATGCACTCACACACACATGCACTCACACCACATGCACTCACACACACCACATGCATGCACTCACACCACATGCATTCACACACACCACATGCATTCACACACACCACATGCACTCACACCACATGCACACACACCACATGCACTCACACACACCACATGCATTCACACGCACCACATGCACTCACACCACATGCACTCACACACACATGCACTCACACACACCACATGCACTCACACCACATGCATTCACACACCACATGCACTCACACACACCACATGCATTCACACGCACCACATGCACTCACACCACATGCATTCACACACACACCACATGCACTCACACACACCACATGCACTCACCACATGCATTCACACACACACCACATGCACTCACACTACATGCATGCACTCACACCACATGCATGCACTCACACACACCACATGCATTCACACACACCACATGCACTCACACACACCACATGCATGCACTCACACCACATGCATGCACTCACACACACCACATGCACTCACACCACATGCACTCACACACACCACATGCACTCACACACACCACATGCACTCACACCACATGCATTCACACACACACCACATGCACTCACACCACATGCATTCACATGCACCACATGCACTCACACCACACGCATGCACTCACACACACCACATGCACTCACACCACATGCACTCACACCACATGCATGCACTCACACCACATGCATGCACTCACACACCACATGCATGCACTCACCACATGCATGCACTCACACACACCACATGCATGTACACACATACACAGAAGCATACACATATTCCAGAAAGAATAAAAGACACCCAGTTCCTTCTTTGTAGCCATTTGTGGGTGGTTTAGATATGTAAGTCCCAAACTCAGATCATCAGAGCCATGTGAGGAACTTGTTAAAAACACAAATTTCTGGCCAGATGCAGTGGCTTATGTGTGTAATCCCAACACTTTGTAAGACGAGGAGTTCAAGACCATCCTGGGCAACATAAGAGAGACCCTCCCACACACACACACCTATCTCTACAAAAAATACAAAAAGTGTCCAGGCATGGTGGTGCTTGTCTGTGTTCCCAGCTACTTGGGAGGCTGAGGTGGGAGGGGGAGGCTGAGGTGGGAGGATTGCTTGATCCTGGGAGTTCCAGGCTTCAGTGAGTGTGATCGCACCACTGCACTTCAGCTGGGGTGACAGAGCGAGACCCTATCTCAAAAAAAAAAAAAAAAAAGGATACAGATTTCTGGGCCTCATTTCAGACCTACGTACCAATTCCTAGTCTCTAGACCGAGTCCAGAACCTGGATTTTCACTAACGAGCTTGCAGGCCTGTGCTCTCTCATGCAGTCTGCACGGCACTGGTATTTCTCCTGGACCTGCCATTTGGGTGATATCGTACCCTGGGCTGTGATGAAATGCGTCTTTGCGTTCAGCAGACATCACTACCCGAGTTTGAATCCTTATGAATTCCAAGGCCTCGGGCAAGTCTCTTAATGTCTTTATGCCTTGGTTTCCTCAATTGAAAAACAAGTTAAAAACAGTGCCTACCTCGTAGGATTTTTGCAAGGATTGAAGAAGTGAATGTGGGTAAACCAATTGGAACCAGACCTTACACACAGCAATAACAAGAGCAGTTCATATTCATTACCAGCCTCCTGTATGCCTCGACCTTGATAAGAGGCCTTGTACAGACAGATAACTGCACAATTAAATTTCTTTTCTGTAGAGATCATCGACTACCTTTATGAGACGACTCTACCTTTGCTGAAGGAAAAGTTAGAAAAAATGATGGAGAAAAAAGGCACTAAAATCCAGACTCCTGCAGCACCCAAGCAAGTTTTCCCATTTCGAGACATCTTTTATTATGAAGACGATAGTGAAGGAGAGGACATAGAAAAAGAAAGCGAAGGCCAGGCGCCATGCATGGCTCACGCCTGTAATTCCAGTACTTTGGGAGGCCAAGGCCGGTGGATCATCTGAGGTCAGGAGTTCGAGACCGGCCTGACCAACATGGTGAAGACCTGTCACTATTAAAAATGCAAAAATTAGCCGGGTGTGGTAGTGCACACCTGTAATTTCAACTACTTGGGAGGCTGAGGCAGGAGAATTGCTTGAACCCAGGAGGTGGAGGTTGCAGTGAGCCAAGATCGCACCACCGCATGAGAGAGAGAGATTACTATTTCTTGTCCCTTTTTCTCAGTTTGATTATATTTATATACATATGTCAGTAAATCTGTTTTCAGTATTGATGTTTAATAAAGAATGTACAATGGCCAGAGTTCTACTCTTTCCTCTGGAGCATTAAAATATATTGCCATTCCTATTAAAACGTATTTGAATGTGAAAAGAGAGGAACATATGAATTGATTTAATAAATAATTACAACTAATGGTTTTATTAAATGACAAAAGTTTCACAAATCCCTCTAATTGTAGCAGAGAATAGGGTCACATTCTATGAACATTTCATTACGTGAGTTCAGCTATATGGGTACTGAGCGAAAATGAGAAAGGTAACAATTTCGAAAAAGCATGCCCTTCTGCTGTGTTTCCAGTTGTTTAGATGTCTGCTCTCCATGTATATATGGATCACATTCGTGTTAGATGGAAGTTGTGAATCCACTGTTCTCTCAAACCGGTCTCTTTCCCTTGTACCTATCATAGTGTACATAGCTCAACTTCCTGAGTTTGATTCTAGTGTTCAAAGATAGGTATTTTTCATATAAGATGTCCTGTCAAAGCAAGTCATTGAACTTACCTGGTATTTAACTGAAAACAAACAAAAATCAGCAATCTCTTCCATTGCTTGTAGAAATACTGACTTAGGCCAGGCACAGTGGCTCACGTCTAATCCCAGCACTTTGAGAGGCCAAGGCAGGAGTATCACTTGAGCCCAGGAGTTCGAGACCAGCCTGGCAACATAGTGAGAACTTGTCTCTGTAAAAAGGAAGGAAGGAAGGGAAGGAGGGAGGGGTGGAGGGAGAGGAGGGGAGGGGACACTCTGTTATACTTATCGAAAGGTGCTATCCAGGTGTGGTAGTGCAGCCGATAGTCTCAGCTACTCAGGAGGCTGAGGTGGGAGGATCACTTGAGCTCAGGAGTTTGAGGCTGCAGTGAGCTATGATGGTACCATGTACTCCAGCCTGGGCAACAGAGACAGACCAGACTCCTAAAAAAAAAGAAAAGAAAAAAAAATGTGTCAGTGTCAACACACAACTCCTGTTGGATATTCAAAGATAATTTCAATGGTGGGCTATTCCATCAATCAGGAAAGCAAAACCACCCGAGATATTTCAAATGGAGAAGAACTTAATATAAATTTTATGTTCCTTTTGGAGGGCAATTTGGTAAGATACATCAAAGCCTGAAGAGGCCGGGCATAGTGGCTCACACCTGTAATCCTAGCACTTTGTGAGGCCAAGGCAGGCGGATGACTTGAGGTCAGGAGTTTGAGACCAGCCTGGCCAACATGATGAAACTCCATCCCTACCAAAAAAAAAAAACAAACAAAAAAAAATTAGCTGGGCATGGTGGCGTGTGTCTGTAATTCCAGCTACTTGAGAGGCTGAGGTAAGAGAATCGCTTGAACCTGGGAGGCAGAGGTTGCAGTGAGCTGAGATCACACCACTGCACTCCAGCCTGGGTGACAGAGACCCTGTGTCAAAAAAAAAAAAAAAAAATTAACAGAGGCTGGGCAATGGTGGCTTATGCCTGTAATCCCAGCACTTTGGGAGGCTGAGGTGGGTGGATCACTCAAGGCCAGGAGTTCGAGACCAGCCTGGCCAACATAGTGAAAACCCATCTCTACCAAAAATTAGCCGGGTGTGGTGGTCTGCGCCTGTAGTCTCAGCTGCCCAGGAGGCTGAGGTGGGAAAATAACTTGAACCTGGGAGGCGGAGGTTCCAGTGAGCCGAGATCACGCCACTGCACTCCAGCCTGGCGACAGAGTGAGACTGTCTCAAAAAAAAAGTGAGTCAATGTTCTGGTTTCAGATCCTATAAATCTCACCTTTTACTAAAGAAAGTGACTCAGAAAGCGAACAAAGGTAAAAAGAGAAAGACAATACCCACCTCACAAGAACTAAGGCTGTGGAACATGTACAATTGGTTTTGTTTTTGTTTGTTTTTTGGAGACAGAGTCTCTGTCACCCAGGCGGGAGTGCAGTGGTGTGATCTCGGCTCACTACAACCTCCGCCTCCCGGGTTCAAGCAATTCTCCTGCCTCAGCCTCCTGAGAGTAGCTGGGATTACAGGCGTGAGCCACAGCACCTGGCCCATAAAATTGTTTTTAAACAGCCTTGACTATGCATTATTCGAGTTCTTGGCTCAGTTCTTGGTCATTTTGTCCTTGTCCCTAGTCATGTGTTTCAGCTGTTTGTCTTCACTGATGGACTTCATTACCCAACAAAGTGGCCCAGCATGGCAGATACCAAGTAGGTCAGAAATTAGCATCTTAGCCAGACCAAGACATCCACTGACTTCATAGCACCACCTTCACTTTGACAAGTGCAGCTCAACAAACATTGGTGAACACG
Organism: Homo sapiens; assembly: GCF_000001405.40. Taxonomy (NCBI): domain Eukaryota; kingdom Metazoa; phylum Chordata; class Mammalia; order Primates; family Hominidae; genus Homo; species Homo sapiens. The sequence goes on along the minus strand of NC_000009.12, from coordinate 132,373,361 downwards.
TGCAGTGAGCCAGGTACTGTTAGGAGCTAAAAAGACAAGCATTGACAGGCCAGGCACAGTGGCTTACGCCTGTAATCCCAGCACTTTGGGAGGCCGAGGCGGGAGGATCGGGAGGTCAAGAGTTCGAGACGAGCCTGACCAACATGGTGAAACCCCATCTCTACTAAAAATACAAAAATTAGCTGGGCCTGGTGGTGCGTGCCTGTAATCCCAGCTACTCGGGAGGCTGAGGCAGGAGAATCACTTGAACCCAGGAGGCAGAGGTTGCAGTGAGCCGAGATACCGCCACTGCACTCCAGCCTGGGCGGCAGAGACTCCGTCTCAAAAAAAAAAAAACAAAAAACAAGCATTGACAGTACAGCCTTGGGGCCTGCTTTCTTGGAGGCTACACAGTCCAGCACTTCCTGAACACCATTTCCTGTTTATTTCCTGAAATACATGAGCAGGCATTCTCAGCCTCCCTCGGTGCTATCAGGTCACTCCCAGCTTACCCAGGCTGTCACATGGTCCCTTGCCACAATCACCTTCCTGAACACCCTCCATCCTGGCATTCTCTCCCCCTGAGGCACTTCCCTGTTTAAGACACCAGATCTGGGTGAGCCCTTCCCTTTGCCTGTTACCTGCACCTGAAGAGCTGAATATTCCCAGAAGAAAATTACAACTGAGCTGGCAGATTTCACTTTAATGATGATAAAGCTCAAACGGACACAATGTTACCAAAGGATGCTACTCTGAATCTCTAGTAGGCTTGCTTTGCTTTTCCCCACATCAGCTCACGTGCACAGTCAGCCCTCTCACACTCCCTTTCTGCCTCATGTATAATCCACTTAGGAAAGTGAAGCCATAAGACATAAGCTCCCTCCTCCCTCCACCAAGCAGACAAACCTACCTCCAGCCACACTTACGCCGATCCCTACACCTAAGCTCCTGCAGCCCATCCCCCTGCTTTTTTTTTCCTTTTTTTTTTAAAGAGACAGGGTCTCACTGTGTTGCCCAGGCTGGAGTGCACCATCACGACTGATTGCAACTTTGACCTCCCGGCCTCAAGCAATCCTCCCACCTCAGCCTCCCATGTAGCTGGGACAACAGCAGGCATGTGCTACCACACCAGCTAATTTTTATTTTTTATTTTTGTGTAGCGACATGGTCTCCGTATGTTGCCCAGGCTGGTCTTGAACTCCCGGGCTCAAGTGATCCTCCCACCTCTGCCTCCCAGTGTTGAGATTACAAGGTGTGAGTGCCTGGCTACCACCTGCATTTTCTGAGATTTTGATATTTTGTTGATCCTTCTCCTAAATTGTCAGCCTTCTGTTCTGGACCATTAACACCATACAAACAGGCTCTAGTGTAACTCATCTTAATTTAAAATATGTGTGTATATATGTATATATATATGGACTCAATTAGTTTCTGCTACACTCCTCCCGCTGCACTCAACATTGAAAAGTTAGTGTTCCTCAGAGCTCAATTTTGGGCTTCTTCACATTCTCTCCATGCCTTGAAATAATGTGTATATGCTGATCCCTCCTCCCAAGTGTATAGTTACAGGTCAGATTCTCCCCCGAACTCCAGGATAAAAAAATTCATCTGCCTACTCACTATCTCCACTCAGGTATTACACCTGAAATCTATTATATTACAAATAACTTTCTTTCTTTCTTTCTTTCTTTTTAGATGGAGTTTTGCTCTTGTTGCCTGGGCTAGAGCGCAATGATGTGATCTTGGCTCACCGCAACTTCCTCCTCCCGGGTTCAAGCAATTCTCCTGCCTCAGCCTCTCAAGTAGCTGGGATTACAGGCATGTGCCACCACACCTGCCTAATTCTGTATTTTTAGTAGAGACGGGGTTTCTGCATGTTGGTCAGGCTGGTCTCGAACTCCCGACCTCAGGTGATCCGCCTGCCTCGGCCTCCCAAAGTGCTGGGGTTACAGGCGTGAGCCACCGCGCCCAGCACAAATAACTTTCTAATTGCTGACACCCATCTCAAAATCTGTCACTTGTCCCCCGGGCTTCCTCATCTCTGCCAGTGGTATTGTTACCGGGCATCCTGTGTTGGAATGGATTCTTTAACCAAGATCAACAGAGCTGGAGCTCTGGACCAGCAATCTCAGTTCTTGTGATAGTGAGCAAAGAATTGCAAACTAGGCTGGGCTCACACCTGTAATCCCAGCACTTTGGGAGGCCAAGGCAGATGGATCACGAGGTCAGGAGATCGAGACCATCCTGGCAAACACGGTGAAACCCCATCTCTACTAAAAATACAAAAAAATTAGCCGGGCATGGTGGCGGGCGCCTGTAGTCCCAGCTACTCGGGAGGCTGAGGCAGATTGCGCCACTGCACTCTAGCCCGAGCGACAGAGCGAGACTCCATCTCAAAAAAAAAAAAAAAAGGCAAACTAACACTGAAATGCAAGCTTACAGCAAGATTTATTGCAACACAGTAAAACACTCTGAGGGAGAGCAGGCTCATTTCTGGGAAGTAAAATCAGCCCCTCTTTACAAAAATCAAGGTGCTTTTATGGGGTTTGTTGGAGGAGTTGAGGCTTGGGCTGTGTTTGAGTGACAGGATGATATCATTTGATTGGCAGTTTATGGTTATATCCCTGAAGTTAAACTGCGCATGTTTTTACCCATAATTCATTAAGAAAAGCCCACTCAGAGAGGCAAAACCACATGTAAATTTTATTATAACGACTATAATGAGGATGGGTTTTCCCTGGGTTATGGCCTACATGGACTGGGCACGTGTGGCTTTAGGCCATCGTTATCTGTGCCCCAGTTTTTCTTTCTCCAGGATGTGCTGGCCCCAGATTGTACCATAAATTCCATCCATTAGGGTGGAGTTAGGACGGTCTCAGGCTGAACTTAGGTGGGCTAGGGCTGGTCTTAGTGACAGCCCTCCTGCTTTCTTCTCTCTCCCTCTCCCAGCTGCTAATGTCCATCTAACTACCTAACAGTATTGTCGTTCTGTTTGTTCAAGTCAGAAACCTAGAAGTCATCCTGTTTCCATCCTTTCCTCCAGGACCTCCACATCCAACCTAAGAGCAAACCCCACCCCACCACATTTGTCTCCAAGCCCACCTGGACTCTAGTCTAGCCACCTCCACTGCCACCTGCCGTGATCTCAGGCTTCATTCTCTGAGTTACACTGATCTCCTTGCTTCCCCTACCAGCCCTTCTCCAATCTGTAGTCCCCACATCTGCACAACTGATACTGCACCACCCTGTTGAGAACCTTGAAATGGGGCCAGGGGTGGTGGCTCATGCCTGTAATCCCAGCAATTTGGGAGGCTGAGGCAGGGGGATCACCTGAGGTCAGGAGTTCGAGACCAGCCTGGCCAACATGGTGAAACCCTGTCTCTACTAAAAATACAAAAGTTAGCCAGGTGTGGTGGTGGGAACCTGCAATCCCAGCTACTTGGGAGGCTGAGGCAGGAGAATTGCTTGAACCCAGGAGGCAGAGGTTGCAATGAACCAAAATCATGCCATTACACTCCAGCCTGGGTGATAGAGCGAGACTCTGTCAAAAAAGAAAGAGAAGACAGAGAGAGAGAGAGAAAGTAAGAGAGAGAGAGAAAGAAAGAAAGAAACCTTGAAATGGCTTCCCACATGCTTTTGGATAATATTCAAACTCTATGTCATCGTGTCTACAGGGGTTTCGCACAATGTGCTGTTGCTGATCTCTTCAGCCCTGTCTCAGGCTCTTATTCCTCTCACCCACCACACTCCAGGAACCTGCTGTTGAATGAATGAATGAATAGCAGGAAACACCCCATGGCCTTTGCAGGTACCGTTTCTTCGCTAGAACAATGCAACAAAACTTTGCAAGGCTGACTCCTCATTTAATTTTCTACTCAATGGAAAAGAGTGGAAGGTTCATTTTTGCAAGACTGACTCCTCATTTAGGTTTCCACTCAAATGAGGTTTCCTCAGAGAGAAGACATTATCTGACCTCCCCCCGGTGCCAAGTAGACCCCCATGAATTTACCTCATTCTGGTGTTATGTGTATAGCATTTATCTCTATCCTGCTTTTTGAATTACTTTTTTACTGCCCAGCTCCTGCCTCAGAATATAAGCTCCAAGGAAGCAGAAATGCATTTATTCCCACATCCCCCAGAACCTTGAATGGTGTCTGGGTTGACTGAATGAATGGAAGGAAGGGAATAGTAGGGGAAGGAGGAAAAGAGGAAGGAAAGAAGCCAGGCAGGAAGACAATAGACAATCACAATCATGTTGAATGCTACAAAGAATTATAGGCAGGGCTATCCTTGCGGGGAAGGGGAAGGGGAAGGGGTGGCTGGCAATTTGGAGGAGGGGGAGCCAGGATTCCTGTCTATATAAGCAACTTGAGACACCCCAAAGTCATTTTCTAGACACCATGCTGGTGGTCCAATCTCAGGCAATTCTGCAAAAGAAACAGCTCACTAGTCAGCTGAATTGGCCCACCACCCTACCTTCCTAGAACCAGAGCCAGACACATAGCTCTGGAAGAAGCCCCTCAGTACAAGTTTCCCCAAGCTCCTGGGAGCATCTGGTCCACCCCACGTGCAGGGGTTAGGGGTAGAGAGTTGGAGGGTGCCCCCAACAGGGAGAATTGGAGCTGAGGACCTCAAAGTCCTGCTCTAGGCTCTGCCCAGGGAAGGTACTGGGCCAGGCCAATTCTCCCTGACAGTAACACAGACAGGCCTGCATAGCACCCCAGTTACACAGACACATTTCCACAGCACTGCCTTAACATTGAGCTAATAATTAGACCCAGAGAAATCGATGCCCAGATCTCAAAGCCAGAAATGAAACATACGTTCAGGAGAAGCTTTGCACAGGCTTCTCCCAAACTTGGAGCAAGTCAAGATAATGGAGACAGCCTTACATTCCTTGTGCCAGGACCCGTCTCAGGTCAATGAAATCCGGGACGCGTCAAGGTAACAAAGGCAGCTGTGCGAACAGATTTACTGGATAGTCTAAGGCAGCTCTCTGGACCAAACCGTTAAAGAGAGAAGATAGAAATAATCACCTCAGTACCACAGTCCTCATTAATTAGAATTTGGGAGACAGGCCTTGATGATACTGGGGTCCTCATAGATTCATTAAACTTAGAAGGCATTTTTGGCTCCTAACCTTCTAGTTAGAACAAAATTAGTCACCTATAGACTTAGCCGAATGCGATACCACACATAGCCATATAACCCCCACACACGTAAGCACTGAGAAAATTGTAATGCTTCGAGTTGGTCTGGTGAAACTATCTCCGACCTTCTCCCTGTATCTGGTTACAGCAATAAACTTCCTTTCTTAGTTTATCTGCTTCTCGTTACTGAGCCACTAGAACACGCAGCCAGACCCGGCCTGGGCTTGGTCTGGGAACAGTACTGCCAGCCCCAACTTGTCCCACGCAGTAGAGAGGGACTTTGAAAACGTTGAGAAGTCACTCCAAACAGCAAGGGTCCCTGAGGGCTTGCCCAGGTCTGAAGGCGGGACTGAGAATACAGGCCTCCTTGGAAGGGCTTAACCCAGTTGGGAAGGAGAAGGCTCTCGGAACACCCTGTACTCACCCTTGTGTAACTTTCAGCACAGTGGAAATTGCTAACCTAATGCCTGTGCCTCCCTTTGAATGTGAATGCCACTGACTGGTCATAACCACCCTCCAGTGAGGATTTACTCGATGTCTGTTGAATATATGGCAAGATGCAGGGTGCTTTTTACCTTAAACTTTTATGTACTCAAAACTTTTTTCAACATCACTTTTTCCAAGGCCTTTGTAGCTATTTTTTGTTTGTTTGTTTGTTTGAGAGGGAGTCTTGCTCTGTCGCCCAGGCTGGAGTGCAGTGGTGCAATCTCAGCTCACTGCAACCTCCGCCTCTCAGGTTCAAGCGATTCTCCTGCCTCAACCTCCCAAGCAACTGGGATTACAGGTGCCTACCATGATGCCCGGCTAATTTTTGCATTTTTAGTAGTGACAGGTCTTCACCATGTTGGCCAGGCTGGTCTAGAACTCCTGACCTCAAGTGATCTTCCCACCTTGGCCTCCCAAAGTGCTGGGATTACAGGCGTAAGCCACCGCGCCCAGCCCACTGTAGCTGTTTTTAAGAGAAAAAACATATATTAAAATCATTCTGGGTTTTAAAAAAATTGCATAGGGATTTGTTTTTAGCAGTTTAGCAGTGTAGGTATCCAGACTGCCCCGACCTCCCTCTGAACACCAGAAAGGTTGAATAAAGGTTTTATTCAATGTTATTAAATGCATCAATGAGCTGGCAAGAAAGTTGGTGAAAGTGGAAACCCATAAGGTAAGCAAAGCACCGTAGCTGGCCTTCAACCAGTTATTAAATAAAACAAACAGAATAGTAACTGAAAAAAGAAAATAATAGACATATAAAACTCAGTGGAACGGATCAACAAAAAATGGTATACAATAGGATACTATTCAGCCACAAAAAGGAATGAAGTAGTGATCCATGCTACAGCGTGAAGGAACCTTGAAAATATCATGCTCAGTGAAAGGAGCCAGACACAAAAGGTTACATATTGCCTGATTCCATTTATACGAAATGGAATTGATAATTATACAGACAGAAAGCGGATTTGTGGTTGCCAGAGCCTGAGAGAAGTGGGGAACAATTGCTGAATGGGTGTGCGGTTTCATTTAAGGGTAACGAAATGTTTTGGAACTATTTAAAGTGGTTGCACAACATTGTGAGTGTATTACCATGGAACTGTTCACTTCAGAATGGTTAGTTTTATGTTATGTGAATTCCCCTTCAACAATAAAAAAAAAAAAAAAGAAAAAGGAACAAATAGCCACCAAAAATTTTTTATAAAGAAAAGAAAGAAAACCCATCAGTGCAATCCACCATGTTAATAAAGAAGAAAAATTATGAGAAACCAAAAAATAAATTACACTGATAACTTTTAAATCCATTCAATAGGAAGAGATGGCAGTTTCCTTAATTAGATAAAGGTATCTACAAAAACTGGTAGTCAACGTTATTGTTATAGGTGAAAAATTTCTCATTCAGATTAAGAAAAAGAATAATACTCTGAGGTGGGAGGATCTCTTGAGCCCAAGAGTTCGAGACCAGCCTGAGCAACACAGCAAGACCCACCCTCCATCTCTCAAAAAAAAAAAAAAAGAGAATGATGTATACTCTCACCACTTCTTTACAGCATTATCCAGCCTGTGAGTCAAGCAAGAAAAGGAAGTAAAAGCTACGTGGATTGGAAATGAGGATATAAAACTGCTATAATTCAGATGATCTGATTGAAAATACAGGAAATCTAAAAGAATCTTTAGAAAATGTATGGGAATTAATAATTAGGTAAAGTTACTAGATACAAAAACAGAAAATAAACATTTTAAAGTAAATCTCTACTAAATGTCTATGCTGCCATAACAAATATCACAAACTCAGTGGCTTAAAGCAACAGAAGTTTAGTATCTTACAGCTGTGCAGCTGAGAAGTTCTAGATAGCTCTCACAGAGCTACAGTCAAGATGCCAACAGGGCTGCATTCTTTTCTAAGGCTCTAGGAGAGAATGTTCTCTGCTCATGGCTTGGTAGAATTCAGTTCCCTGTGATTGCAGGACTGTTTTCTTGCTCTCTGTGAACTGAAGGCTGTTCCCAGCTTCTAGAGGCCACTGCATTTCTTGGCTTGTGGCTCCTTCCAGCTTCAGAGCCAGCAAGGCCATTGAATCCTTCTCAGGTGGCACCTCTTAGGCCCATTCTTCTGCCTGTCTTTCACTTTTAAGGGTTCATGGAAGTAGACTGGGCCCACCTGGATAACCCAGGCTAGTCTCCCTATCTTAATCTCTCTGATTAGCAACCTTCATTCCATCTACAACCCTTATTTCCTTTTGTGGTGAAATGTAACATATTCACAGATTCTGGGCATTAGGAAATAAATATCTTTGGGGGCCATTCTTTTGCATCCCACAGTCACCATTTATAATAACCCAAAAGACCATCCAATTCCACGCAATGAGGCCGGACACGGTGGCTCACGCCTGTAATCCCGGCCCTTTGGAAGGCTGAGGCAGGTGGATCACCTGAGGTCAGGAGTTTGAGACCAGCCTGGCCAACATGGCGAAACCCCATCTCAACCAAAAAAAAAAAAAATTAGCCAGGCATGGTGGCGGGCACCTGTAATCCCAGCTACTTGGGAGGCTGAGGCAGAAGAATTGCTTGAACCTGGGAGGCCGAGGTTGCAGTGAGCTGAGATCGTGCCACTGCATTCCAGCCTGGGTGACAGAGCGAGACTCCATGTGCAAAAAAAAAAAAAAGAAACAACAACAAAACAACAACAAACTATTCCAAGCAACGACCCTAATAGAATTTGTGCAAGTCCTCCATGCAAAAAACCATAAAATATTGACAAATACTTTTTTTTTTTTTTTGAGGTGGAGTTTTGCTCTTGTTGCCGAGGCTAGAGTACAATGGCACAATCTTGGCTCACCGCAACCTCTGCCTCCCGGGTTCAACTGATTCTCCTGCCTCAGCCTACCAAGTAGCTGGGATTACAGGCATGCGCTACCACACCTGGCTAATTTTGTATTTTTTTTTTTTTTTTTTGAGACGGAGTCTTGCTCTGTCACCCAGGCTGGAGTGCAGTGGTGCTATCTTGGCTCACTGCAAGCCCCGCCTCCCGGGTTCACGCCATTGTCCTGCCTCAGCCTCCCGAGTAGCGGGACTACAGGCGCCCGTCACCACGCCCGGCTATTTTTTGTATTTTTAGCAGAGACGGGGTTTCACCGTGTTAGCCAGGATGGTCTCAATCTCCTGACTTCGTGATCCGCCCCCCTCGGCCTCCCAAAGTGCTGGGATTACAGGCATGAGCCACCGCGCCCGGCCTAATTTTGTATTTTTAGTAGAGACGGGGGTTTCTCCATGTTGGTCAGGCTGGGCTCGAACTCCCGACCTCAGGTGATCTGCCTGCCTTGACCTCCCGAAGTGCTGGGATTACAGGCATGAGCCACTGCGCCCGACTGACAAATACTTTTAAAGACTGTGGAATCTCCTTAAGATAGAATTTGAAGGCTCTTTGTACTTTGGAACTCTATCTGGATTTGGGCCAACCGCAGAATCAAGAAGAGCGTTTTGTACACACACAATTGCGCTGCTGTATTAAACTTCAACAGCTTGCAAGAAGGCATTCATGTGAAGTGGAGAAACTGCAATTTTTTTAAGAGATGGGGTTTCATTGTAGTGTCCAGGTTGGTCTCAAACTCCTGGGTTCAAGTGATCCTCTCGCCTTGGCCTCCCAAAGTGCTGGGATTACAGATGTGAACCACAGTGCCATCCCTAAATTGCAACATTTAAAAGCTGTATTAGGCCGGGTGTGGTGGCTCATGTCTGTAATCCCACCACTTTGGGAGGCCGAGGCGCGTAGATCACGAGGTCAGGAGATCAAGACCAGCCTGGCTAACATGGTGAAACCCCGTCTCTACTAAAAATACAAAAAATTAGCCGGGTGTGGTGGCACATGCCTGTAGTGTCAGCTACTAGGGAGGCTGAGGCAGAAGAATCGCTTGAACCTGGGAGGCGGAGGTTGCAGTGAGCCAAGATTGCACCTCTGCACTCCAGCCTGGGTGACAGAACAAGACTCTGTCTCAAAAAGAAAAAATAAAATAAAACCCATATTAATTTGTATAAAATATCTTGCCACGTTCAAAACCACCATTAAAATATACAATGTTGCAATTTTGCACTTAAAGGATATTTTTAGTGTGAAAATTTTCATGAAAATAATATAAGACTTCAACAAAAGTATGACTGTGTTGTATTAAAGACTACTATATTGATTTGGCAAACTTTTGTGACTTGATAAAGGTATTCCCTTCTTTGGATCTGTATTTCCAAAAGTCTTGGATTTAGTATGTATAACTGTGGGCTGATGAGGTTAATTTAAAAAATAAAGACATTACCTGAGTTTGCTGCACTCTCAACTTATACAGAGGAACAGCTGTTCACATCTTTCAGCATTTCACATTTGCCTAACTTTAAAAGTTGCCAGGTGTCAAAAGCATGCTTCTGTAATTGCTAAAGCATGATACCTCAGGCTATTTGAAATAATTACTTTTTGAGGTAATTGTGACCACAAAGCATCATTTTTACATGAGAGCTGTATATCATTTTAAATTACTCAAATGATGTCTTGGTTTGAAGCATAAATCCCAGATATTTAATGCTTTTAGTAACATAGTGTCACTGTGAGGTGGAGCAGGGAGATACAAATAATTAAAGAAAAAAAAATTGATATAAATGAATGATGAAGTGGATCTCACTGCAGATTATATTTTGAGAAATCCCTCTTTTGGATGCCAGAGGGCACCTGCAATCTGAAAAACAATCCAGTAAATATATTGTGTTTCCTGTTTTGTAGCAGATAATTGTCAGTCACCAAATAGTATCTTTGGTACTTGTCATTATTGGATACAGTATTTTTATGAAAGGCATTTTGCTCCTGCCTTTATTTTATTTTATTTATTTATTTTGAGACAGAGTCTCATTCTGTTGCCCAGGCTGGAGTGTAGTGGTGGAATCTTGGCTCACTGCAACCTCCACCCCCTGAGTTAAAGCAATTCTCCTGCCTCAGCCTCCCTAGTAGCTGGGATTACAGGCATGCACCATCACGACCAGCTAGTTTTTGTACTTTTAGTAGAGACAGGGTTTCACATGTTGGCCAGGCTGGTCTCGAACTCCTGACCTCAAGTGATCCACCTGCCTTGGCCTCCCAAAGTGCTGGGATTACAGGCGTGAGCCACCGTGCCCAGCCTTTATTTTTATTTTTATTATTTTTCGGGAGATGGAGTCTCGTTCTGTCACCCAGGCTGGAGTGCAGTGGTGAGATCTTGGCTCACTGCAACCTCTGCCTCCGGGGTTCAAGCGATTCTCCTGCCTCAGCCTCCTGAGTAGCCGGGATTACAGGAGTCTGCCATCACACCTGGTTAATTTTTGTATTTTTAGTAGAGACGGGGTTTCGCTATGTTGGCCAGGCTGGTCTCGAACTCCTGACCTCAGGTGATCTGCCTGCCTCGGCCTCCCAAAGTACTGAGATTAAAGGCATGAGCCACCGCATCCAGCCTCTTTTGCTTATTTTTCACTTTAGATTCACTCTCAAATTCTTTTGTACAGTGAAGTCAAGAACCTAAACTGGCCCACCAACAATAGAAATAACAATATAAAGAGAGAGCAAAGCAAAGATTTTGTATGCTATTAAAACTAAATCAGGCTGGGCACGGTGGCTCACGCCTGTAATCCCAGCACTTTGGGAGGCTGAGGCAGGTGGATCACGAGGTCAGGAGATCGAGACCACCCTGGCTAACACGGTGAAACCCCGTCTCTACCAAAAATACAAAAAAAAAAAAAAAAAAAAAAATTAACCGGGCGTGGTGGCGGGTGCCTGCAGTCCCAGCTACTCGGGAGGCTGAGGCAGGAGAATGGCGTGAACCCGGGAGGTGGAGCTTGCAGTGAGCCAAGATCTCACCACTGCACTCCAGCCTGGGCAACAGAGTGAGACTCTGTCTCAAAAAAAAAAAAAAAAACCATATTAATCCTACAGGATTATTATAAGCTAAGATGTACATTGTAATCTGCAGAGCAACCACTAAGAAAATAATTCAAAAACATATTGTAAAACAAATGACAAGAGAATTAAAATAGTATACTATAAAATATCTATTTACCACAAAAGAAGGCAGCATTGGAGGAACTGAACAAAAATATATAAGACATACAGAAAACAAATAGAAAAATAGCAAAAGTGACATCTTTTTAAATCAGTAAATACATTAAATTTAAATTGAGTAAACTCTTGAATTATAAAACAGATTGCAGATTGGATTAAAAATGATCCAATTGATGTGCTGTCTTCAAGAGACTCACTTTTGGCTGGGCGCAGTGGCTCAAACCTGTTATTCCAGCACTTTGAGACGCTGAGGTGGTCAGATCACCTGAGGTCAGGAGTTCGAGACCAGCCTGACCAACATGGAGAAACCCTGTCTCTACTAAAAATACAAAAATTAGCTGGGCGTGGTGGCACATGCCTGTAATCACAGTTACTCAGGAGGCTGAGGCAGGAGAATCCCTTGAACTGGGGAAGCAGAGGTTGCGGTGAGCCGAGATTGCGCCATTGTACCCCAGCCTGGGCAACAAGAGGGAAACTCTCTCTCAAAAAAAAAAAAAAAAAGACTCACTTTATATTTAAAGACATAAATAGTTAAGAGAAAAACATTCTTTGCAAATAGTAACCAAAACAGAGCAGAAGTAATTACACTAATGTCAGACAAATTAGTATAATTTGTAGCTTGTTACAAATTATTGTTACAAAAATTGTTACAAGGAACAAAGGATATGATATAATGATAAAAGCATCAATCCATCAGAAGATATAACTGTCATAAATATATATACATATATATAACCTATATATATATAAAATCCATATATATATGTGTGTGTATATATATACATATATACCTAACAGAGCCCCTCAAAAAATGAAGCAAAAACTGATAAAATTGAAAGGAGAAATAGATGTACAATAATATTTGGAGACTTTAACACCCCATTTTCTTTTTTTTTCACTTTTCTTTTCTTTCTTTTTCTTGTTTTTAAAGACAAATCGCTTTTGTTGCCCAGGCTGGAGTGCAATGGCATGGTCTTGGCTCACTGCAACCTCTGCCTCCTGGGTTCAAGTGATTCTCCTGCCTCAGCCTCCCGAGTAGCTGGGACTACAGGTGCCCTCCACCACGCCCAGCTAATTTTTTTTTTTTTTTGAGACGCAGTCTAGCCTTGTCGCCCAGGCTGGAGTGCAGTGGCGCGATCTTGGCTCACTGCAACCTCTGCCTCCTGGGTTCAAGCGATTCTACTGCCTCAGCCTCCTGAGCAGCTGGGATTACAGGCACCCACAACCATGCCCAGCTAATTTTGTATTTTTACTAGAGATGGGGTTTCACATGTTGGTCAGGCTGGTCTCAATCTCCTGACCTCGTGATCCACCCGCCTCGGCCTCCCAAAATGCTGGGATTACAGGCGTGAGCCACCACGCCTGGCCTAACACCCCATTTTCAATAATGGATGTAACACTCAGACATAAGATCATTAAAGAAACAGAGGAATTGAATGACACTATAAACCAACTAGCCCTAACAGGAATATACAGAACATTCCAACCACCAGCAGCAGAATAGACATTCTTCTCGTGTGCACATGAAACATTGTCTAGAACAGGTCATATGTTAGGCCTCAAGCAATTTTCCATACATTTAAAAAGGTTGAAATCATGAAAAGTATATGCGCTGACCACAATAGAATGAAACTGCAAATAACAGAAGGAAGACAAAAAAATTCAAAAATATGTGGAAATTAAACAACATGCTCTAAAACAACCAATGAGTCAAAGAAGAAATCAAAAGGGAAGTTAAACACTTTGGGCTGGGTGTGGTGTCTCACACCTGTAATCCCAGCACTTTGGTAAGCCGAGGTGGGAGAACTGCTTGAGCTCAGGAGTTCGAGGCCAGCTTGGGCAACATAGCAAGACCTTGTCTCTACTAAAAAAAAAAGAAAAAATCAGCCAGGCATGGTGGCATTTGCCTATAGTCCCAGCTACTTGGGATGCTGAGGTAGGAGGATCGCTTGAGCCCTGGATATCAAGGCTATAGTGAGCTGTGATCATGCCACTGCACTTCACCCAGGGCAACAGAGAATGATTCTGTCTCAAAAATAAATAAATAGATAAAATAAAATACTTTGAGACAAATGAACACAAAAATACAACATACCAAAATCTATGGGATGTAGCAAAAGCAGTGTTCCAAGGACAAATTATAGCTGTAGACACCTACATTAAAAAAGAAGAAATATCTCAAATCAGTAACCTACTCTTTTACCCCCAAATGGCTGTGGAATTTGTTTGCTTAATGCATAATGGTCCTGGCAAAAATCAGTTAACCAACACTGAGAGATTTGTAATGAAAAACCAACTTTAAATATTCATTACACCTTGATAGAAATTAGAGTTTACACAAACAAAAAAAGAAACTTTTGATATTGTCAGTCAATATAAAATGAATGTAATATGACTGATAGCATGGCAAGAAGGCATTTATACATTTTTCTCTAACATCTGACCACAGTTTAAGTTGCCATAATATCTTCTCTCCAGATAAAAATAGTATACTGATTTCTATAGCAAAGATTTTCTTGTACAAAAATCAAACAATGGATAAGTCACAACCGTAAAATATATATAGGATTAAAAAAACACATCAAACAGGTTCTGAAACTAAAGAACAACTAGGAGGAGGAGGAGGATAGAGCCCTTGTAGGGGGCTTGTTTTCATCCACTTGAATGTGTGTGGGGTTTGTCTTCTGAGCCACAAGTTCTGACTTGTCTCATAAAAGCCAGTTATTCTGACCAAACTTCTAAGTAAACACACAAAACACTTCTAATATTAAACATTGAAATAAATGTAGGCTATACATTCAAGAAAGATTAATAAAAGACTAATCTTTATTAATAAGATTAACAAGGTAATAATCTACCCACTCATTCCAGTTCAGGATCGCGGATGGCCAGAATCTTTCCTGGTGCCAGGTGGGTGCCAACTCTGGACAAGATGCCATCCCTTTGCAGGGTATACACTCACACACACACCCATGCTCACTCAGGCTAGGACAATGTAGACATGCCAATCAACCTAACTGGCACATCTTTGGAATCGGGAAGGAAATTGGAGTACCTGGAGGAAACCCACACAGACATGGGGAGAAGGGGCAAACTCCACACACAAAGTGGCCTCGGGGCCAGGCACGGTGGCTCACACCTGTAATCCCAGCACTTTGGGAGGCTGAGGCAGGCGGATCACGAGGTCAGGAGTTCAAGACCAGCCTGGGCAACATGCTGAAACTCCGTGTCTACTAAAAATACAAAAATTAGCTGGGCGTGGTGGTGCGTGCCTATAATCCCAGCTACTCAGGAGGCTGAGGCAGGAGAATTGCTTGAACCGAAACCTGGGAGGCGGAGCTTGCAGTGAGCCAAGATCGCATCACTGCACTCCAGAGCCTGGGCTACAGAGGGAGATTCCGTCTCAAAAAAAAGCCTTGAGCAGGAATGGATTTTTTTTTTCTCATCAATGTTATAACAAAACCACATTGAACAAAATGATCTTATTAGAGAACCTGCTATACTTAATATTGTTAAGGTGTCAATTGATTCCCCAGATGTATCTAAAAATACAATTCAATCCCTATAAAAATTCCAACTGCTTGTACTTATTTATTTGCAGAAACGGGACAAGCCAATTCTAAATATTCACATGGAATAGCAAGGGACCTTAAGTAGCTAAAACAATTTTGAAAAAGAACGATACTGGAGGCCTCATACTTCCCAGTCTTTTTATTTATTTATTTATTTATTTATTTATTTATTTATTTATTTATTTATTTATTTTTGGAGATGAGGTCTCACTCTGTCGCCTCGCCTCTCGGGTTCAAGCCATTCTCCTGTCTCAGCCTCCCAAGTAGCTGGAACTACGGGCATGCACCACTAAGCCTGGCTAATTTTTGTATTTTTAGTAGAGACCGGGTTTCACCATGTTGGCTAGGCTGGTCTTGAACTCCTGACCTCAGGTGATCTGCCCACCTCAGCTTCCCAAAGTGCTGGGATTACAGGCCTGAGCCATTGCGCCTGGCCATGTTTATGGTTTTATCAGCTTTAGAAGTTTGTAATTTGTACTTATTTATTCATTCCAAATAAGTATTAATTTTCATTTCTAATTTTATATTTACAAAGTCTATTGCAGTGCTTCTGTTTAACATTCTATAGGTTGTGTAAGTTTTGGGCTCAACAATTCCTGAATGCACCTTGAATCAATGAGTCTCAGGACATAACATTGAGTGTAAAAAGCAATTTGCAGAAAAATACATCCTCCATAATTCCATATACAGAGTTAAAAAGCATGTAAAATTTATATGTTGTTCACAGACAAAAAATGTGGGAAGATGATAAGGCCTACAGAGGGCTTCAGGGACAGGAGGAAATTATGACTTTTGTGGGCTCTGGGCACAAGTTACCTTCATGGCACTTTTCTCCATTAAAAAAAATGATAAAAATTATATTTTATGGCCGGGTGCGGTGGCTCAAGCCTGTAATCCCAGCACTTTGGGAGGCAGAGGCGGGCGGATCACGAGGTCAGGAGATCGAGACCATCCTGGCTAACACGGTGAAACCCTGTCTCTACTAAAAATACAAAAAATTAGCCAGGCGTGGTGGCACGTGGCTGTAGTCCCAGCTACTCGGGAGGCTGAGACAGGAGAATGGCGTGAACCCGGGAGGCGGAGCTTGCAGTGAGCCGAGATGGCGCCCCTGCACTCCAGCCTGGGCGACAGAGCGAGACTCGTCTCAAAAAAAAAAAAAAATTATATTTTATGACTGTGGTGGTATAAAGGCTGTGTTGGTATATTAGTGTTATATGATAAAACAAAATATGTTCAAAATATTTGACAGGATGAAGAAGTAGAAAAGAGGAAAATAACGGTCAACGCGTGCTGCTCCTTAGACGGTTAAATTTGCATAACGGCCACCACGCCCTTCCAACAAGCCACGCCCCCTTGCTAGAATCTTCCTTCGCCTTGGGCCTTTCCCGCAGTGTTCCCCTGGGCTTGCTCCTCATCCTCGGGCCAGGGTTCTCCTCGGTAAGGCTGTATCTGACCCACTTTTCCCAAGCTGGCCCATCTCAGCCTCTTTTTTTATCGCCTGAGTCACCACTACTAATTGTTTAATTTCCCTGTCTCCTCTATTAACTGTAAGACGGTGACGCTGCATCATCGTGGTCAGTAGTAGGCGTTACTAAAAGGGGGTAGGGGCCGGGTGCGGTGGATCACGCTTGTAATCCCAGCACTTTGGGAGGTCGAGGCGGGGCGGATCACTTGAGGTTGGAGTTTGAGACCATCCTGGCCAACATGGTGAAACCCCATCTCTACTAAAAACATGAACATTAGCCGGGCGTGTGGCACACGCCTGTACTCCCAGCTACTCGGGAGGCTGATGCAGGAGAATCATTTGAACCCAGGAGGCGGAGGTTGCAGTGAGCCGAGACTGCGCCACTGCACTTCAGCTTGGGTGACAGAGCGCGACTCCATCTCAAAAACAAAAAAGGGGGGGGATAGGCTTTCCAGTGGATTTTACTCATTTTTATTTATTTATAGACTTTTCTGAGACAGGGTCTTGCTTTGTTCCCCAGCCTGGAGTGTAGTGGCACAGTCACGGCTCACTGCAGTCTCGATCTCCCGGTCTCAATGGATATCCACCCCCTGCCTCAGCCTCCCAACAAGCTGGGCCCACAGGTGCTAATTTTTTTTTTTTTTTTTTTTTTTCCGGAGAGAGAGTCTCGCTCCTTTGCCCAGGCTGGAGTGCAGTGGTGCGATCTCGGCTCACTGCAACCTCTGCCTCCCGGGTTCAAGCCATTCTCATGCCTCAGCCTCCTGAGTAGCTGGGATTACAGGCACCCGCCACCACGCCCAGGTAATCTTTTTATTTTTAGTAGAGACGGAGTTTCACCATGTTGGTCAGGCTGGTCTCGAACTCCTGACCTCAGGTGATCCACCCGCCTCGGCCTCCCAAAGTGCTGGGATTACAGGCGTGAGCCACCGCGCCCGGCCTCGGTGGCTGAGTTTTAATTTTTTTTTGTACATACGGGTGTCTCGCTATGTTGCACAGGCTGGTCTCTGAACTCCGGGCTCAAGCGAGCCTCCCGCCTGGGCCTCCCAAAGTGGTGGGATTAGAAGCGGGAGCCACCGCACCAGCGAGGGATTTACTCTGCTGTGTTGCGCATCGCGCGCATTGTTCGCAAGACCTAAGGTCTCCCTTTCTTGTAATATAAAGGATATACACATATTCCTCCGAAATTACACGTTTATGTAATTTACATTTCAGGTCTTTAAAGGAAATCTAAAGAGAAAAATTACTTCGTCACCGTAGTACATCCGCTGAGACACCTGAGGCGTGGAAAAAAGAAGAAAAAAGAGGGAACGGAAATGGCCAGCGGGTAAGGGCTGACCCCACCCGCAGCAGAGCTCATCCCGGAGCCGCCCCACCCGCAGGAAGCCCCGGGCGGGGCCGAGGTCAAGGTTCCGCGGCAAACTCTCCCCGTCCACCCTGACGGGGACTCGGGATTGGTCGGGCCCCAGCTGCCCGGACGTGACGCCAGCGCCCGGCGTGGGCGGTGCACCGCGGCCGCTCTTCCCATGCCCCGCCCCCTGGGGGGCACCAAAACCAGAAAGCAGCGGCCGGGGCGGGGCCTGCGGCCGGCCGACTCAGCGCGGGGGCGGGGCCTACCTCGCGGCAACAGCTGGTTGGTAGCTGCGGCTGCGGGCCCGCACTTCCGCTGGTGGCCTAGAGCGGGGCCCGGTATGGAGGTGGGCTAGAGGCCGACGCCAGCCAGAGAGCGGTGAGGGTAGCGGCGGGCTGGAGGCCGTAGGTCGGGCGGGCGTGAGCGCAGGCGCGGCTTGTGCTTGCAGGGCCGCTTCGGGGAACCATCGCGGCGCCTAGGTCCCGGTGGGCGGATGGGGGAAGAGTCGGCGCGGGCTCGGCCGCTTCCCTCGGTGCGGGGGCGGGAGCACCCCTCGACGGCTGGCGGCCGCCTGTTGCCTTCCTGCGCGCTGGACCCGGCCGCTGCGACCCCCTGTCCTTCCGTTGTCTACACTGCGGTCTCGTGTGAGCTGTTTTTGGTGTGGATACTGCGTAGTTTCCTTGGGGCTGAGCGGGAGGTCTCGGGGTGGAAAGTGTCGGTTCCCTCCACACGCTCGTCTGCCTCTCGCCTGGAGTCCCTCCCTTTGTTTTTTTTTCTTTTTTCTTTTTTTTTTTTTTTTGAGACGGGGTCTCGCTCTGTCACCCAGGCTGAAGTGCAGTGGAACAGTCACGGCTCGCAGCAACCTCGTCTTCCTGGGCTCCAGCGATCCTTCCGCCTCATCCCCCCGAGTAACTGGGACCATAGGCGCGCGTCACCACGCCCGGCTAATTAAAAACAAAATGTGTTGCAGAGACAGGGCCTGGCTGTGTTTCCCAGGCTGAGCTCAGCTGCTCCAGGGATCCTCCGAGCCGCCGCGCCCGGCCGGTCCCTTCGTTTGGAGGAGAGTCTGTTTCTCCCACTTGGAGGGGCTGGAGCTTTTGCTGCTGGCCACAGGACTTTGTCCGTCCTCCCCAACTTCTGGGGATCTAAGGATGTGCCCAGCAATTTGCACGACCCAAGTGAAACGGGGGTGACTGCCTTGAGGGAAAAGAGCTCCACAAGGAGAAGGCCGAGTGTGGTATTTGATAAGTGACACAGCTGAGGATCCTAGGATTGATGTTACCTGCGCGGGCTAATAACTTGGGGGATTTTTGGCTCGGTGCCTAGCTGTCCCCGTGAGTGGGGACAGCCCCTTGTGGAACTGGGAGTCAGAATTGCAGTTCTGCTGTTTCCTGGAAGTCCACAGCCAAGTTGTCTAACCTATCTGGGCTTCCTCATCAGCCAGCAGTATCTGTCTGTAATAGGATCGATACCAGGCTCAGATGGGATATAGAGTATAAATGCCACTTACCAATTTCGTTTTTTGTTTTTTAATTTCAGAAATGTTCTTTTGGGGCCAGAGTCTGGGCATATATGAATGCAAATCCGTGTTTGTTCACAACTAAGCCCAGCTGAGACGATCACTTTTCTGTAGGCCATTTGTCCAGGTAATAATTTTTTTTTTTAGCAGGAGTTCAGAGCACCAAGGTAAGTGCAATGATGGAAACATGTGCAGAGTCCTAAAGGGACAGAGAAGAAGGTCATCAGAGATAGACTGGAAGAGAGGACGGGTCGGACAGGCCCCCCCCCCAGACGTGATGACACTCAGGAAGAGCTTGCACACTGGTTGTTCTCAAATCCAGCTTTCTCTTCGAATCTTAGTGGAGTTCTTTAAAAGGGAAACAATTTTATCCATAGGATCTTTTCTACTTTTTTTTTTAAGTTCCTGAGGTAAGTCTGATGTGTATTCACAGTTAAGTACCGGGCAGAGGTAGGAGGGTGGGTTTCCAAGGCCAGTGGAAGAGCTTCCATAAAGGCAGGGAATACCAGTCACCATGAATGGTTTTAGGAAGAGCAAGTCAAGGGAGGTAAGTGTGGAGGAAAGAGATGATGTGGAAGCTGGATCATCGCGGGCCTTGTGTGTGTTGAGCTCAGCAATTTGAATTTTATCCCAACATTGGAGGAGGAGTCATTTGTGCTTTCGAAGTCCAGTTTGGGGCTTTGGCCTCTGGCAGCATTTTGGAGGAGGAATTGATGGCGATCAAAGAAGAAATAGATCATTTAGGCTTCTTCAGTAATCCAGGCAAATGATGAAAATGTACTGAACTAAGGCAGTGGCGGTTGCACTGAGAAGAAAGTAGAGATGTAATTAAGGGGTAGGCTCTGGAGCTCAGAGATTGCGGCTGAGGGAGAAGGAGCGTATAGGATAATTCCTAGGTTACTGGTTTGAAAATTGAATGTATGGTAATGTCATCAACAAGGGAATATAGAACAAATAACAGATTTAAGGGAAGGACTTCGTTGGGTTCTGGTCATGTTTACTTTGAGGTGCCTGTCAGATATGTGAGTAGAGATACACTGTATGCAGTTGGATATTGAATATATCTGGAGTTCTAGGCTAGGCTGTCAGTTATTGAGTAGGTGGAACAGTGCATCATTTCACTCAACCTCCCCAGTAGCTGCGACTACAGGTGCATACCACCATGCCCAGCTAATTTTTATATTTTTAGTAGATACGGGGTTTCACCATGTTGGCCAGGATGGTCTTGATCTCTTGACCTCGTGATCCCTCACGCCTCGGCCTCCCAGAGTGCTGGAATTACAGGTGTGAGCCACTGCGCCCTGCCTGCATTAAGTTTTACAATACATTCTCAGTCTGGGCAGCTTCAATCTAGGCAGTAGTTGAAGCAGTGGTTTGAAGTAGGCCGCCCAGAAAGAGTACTGAATGAAGAGGTGAGAATTCTCAGGACAAGCCTTCGAAAACTTTAGCATTTATATGAGTAACAAAGGCAGGGGTAATTATGAAGGTGATTGGGTAGAAGTGGTGTCCAAAAAATGGTGTGTTGTAGGTAAGGAAAGGATGGGCAGCATTTTCATATGCTTTAGCAGAGTCAGGTCAGGAACCTATTGGATTGGTAATGTAAAGATTGTTAGGGACTTCACATTCAGTGGAGTGTAAGGGTAGAAGCCAGAGTGCAAAGGAGCTGAAGAGCTGGGAGGTAGTGAATCTAAACTTCCAGATGTTTAGCTGAGAAGTGTAGAAGAAAGAGATTGTTATTTGAAGTTTCTGGCTAGTTAATGTTGAGAAATGGATAGCCTAAGGATAAGTCTGTAGAAAATTACAGTAATACCTATGGTGAAGCATCCTATATTTTTGGTTTTGACACATTAGCTCTCTTTTTGGTGGGTGCTCAGAGAGTTGCTTTAATTTTGGTTTTGCAACTTGAGTATTGTCTGGACACACCCATTTGTCATTCACTAATGATTGCAAGCCGTTACAGTCTGATGAAACTAACAAAATAGACCTCAAGAAGAACTGAGTTGTATAAAAGCTTAAGAGGATTCACAGTAGTTTAGAAGCAATAATTTTCTCCTTAAAGACAAAATATGCCCTATTGAGGTTTCCTGGGCTTAGCCATTAGGCCAGTGATGATTTTAAATTTGAAGACAAAACCACACACACAGCCTTTTGAAGAAGAACCATGGAAGCACATGTTCTCTTGTTGGTGTGCTCTGCAGCAGTATTCTCCGTTATCTTCTAGCGGCCATGACACTCACCTATTTTGGTAGTAACTCCTATATATTTTGAGAAAATTTAGTCTTGCTTTTTTGGTTGTGGAAATAGGCTAGTTTTCTAAGTGAAATAAAAAGCAAATTCTGTAATTTTCTTAATAGAAGGTTTCTTTTGTTGTCTCCTTTGTTAGTACTTATTTTAAAGTACACAACATTTGGAGCTTCAAGTAAGGTAAGTGGGAAAAGAAGTATGCAACATTTTATTTGCATGGTAGTCTCACTTAAGTTTTTTAAAGCTTAAATTGGCTGCAGTCTGTTAGCTGCTGAAATCATGCTTCAAATGTTTGAGAAACCTCCATGAAGTTTCACTTTCTGTTCTTACGTCTTCTAAGTTCACTTTCCATATTAAACTAGGTTACCGGAAAAAAAAACAGCTTCTGCAAGCTGTTAACTTACTAGTAGTGTGATGTTGGCCTCTTAGGTATAAGTAATTCTTCTTTTGAATAAAATAATTTTAAATTCTGCAGAAATACATTGAAGACCTTATCCCATGTTACTTGGCATTTCCTAGTCTGCAGTGCCCTTGTACTAGAAGGCATTAATAAAATGTAATTGAGTTAGAGTTTGTGTCAGGAAAGGGCGGTACTCTGCGGCTATCACTGCATACTCTTTTTCCCCCCCACGTCGATGAGAACTGTGTAACTCATGTTATCCTTTTTCTCTGCTTTCAGGAAGCTCCTCATGTAGAACTTAGTGAAATTAAATTTCTTCTAAAGAAGTTTTGATTTTGTTTTTTGAAATCTCATTTTTAAATGTCCTTTTGTGTGTATGTACTTTAATGTTGAAAGCTACCCTAAATTCTTTTTAGAACCATGAAGAAAGTATACCTCTTCAAAAGCATAAGTAAAAGTAATATTTAATAAATTTTAAAAAATCAATTCATATGACAATGTATTTGATTATGCTTATGCATTTCTAAATAATTATTTAATTGTGGGTATAAGAAGAAATTAAAGAATTTTAAAAAATCACTTTATTTTAGGAACTAGCTTTATGCCACAGAAGCCTCAGCAGCCAAGCCTAGTTTCTGTTGAGATGTTTTATATTTCCTGTTGGTAAAGATTATGTATTCTGAATTTTAGGGTGACGGTGATACTCAAAAATCTCACACTGCCATGTTTCCATTCCCACATACTCAGTGTCTTCACTTAGGTTTCTTTTGTTTGTTTGTTTTGAGACAGAGTTTCACTCTGTCACCCAGGCTGGAGTGCAGTGGCGCAATCTTGGCTCACTGCAACCTCTGCCTCCCACGTTCAGGCAGTACTCCTGCCTCAGCCTCCCAAGCAGCTAGGATTGCAGATGCGCACCACCAGCTAATTTTTGTATTCTTTTTAGTAGAGATGGGGTTTCACCATGTTGGCCAGGCTGGTCTCGAACTGCGGACCTCAAGCAGTCTGCCCACGTCGGCCTCCCAAAGTGCTGGGCTTACAGGCATGAGCCACCGTTCCCAGCTTACTTAGGTTTTTTAACCTCCTTCTAACCTTTCTCCCTGAGTGGAGAGTTTTTAAACATTTTTAAAAACTGCCTCTCCTGTGAATTTTATTACCACCAATATATTGTGTCTCTCTTTATGTACTGTATGTTTATCTGAGCTTTATATCTAAAAAGAGGAGGGCTTTTTCACGTCCCACTAACTAGTTTTAGATCTCTTTGAGGGTGACATCACTCCTGATGAGAATGCTGAGCTAGGTCCATTCAGTTTATGAAATGAACTTAAGTTTGTAGTTGGTAACTTTTTTCCCCATTCCAAAATCTGTACTTTGAAAATATTGGTAAGTCTGGGTCTCTATATATTTTCTATCGGTACTGTGTTGTTTTGAGCCTTCTCTGTAGCACAACTTTATGTTGCCTTATGATACTTATTCCTTATACAATGCTTTTATTTTTCTGTATTTTTCGTATGTCAAAAATAGAAGGATTTTTTTAGTTTAGTGAATCAGTGATTGATAAGCCAGCCAGCAGAAGATTTGGGTTTTAGTGACACATTTTAAATTGAAACCAGGGTCACAAGTTGAAAGTGTACCTATTCTTGACACACAGTAGGTCTGAAGTTGGTTTTCTTCTTGATGTCATCTTTTCTGGCTGTAGGTACAGAATGAGCACATGTTGTTGGTGTACGCCAGGTGGTGCTTCCACCATTGACTTCCTAAAGCGCTATGCTTCCAACACTCCGTCCGGTGAATTTCAAACAGCCGACGAAGACCTCTGCTACTGCTTGGAGTGTGTGGCTGAGTACCACAAAGCAAGAGATGAATTGCCATTCTTGCATGAGGTAAAATATATTAGATGGGCAATATTTTTCAGAGCTTGATAGCTGGGAAGAGAGTAAGTTTGAACTCCGTTGGAAGTATTCAGAGAAATGATGATACGATTTCAACTTTGTGGGTTTTTTTTTTTGTTTTTGTTTTGTTTTTGTTGTTGTTAGAGATGGAGTCTCACTCTGTCACTCAGGCTGGAGTGCAGTGGAGTGATTATACATATATCATTTTACACATTCGAGTATATTCTTAGGACAAATTCCTGAAAGTGGAAGTGCTGTCTCATGATTTTCCATGGGCCACATGGGTTTTCATAGTTTGTTTTGCTATGTTTTGGAGACAAGGTCTTTGCTCTGTTGCCCAGGCTGGAAGTGCAGTGGTGCGATCACGGTTCACTGCAGCCTCAACCTTCTGGACTCAAGCCATCCTCCCACCTCATCCTCCTGAGTAGCTGGGACTACAGGCATGTGCCACCATGCTCTGCTAATTTTTAAAATTTTTTTGTAGAGACGAGGTCTTATTATTTTGCCCAGGCTGGTCCTGAACTCCTGAGCTCAAGTGATCCTTCCGGTTTGGCCCCCCAGTGTTGGAATTACAGGCATGAGCCACCATGCCTGGCCGACTTTGAAGGCTAATATAAGTCAAGTACCTAACTCATTGCCTGGTATATACTAGGTGCTGAGTAAATGTTTATCACGGATGGAATTGAAACCTGGATCAGAATTTTATGATCTGTTGCTTTTAGTCACATTGGTATAAAATAATTTAATGAAATAAAGTCATTGGGAGGGGATTTGTTTCATAATTTTTTGGTCAGTGCTATAATACATGCATGTATCTGAGTATCTGAATGGCCTGGGTTTTTGTTAGTGGGTTGTTTTTTTTTTGTTTTGTTTTTTTTTTGAGACAGAGTCTCACTCTCTTGTCCAGGCTGGAGTGCAGTGGCGTGATCTTGGCTCACTTCAACCTCTGCCTCCCAGGTGGGTTCAAGCGATTCTCCTGCCTCAGCCTCCCAAGTAGCTGGGACTAAAGGCACGTGCCACCACACCCGGCTAATTTTTTATTTTTAGTAGAGATGGGGTTTTACCATGTTGGCCCAGCTGGTCTCAAAACTCCTGACGTCAGGTGATCTGCCCACCTCGGCCTCCCAAAGTGCTGGGATTACAGCTGTGAGCCACTGCGCCTGGCCAGGGTTTTTTTTTTTTAATTGGTAATAATAACTTCTTTTTTTCTTTTTTTAATGGGCAAATGGCATAAACCTTTAAGGGCAAGCATATTTTCCAGTCATGATAACAAAAGTGAAAGATATAATTCTAAATATTTGGCTTTGAATATTTGGTTTATTTATTGATGAAAAACAGAACGTAGACCATAGAGATATATACAGTATATAGAGGAGAGGATGATTAGTAATGGACTTGTGTTGAGAAACGTGCACTTTATAAAGTTTTCTAATTATGAAGCTATCCAGCGTCTTTTATACCACAAGCTGCACTAAGGTAGTTAGCTATGGCTAGAACATAGAAGGGAAGACATAGAAGGGCCTCGGTTTTGCATTTGACAGAGAGGCTCCAGCTTCTCTTTTTTTTTTTTTTGAATGTAGTTGATAGGGATGTTGAGATATTTATAGAAAACTTCTACAAGAGAAGTGTTTAAGGCTGAGTGCTGTAGCTTACACCTGTAATCCCAGCACTTTGGGATGCTGAGGCAGGTGGATTACGAGGTCAGCAGTTTGAGACCAGCCTGGCCATCATGGTGAAAGTCCGTCTCTACTAAAATACAAAAATTAGCCAGGCGTGGTGGTGGGCGCCTGTAATCCCAGCTACTCAGGAGGCTGAGGCAGGAGAATCGCTTGAACCTGGGAGGCCAAGGTTGCGGTGAGCTGAGACCACGCCATTGCACTCCAGCCTGGGCGACAGCGAGATTCTGTCTCAAAAAAAAATAAAAAGTGTTTAAACATAGCATACTATTTTTTGTTTTCTTGTTTTTTTTCGTTTGTTTGGTTTTTTGTTTGAGATGGAGTTTCCCTGTTGTTGCCCAGGCTGGAGTGCAGTGGCGTGATCTTGGCTCACTGCAACCTCCGCCTCCTGGGTTCAAGCGATTCTCCTGCTTCAGCCTCCCGAATATGGGATTACAGGCATGCACCACTACGCCTGGCTATTTTTGTATTTTTAGTAGAGACGAGGTTCCTCCGTGTTGGTCAGGGTGGTTCTGAACTCCCGACCTCAGGTGATCCGCCCACCTCAGCCTCTCAAAGTGCTGGGATTACAGGCAGGAGCCAGTGTGCCTGGCCTGTTTTCTTTTTCTCTTAGAGGCAGGGTTTCCCTATGTCATCCAGACTGGAGTACAGTGGCACAATCATAGCTCACTGTAGCTTCAGATTCTTGGGCTCAAGTGATCCTTTTGCTTCAGCCTCCAGAGAAGCTAGGACTGTAGGCATGCACCACACCTAGCTAATTTTTCTATTTTTTTTTTTTTTAGTGACAGGGTCTTGCTTTGCTACCCAGGCTGGTCTCGAACTCCTGACCTGAAACAGTCCTCCTACCTCAGCCTTCCAAAATGCTGGGATTACAGCTGTGAGCCACTGTGCCTAGCCAATATCTCATACTCTGTGTACTCACTTTTCATAAAAGTGGCCACATTTGAATAGTTTTCTTTAAATCTAAAATACAAGCTCTAATACTTTACATTTCAGAATTTTTGTACTTAGGAAAAGGCTTTCTAGGTCGTCACATTCAGTGTATTTTGTTGATGATAAGACATAACGCACACTGCCCATTTTATTTTCCTCTAGGTTTTATGGGAATTAGAAACCTTACGTCTCATAAATCACTTTGAAAAATCCATGAAGGCAGAAATTGGAGATGATGATGAGTTATATATAGTAGACAATAATGGAGAGATGCCACTGTTTGACATCACTGGGCAAGACTTTGAAAATAAGCTTCGAGTTCCTCTTCTTGAAATACTGAAATATCCTTACTTGCTTCTACATGAACGTGTTAGTGAGTATCTTGATGGTTCCTCAAGTTATATCAGTTTTATTATTTTAGTACCATAAGAATTTAGGCTTATCTATATTGCAAATTTGTTTGCTAAACATATAATTAGGATATATAATTAGGACTTCATTTTTTTTCCAACGTTTTTTATTTTTTGAGTTCAAACACAAAATACCTATTTTTGGGGCACAGTTCAAACTTATCTTGTTCAGAGGGTAACTGAAGATTGTTTTTATTTTTTTTTAGAGACAGGGTCTTGCTGTGTCTCCTAGGCCGAAGTGCAGTGGCGCAGTCATGGCCCACTGCAGCCTCTACCTCCTGGGCTCAAGTAATACTCCTGCCTGAGCCTTGTGGGTAGCTGGGAGTACAGGCGTGTGCCATTGCGTCCAGCTAATTTTATGTTGTGTTTATTGTAGAGATGAAGTTTCACTGTTGCCCAGGCTGGTGTTGAACTCCTGGGCTCAAGCAGTCCTCCCACCTCAGCTTCCCAAATTGCTGGGATTATAGGCACGAGCCACTATGCCTGGCTCTCAACATTTTATTGTGAAAATTTTTTAACATAGAAAAGTAAATTATACAGTGAACATGATATACCCATCACATAGTTTATACGGTTGTTAACATTTTGCTATATTTGCTTTATTACGTATCTGTTCACCTCTTTGTTCAATTATTAATAATTTTCATTCTCGCCGGGCATGGTGGCTCACGCCTGTAATCCCATCATTTTGGGAGGCTGAGGCAGGCAGAGCACCTGAGGTCAGGAGTTCAAGACCAGCCTTGCTAACATAGTGAAACCCTGTCTCTACTAAAAATACAAAAATTAGCCAGGTGTGGTGGCAGGCACCTGTAATCCCAGCTACTCAGGAGGCTGAGGCAGGAGAATCACTTGAACCTGGAAGGCGGAGGTTGCAGTGAACCAAGATTGTGCCACTGCACTCCAGCCTGGGTGACAGACAGAGACTCTGTCTTAAAAAATAGTAATAATAATAATTTTCATTCTTGTAGTATGTCTGTGGCAGGGTTTCTCAGCCTTGCATTGGTGACATTTTGGATAATCCTTTGCTGTGGGCTGTGCCGTCCATTGTAGGATGTGTAGCAGCATCCCTGGCCTTTGTCTACTAAATGCCGCTAGCACTCCCTATCTCCTTTGTGACAACCAAAAATGTCTCCAGACATTGCTGAATACCCCTTTTGGGGGGTGAGGTATAAAATCACCCCTGGTTGGGAAATGCTATTCTGTAGTAATTTTCATTAACCACTATGGCATGGCTTATTATAGCTGTCTAGATTTTGGTTGTTGATATTTGCATTTCATAATACGAATCTCTTGAAAGTAAAGGCATTTCCCTAACCTATCAAATCTAACAATACCTTTTTTTTTTTTTTTTTTTAAAGAGTCTCACTGTCGCCCAGGCTGGAGTGCAGTGGCAGGATCTTGGCTCACTGCACCCTCTGCCTCCTGGGTTCAAGCGATTCTCCTGCCTCAGCCTCCTGAGTAGCTGGGATTACAGGCGCCTGCCACTACACCTGGCTAATTTTTTGTATTTTTAGTAGAGACAGGTTTTGCCATGTTGGCCAGGCTAGTCTCAAGCTCCTGACCTCAAGTGATCCGCCCACCTCGGCCTCCTAAAGTGCTGAGATTACAGGTGTAAGCCAGCGTGCCTGGCCCAAAATAACGATACTAAAATCTAGTTCATTTTCATATTTTCCCAATAGTTGCAAAATGTGTTTTTGGCTGATTTGCTTAAATTAGAATCTAGTCAGGGACCACACATTGCATTTGGTACATAGTTCTTCCAGCTCTTTTAATTCAAAACAGTCTTCTCACCCTCGGCAGTGTAGCAACACCCTCCCTCCCCCATCTCTACAAAAAAGAAAATTTAACTGGATATAGTGGCATGTGCCTGTATTCCTAGGTACTCAGGAGGCTGAGGTGGGAGGATCATTCGAGCCCAGGAGGTTGAGCCTGAGGTGAGCCATGAGCACACCACTGTACTTCATTCTGGGCAACAGCGCAAGACCCTGTCTCTAAAAAACCCAAAAACCATCTTAAGTTGACCCTTGAACTGTGCAGATCCAGTCATACATGGATCTTTTTTCAACCAAAGTGGAATCAAAAATACCATATTTATGGGTTGCAAAACCCGCTTCTCTGGAGGGTCGACTTTAGGTATACGCTGATTTCTCAGGGCCAACTGCAGGACTCAGCTGTGTGTGGATTTTGGTATCCTGGAACCAAACCCCTGCACGTGCCAACTATGTTCGTACGGAAACCAACATGTGCCCTCATCTTTTTTTTGGCCATGAGTTTGACTTGTTGAGGGAGGCCATATATTTGCCCTGTAGGATAACATACTTTATGGATTTTTCTGATTTATTTCCTGTACTGTTTGTCTAAACCAATAAATTCAAAGTAACTAGATTTGAAAATTCTAAGACTTCTTCAAGTATTAAAGAATAATCTATCCGTAAAAGTATATAAGCCTGATGTTTTTTTGCAAGTCAAACAGATTTGTGTAGCCAGCATCCAGATCAAAAATCGAAACATTATCAACATCCTAGGAGTGCCCTTCATGCTTTTCTACTCATTATGCCTCCCCATCCCTAAAGCCAACCACTGTCACTAATGAAAAAACTATGATATTGAAAATGTAATATGAAAAAACGACAATATTTTTTGAAATTTTACAGCTAAAGTTGATTCATCTGAAAGGGTAAATGGATTGTTCAATAAATGGGAGTGGGATAGCTAGTAACTTAGGGGTAAAGCTGACTTTATTCCTTGTTTTTGTATCAGATAAAGTCTAGGTGGATCAAAACATAAGATACAAATGGAGTTGGACCTATAACCATATGGTTACAGGTCCTTTATACATTCCCTATGGAGATAATTATCCTAAGTGTGAATAAAGAGCTACATTCTTTTTTTTGTTGTTGTTTTGAGATGGAGTTTTGCTCTTGTTGCCTAGGCTGGAGTGTAATGGCATGATCTCAGCTCACTGCAACCTCCACCTCCTGGGTTCAAGCGATTCTCCTGCCTCAGCCTTCCGAGTAGCTGGGACTACAGGTGCCCACCACCACGCCCGGCTAATTTTTTGTATTTTTAGTAGAGACGGGGTTTCACCGTGTTAGCCAGGATGTTCTCGATCTCCTGACCTTGTGATCCGCCCGCCTCGGCCTCCCAAAGTGCTGGGATTACAGGTGTGAGCCACCGCGCCCGGCAAAAAAGGGATCTATTCTAATAAGGTCAGAATAATTTCTAAGAACACCCTGTGATCAACGGATTTAGCCTGTCAGGTAAATATTGTTCCTGCATTTACAATATAAGCATTTTTATGCCTCAATTTGGAAAAATAAAAAGCAAATTTTTATTTATTTACAGAATAGCCCAAGGAGCCTAATTTAGGGAATCTTGATAAGGTGATAAGATTTATGTATTTTACTTATTTTTTTCTTTTTAGACGAGTTATGTGTTGAAGCACTTTGTCGGATGGAACAAGCCAATTGCTCCTTTCAGGTGTTTGATAAACATCCAGGGATCTATTTGTTTTTAGTCCATCCCAATGAAATGGTGAGTGTGAGTGTTGGGCGATAGAAGGGTATATTGTGCTTTTGTACCTATAGATAGCTATAATAGCGGTTTTTGGTGTGGATTTTGTTTAAAATGTTTGCTAAAATTTTTCTTGCTTTAAAATTTACTACAGTTAAGTAGAGGGCGCTCTGGGGTCAAAGAAGAGGGGATCTCAGAGGGTAGGGGATACTTACCGACAGGTGATGCTTGATCTTAAAAGACAAACGGGAATAACTTGATGTCCTTTCAGTATGTTGAATTGAACTCAAGAAGACCTCTTCTCTTGACTTTCTCACCTGCTTGACCCACTGCAGACACATGGAGATACCGGTTAAAACATTTGAAAAGTTATTTTGCTGATAGATTAGAATTAAAACAAGGGAAGGTAGGGAGGGAGACTGGGAAATTCTGGTGCTAGAGATGAAGAAGGACAAAATCCAGAACAGTGAGCAGGAACAGAAGCAGATAGCATTGAAACCTGACATAGCCCTTTGGCTAAGGTTTGAGATCTTGTCACCTTTTGTGGTAAGACAGTCTGTGCTTCAGGTCTCATGCCTAATGCCACCTAGAACTGAGTGACTACATTAAGCCAGTAGCCAGGAAGGGCTACTCTGCCAATGTAAGGCAAGAAAAATTACGTTTTTTAAAAAAAGCATGGTAATGGGATTGCCAGTCAAGATGATGGTGAATTTCAGTTTCCTCTGGGCCAAACACATACCAATGATATTAAAAAAAAGCAAAAGGAGGAAATTAAAGGGGTATAATCACATTCCTCCAAAGGAAAACTTATTTCTGTGGACCAGCAATGGAACAGAAACATGAAGTAATAAATGAGTGGAAACCTGGCCTGGGTGGCGGTGGGTAGCTCGGGATTCAGCTTGTGCAGGACAACAGGAATTAGAAGTATACTCCAGGCAAGGCAAAGAACCAAAGCCAAACTCTGCACTCCAAACAAGGGGCGGATGGGGGTGCTTCTTTGCCTGTGAAAGAAGGTTGCCAAAGTATTAAAAAGGTTCACTGGCTTTTTAAAAGCTGTTTACATATGGAGGAAGCAGGTCTGGTCTTGTAACCAGTGCCTGGGCGAAGCACTTGCAGCCTTGGTGACTGAGTCTGCCTAGCCCTTATGTAACCAAAGGTTGGGAGCCCTGAGCTGCTGATAGTAGACCTAGTTCTGGAGCAGGACTCTCAAGGATGGATAGAAAGCAGCCCAAATTTATATTTAGGAAGGGGAGGGGTAGTGGTAGGAGGGACACAGAATTCCTCCCTGTCGGATGAGCTTGCAAACCAAATCCCTGAAACACACGAGGAAAGCGCATGCTCTGACAGAACAAAGACCAGCACTGTTGGTCCTTTCTCTAGGTTTAACTCTAGAGGAACTTGAAAGAGAAAATGGAGAACATTGAGAGAAACTCTGAGTTGACAAGGGCTGGTTTATTAAAAAAAATTTTTTTTATTATTATATTTTATTTTTTGAGACAGAGTCTTGCTCTGTTGCCCACGCCGGAAGTAGAGACAGGGTTTCACCAGGTTGGCCAGGCTGGTCTCAAACTCCTAACCTCAAATGATGCACCCACCCCGGCCTCCCAA
Source organism: Homo sapiens (assembly GCF_000001405.40). NCBI lineage: Eukaryota > Metazoa > Chordata > Mammalia > Primates > Hominidae > Homo > Homo sapiens. The sequence continues at coordinate 132,341,102 of NC_000009.12, read as the reverse complement.
AGTGCTGAGATAACAGGTGTGAGCCACCACGTCCAGCCGACAAGGGCTGTTTTGAAAGGTGAATGTGGGAGATGGGGAGGAGAACATCCTTAGTTTGTGAATTCCTTTTCACTCTGGGGTATTGGGTCCTATCTGGCAGTGCCTGTGGGAGGCACTATGGAATTACCTCTCAGAGCATTCTCCCACAGCCAGAGAATAAAATGGGCTGTGGGAGAATAAAGTAGAAAAGGAACTGTTAAGGTTCTGCTTCCAGTTCTCCCTCATCATTGCCTTAGATGAATAAAACCTGCATCCAAATCTGTTCTCAACTAAAAGATCTGATCCAGGTGAAGGTAGGAATGAAATCAGCACAGTGGATAACCCCTAATATTTGTGAGGCACTGAGACAAGCAGGTGGAGACCAATTAACCACTGATAATTGCTTCATTATCATCCCCTCTTAACCCCAGGACTTGGGGGATTACAGCCCAGTAGTGTCTTCTAATGCTGCTTCTGCCCGGGAGTAAAGGGTGACGACCTGACTTAGAAAACTAAAATGCGTGGCAGTGAGTGAGTACGTTTTTCTGGCTTGGATTTTATCCATCACTCAGCCCTGAATTGATTGGGCATAAGCCAGTCTGGAGTCTGGCCTTCCATAGGCACCGCCTGATAGGAGCCAGTACCCCAGAGTGAAAAGGAATTCACAAACTAAAAATAATAGACATATGAGAAACATGAAGATTTCAGTAGAAGCAGATATATTAGGACACTTGTCCAGTAAATTTAAAATTATTATAGTAAACATGCTAGAAGAAATACGGGAAGATACTAATGTGAAATGAGAACTAGAAAACGTGAGAACCAACAAACCTACACATTGTGCACATGGACCCTAGAACTTAAAGTATAATTAAAAAAAAGAAAGAAAATGTGAGAACCAAGCCAAGTTGTTGTAACATTGAAAAATGAGATATTTAAAATAAAGGCTTCAGAAGATGGGATAGATAATACAGTGGGTACAGCCAAGAGAATGAGTGACTGTATTAGAAGACCAGAATGAGCAAATCCCTAAGAAGAAAAAGAGAAATAGAAAATATAAAAAGAAAAGCTAAAAGATAAATGGAGGGTAGAAGTAGTAGTGTTAACAAAGATGTAAGACGTCCCAGAAAGAGAAAAATAAAAATCAGGACAAAGAAATACCGGAGATATGGCTGGGCACGGTGACTCATTCCTGTAATCCCAGCACTTTGGGAGGCTGAGGTGGGCGGATCACCTGAGGCCAGGAGTTTGAGACCAGCCTGGCCAACATGATGAAACCCTGTCTCTACTAATAATACAAAAAAATTAGGCAGGTGTGGTGGTGTGTGCCTGTAGTCCCAGCTACCTGGGAGGCTGAGGCAGGAGAATTGCTTGAACCCGGGATGCAGGGGTTGCAGTGAGCCGAGATTGCAACATTGAACTCCAGCCTGGGCAACAAGAGCAAAACTCCATCTCACAAAAGGAAAGTTGTACTATATGGAAAGAGAGGTTAGATCCCTACCTTATTATCATTCATAATGACAAAATCTATCTAAAAAACCATAGTTAGGTTCAGTTTTCAAACTCTTTGCAGGAAATAGAGGTGTACAGCATTTAGATTGTAAGGTGAGGAAAGATTTGTTTTATTTTTTTGAGACAGGGTCTTGCTCTGTCACCCAGGCTGGAGTGCAGTGGCGTGATGACAGCTCACTGTAATCTCTGCCTCCCAGGCTCAGGCATTTCACCAAAATCTCCTTCCTCGGTCACCATGCCCAGCTAATTTTTTGTAGAGATGGGGTTTCACTGTGTTGCCCAGGCTGGGTTCGAACTCCTGGGCTCAAGTGCCCCCATACCTCAGCCTCCCAAAGTGTTGAGATTACATGCATGAGCCACCATGCCTGGCCTGAGGAAGGGTTTTATAGAAACGAAAGCATTGATTATGAAAGGAAAGTTGATGAACTTGACTATATTAAAATGAAAAGTTATTGTTTATCAAAAAATACCATAAAGAGAGTGAAAATACTAGTTAAAAATTGGGAAAAGGGCTGGGCATGGTCGCTCATGCTCGAAAGCCCAGGCCTTTGGGAAGCCAGGGTTGGAGGATTGTTTGAAGCCAAGAATTCAAGACCAGCCTGAGCAACATAGCAAGAACCTATCCCTACAAAAAAATTTTTTTTTTAATTAGCTTGGCATAACGTTGCACACCTGTAGCCCTAGCTACTCAGGAGGCTAAGGTGGGAGGATCACTTGAGCCCAGGAGGTTGAGGCTGCAGTGAACCCTGATCTGCCAGTGCACTCCAACCTGGGCAACAGAGTGAGACTCTTTCTCAAAAAAATAAAGTAAAAAATTGAAGATAATCATATTACTAACAATACAAAAAATATGGATGAAGATCTGAACAGGCATGTCCCAGAACAGAAGAGGAACTACCAATAGCTAATAAATATATGAAGGAATGTTTTCTATTTAATGATCAGGGAAATAATAAGACCACAATGATATACCATTTTATTTTTGTGTGATAGCCTGAGAATACAATTTTGGAGAGGTCATGCATTTGCAAAACCTCTAGTTATTGCTGGTAAAAGGTCTTATTTAGCTGTCACGTCCATTTAGTCCTCTTTAATCTGGAACATTTCATTGTCTTACATGAAAATTACTTTTCTGAAGAATACAGTCATTCCTGCTCTGCCTCTTTTTAAAAAAATAAGTGAGGCTGGGCACGGTGGCTCATGCCTGTAATCCCAGCACTATGGGAGGCCGAGGTGGGTGGATCATGAGGTCAGGAGTTCGAGACCAGCCTGGCCAGCATGGTGAAACCCCGTCTCTACTAAAAATAACAAAAGTTAGCCGGGCGTGGTGGTGCACCCTTGTAATCCCAGCTACTTAGGAGGCTCAGGTAGGACAATGACTTGACCCCAGGAGGCAGAGGTTGCAGTGAGCCGAGATGGTGCCACTGCATGCCAGCCTGGGCGATAGAGTAAGACTCTGTCTCAAAAAAAAAAAAAAAAAAAGAGTGTTCCTCACTTTGGGTTTGTCTGATGTTTCCTCATGCATAGATTCAGGTTACACATTCCCAGCTGGAGTACCATGTAAGTGATGTTACTGTCCTTCTCAGCTTGTCATATGTAGACAGAGGCACGCCATATCCTTTGCAACTCATGGTGATGTTAATTTTGAGCATTCGGTGAAGGTGCTGTCCCATTTCTCTGCTGTGTAATTTCTATTGTTTAGATACTTTAAGACCATGTAAATACTATGCATTTCATCAAGATCTCCTAAATTTAGCATTCATTAATGTGTCTTGCCTGAACTATGGTGATTGCAAGATGGTCATTTCCTAACTCCAGCACTCTCCATGTTTACTATTTACCACTTGACATTGATTGTACAGTAATCAAGAGTCTTTTCCCCTTCTACCACTTATTATCAGTAAGGTCTCATGGATTCCAAAACTTTTTCAGTAGTTTATAATTTGTTGCTTATGTTGGCATAGAGCTCATGCTTTTACCTGTGGGGTCTGTGTTTTTCCAACTTTTTGATTACAATCTGTAGTAAAAAATGTTTTCCTTGTGTATGCATATGCCTATATAATGTATTTTGTAAAATAATACTTTTACTATGAAGGATGCACTCTTGATATTTTTCTGTTCTTGTTTTTTTTTTTTAAGGTTGGTTGTGAGCACTAAATTTAATTCATAGTCTCCAAGAAATTTAAAATCACTTCTTTATGCTATTCTGCCATTTAGAAATGCCCTTTGATTTCTTTTGAGATTCCTCATTTTGTGTTTTCTTTCCTTTTTTGGACATTCTGTTATGGAAAATGATAAACATAAAAGTAGCAAGAATGGTGTAATGAATCCCCCATAATCCATCAGTTAGCTTTATCAATACATGGTCAACATTCCACTCCCCTTTAGATTAGTTTAGAGCAAATCTTAGATATCAGAGCATTTCATCCACAAAATATTTCAGTATGTATTTCTAAAAGATAAAGACTTAAAAAAAACGAAAAATATTATTATATATATATTTTTTGAGATGGAGTCTTACTCTTGTCGCCCAGGCTGGAGTGCAGTGGTAGGATCTTGGCTCACTGCAACCTTTCCCCACCAGGTTCAAACAATTCTCCTGCCTCAGCCTCCCAAGTAGCTGGGACTACAGGAGTGCACCACCAAGTCCAGCTAATTTTTTTGTATTTTTAGTAGAGACAAGGTTTTGCCAAGTTGGCGAGGCTGGTCTTGAACTCCTGACCTCAGGTGATCTGCCCGCCTCAGCCTCCCAAAGTACTGAAATTACAGGTGTGAGCCACTGCACCCAGCCAGAAAAATACTATTATTGCATCTAAAAGAATAATTACTTAATGTTGTCTTGCCAGTCAGTGTTTGAATGAATGGAAATGATTGTCTAAAACTGTTTATTAGGGGTTAGTATGTTCAAATCAGGATCAAATAAGGTCCACACATTGCATTAATTAATATGTCACATGTCTTTTAAAATATGCAGAGAATCCTGTTTTCTTTTCTGTGTTCTTGCTGTTTGTAGACCATTGTTTATTGAATTAAGTAATAAATATATTCTGCATTTAGGTTCGGCGTTGGGCTATCTTGACTGCAAGAAACTTGGGGAAAGTGGACAGAGATGATTATTATGACTTACAAGAAGTTTTACTTTGCCTTTTTAAAGTCATTGAGTTGGGGCTTTTAGAGAGTCCAGACATTTATACTTCTTCTGTCCTAGAGAAGGGTAAACTGATTCTTCTGCCCTCACACATGTATGATACTACCAACTACAAAAGCTATTGGTTAGGTGAGTATTATTCCTACACTAATATAATTGGTATTTTCGTATAGTTCTGTTTTTTGAGACAGTCTCACTCTGTTGCCCAGGCTGGAGTGCAGTGGCACCATCTCCACTCACCGCAAGCTCCACCTCCCAGGTTCAAGCAATTCTCCTGCCTTAGCCTCCCGAGTAGCTGTGATTACAGGCAAACGCCACCACACCTGGCTAATTTTTTGTATTTTTAGTAGAGACGGGGTTTCACCATGTTGGCCAGGCTGGTCTTGAACTCCTGACATCAAGTGATCTGCCCACCCTGGCCTCCTAAAGTGCTGGGATTACAGGCGTGAGCTACCGCGCCCGGCCCTGTAGTTCCTATGAGGGTCCTAAAAGGGAAGTGTTCTCTTTGGTGATCTGATGAAACTTACTGAAGATAGGATTTTATAGTTCTCAGTTCTTATTCTGTCATTAAGTTGACTTAACTATTACATATCTTGTTATTAAACAGTATTTATATCCTAGAAACTTTTCTGTAGTAAGCAGTACATTTTCAAGCACTGGCAAATGAATCGAATCTTGTTTACGGCCACATTTTATTAACAAAATATTAGTGTAATAGTTGGCTTTAAATAGGATTTGATTGTTAATACTCCTTTTTCAGTGTGTAAAATATTTCCTGGTAGAACTGGGCATGGTGGTGCACGCCTGTAGTCCCAGCATCTTGGGAGGCTGAGGCAGGAGGAACATTTAAGCCCAGGAATTTGAAGCTGCAGTGAGCTAGGATTGTGCTACTGCACTCCAGCCTGGGTGACAGAGGGAGATCCTGTCTCCTAAAAAAAAAAAAATTAAATTTTCCTGGTAGAAAGAGTTGACAGCATTGTTTACAAGTCCTATTGTGGCTCAAAATACTTTTTTTTTTTTTTTTTTTTTTTTTTGAGACGGAGTCTTGCTCTGTCGCCCAGGCTGGAGTGCAGTCGCGCGATCTCGGCTCACTGCAAGATCCGCCTCCTGGGTTCACGCCATTCTCCTGCCTCAGCCTCCCGAGTAGCTGGGACCACAGGCGCCTGCCACCACGCCTGGCTAATTTTTTTGTATTTTTAGTAGAGACGGGGTTTCACCATGTTAGCCAGGATGGTCTCGATCTCCTGACTTTGTGATCTGCCCGCCTTGGCCTCCCAAAGTGCTGGGATTACAGGTGTGAGCCACCACGCCCGGCCTCAAAATACTTCTATACCATTTCCTTGATTCCAAATCTTAAGGTCACGTGTCATAAATGGCAGTGATTTTTTTTTTCTTTCTTAGTGGTATATGGAATATGGTACATCTTAAAATTGAAGGCATCTTATATTGGTGAGATACAAGTTACATGGTAGTTATGTTAGAAATTGTTTTCTAACCATCTTGTACTTTCACACTTGAATTAGTCTAGAGTTCTATTACTTGGGAGCAGTTGTGTATGAATATCTGAGACTTAAATGTTTGAGAAACTAAATACTATCTTGCTTCATCTTCCTGCCTTGTTATTCTTTTGCAAACTAAACCAGGCATTAGTATAGTATTATTTCATCAATTCAAGATAACTCTAAATGATCTTACAGGTATTTGCATGTTGCTGACCATTCTTGAGGAACAAGCCATGGATTCCCTGTTGTTGGGCTCAGACAAACAAAATGATTTTATGCAATCGATACTTCACACTATGGAGAGGGAAGCAGATGGTAATAAACTTTACTTGCTGAATGTTGTTGAATATAGTGATGATGATGCACTTTAAAAATGATAGTGTCACTGCAGGAATTGGTGTATGTTGTGGAGAAAAGAATTTTTCTGGTTTAGTAATAGATTCAGACTTTTTATTTTGTTTTGTTTTGTTTTTTGATACGAAGTCATACTCTTGTTGCCCAGGCTGGAGTGCAATGGTGCGATGTCAGCTCACTGCAACCTCCACCTCCTGGGTTCAAGAAATTCCCCTGTCTCAGCCTCCCAAGTAGCTGGGACTACAGGCGTGCACCACCACGCCCAGCTAATTTTTTTGTATTTTTAGTAGAGACGGGGTTTCACCACGTTGGTCAGGCTGGTCTTGAACTCTTGATCTCAGGTGATCTGCCTGCCTTGGCCTCCCAAAGTGCTGGGATTACAGGCATGAGACTTTTAAATCAGAAAGGACCTTTATAATTTAATTCAATACCTTCCTTTCATAGAAGAAGGGAAGTTAATCTACTTTTTCATGATGAAAAAGTTGGTGGTAGGATGAACATCAGAACCTCTGGGAGACCCATTTGTAATGACATTGTGGTTAACATTGTGGGGTAAGCCTTCTCTGTCCCATGGCCTCCCTTTGCCTGCCTCTTTGTTTCTCTGTGGTTCTCTAATACAGTAACTGCCAGCCACATGTGATTATTAAAATAAATTTAAGTCAATTAAAATTAAAAATGCAGTTATTTGGTCCCACTAGTCATATTTCAAGGCTCAATGGCCACACGTGCCTGTACTCTATCCTGTACTGTATTGAACAATGCAGAGACAGAAGATTTCCATCATCACAGAACATTCTCTTGGATATGCTGCTCCAGATAGTCTAGATAATGAGGCCTAAAACTTGTAGTCATGTTTATTATTAGATCCTGACCTCCTTTTGCTGATGCTTGTATCATGCTAATCATGAAGGATCTGTAATTAAATAAGTGCTTCTAATCTTTAGGAAGTAATGAATTAATAAAGACCAAGTATACCAGATCCTATGAGAAAACATAATGAGTATAATTTTTTCCCCTCATTCTCTTCATGCAACTTGAATGTTGTATATAAACTCATTTGTGGGAGATTCTAATATAAATATATTAATGTTATTCTTTTGTTGATAGGGCGTGTGTGTGTGTGTGTGTGTGTGTGTGTGTGTGTGTGTGTGTATATATATTTTTTTTTTTCTTTTTTTTTTTTTTCTTTTTGAGACCAAGTCTTTCTCTCTCACCCAGGCTGGAGTGCAGTGGTGCGATCTTGGCTAACTGCAGCCTCTGCCTCTGGGTTCAAGCGATTCTCCTGCCTTAGCCTCCCAAGTAGCTGGGATTACAGGTATGCACCACCATACCTGGCTAATTTTTGTATTTTTAGTAGAGATGGTGTTTCACTATGTTTTCCAGGCTGGTCTTGAACTCCTGGTCTCATGTGATCCGCCTGCCTTGGCCTCTCAAAGTGTTGGGATTACAAGCATGAGCCACCACGCCCGGCCTTTGGCATATATTTTCTTGCTAGATTATGTCTGAGGCTATTACTCTTTTGCCAACATTTACTGCATAAATTGTTCATTTCTTTCCCTGTGCCTAACTACATGTATAATTCTGTCCTTTCTGTTAAGCTAGCTCCCTTAACCATCTTAAAAAAAAACAAACACCTTTTTTTTTTTTTTTCTTTTGAGACAGGATCTCACTATCACCCACCCTGGAGTGGCTCAATCAGGTCTCACTGCAGCCTTAACCTCCCAGGCTCAAGTCATCCTCCTGCCTCTGACTCCCTAGTAACTGGGGCCACAGGCATGTGCCATCTTACCCAGCTAATTTTTAAATTTTTGCTAGAGACAAAGTCTCACTATGGGTGTAGGCTGGTCTTGAACTCCTGACCTCAAGCAGTCCTCCTGCCTCGGCCTCCCAAAGTGTTGGGATTTACTGGTGTGAGCCACTGAACCCAGCCTTGTCTTCAAAATTTTAATTACCTCTTTGAGAAACTTTTCATAATTGTCTTCATCTAACTACTTTGTTTCTTGTGAGCTTATTAGACACAGGCACTGTTTCAGATGCAGTGGAGGATACAAACATATATAAGAAAGTTCAAATGACTGTGGTAAAGTCTGAGAAGTATGAGGGAAGTAAAGTCACAAGTTCTAGGATGACGTAGCAATAGCAGTGACTGCGTGAATTCAAGCACTTGCCTCAGAAGAGTACTGTAGATGACTGAAGTGGGGGAATGTTTAATATAGGAGGAGGCATTTAAGCTGGACTTTTAAGGATGGATAGGATTTTGATATGTTGTGCTAGAATTGAGGGCATTCTAGTGCTTATTTTGGAAAAAGCCAGTGATCTATTTGTGCTGTAGATAGTGTATGATTATAGGAATATGAAAAATAAAAATGGAAATAAACAGTAGATCAATATCTTTTAAGTTCTTGACTGAGGATTTTGAATTTTCTTGGAAGACATTAAGTATCCATTGAAGGTCTTTGAGTAGGGCGGTATCTTGCTACTGCATATTTGATAGAGAAGCAGGAGGTTGGATGAAAAGTAGAGAACAGCAAAGCCATGTTGAGATACAGATGGATGAAGAGTGTATCTTTGCCTTATTCCTTAGCTAAAGAATTTAGTCATTTACACTAGATGCGTGACACAAAATTCAGGATGATGCTGAAAGAGAATTTCTTGTATTATGGGCTTCATGTAGATCTGTAAATACCAAGTTTCTTTCTCTTTCCTTTATTTTTTTCCTCTTCTTTTCTGTTAGTTATTGGAGGATGGGACTACAAAGTTTTGGCAGGGGTTGAGGAGCTGAATTAGAAAAGGTTGTTTCTGGTATGGCAAACAGGGTGTGAAAAGATTGTGCTTACCTAGACTGTTTTCTTGCCCATTAAGTAATTTGTTTGCCACTAAATTTTTTTTTTTTTTTACAGACGTATCATAGTATTGCTTGCAAAAAATCTTGAAAATGTGGCTGCTTTTGAAACCCTCTGTGTGTCTGAGGACTGGTGGCGGCACTGCTTTAAATTATTTGCTCCTTGGCTTTTAGTTGGGTTGCTACTCACCAGATAAAGAATATGCTTAATTCTCAATATATTGTAGTATGTTTTTCTAACTGTTTAGTAATTCAACGATTGTGCCATTGTATTTCAGATGATAGTGTGGATCCTTTCTGGCCAGCGTTACACTGTTTTATGGTGATTCTGGATCGCCTTGGATCTAAGGTCTGGGGTCAACTTATGGATCCTATTGTGGCATTTCAAACCATTATCAACAACGCAAGCTACAATAGAGAGATCCGACATATACGGAACAGCTCTGTAAGGTTAGTTCAGCTAATGTCAGGATTTAAACATCATCTCTATAAGAAAGTGTGTTCCAGCTAGATTACTTAACAAGAGGTGTTTCTTCCTTTTTTTCCCCCTTCGTTTCAGTAATTTCTATTTATTCTTAATATTTAAGGACCAAGTTAGAACCGGAGTCCTATTTGGATGATATGGTGACTTGCAGCCAGATCGTATACAATTATAATCCTGAAAAGACCAAAAAGGTATAAAACACTTTGAAAATTCAGATGCTATTTTATTGCCTTTATATTGTGTAGACTATTTTGTATAATTTGTTGAGTTGCAGATTTTGTGATATGTAGCTGTTCTCAATCTACTGCTATGTAAAAGCCCTTCTCATTGAACAGCAGATGTATTGTGTGTTGGGGAAGATGGACTCTAACTACAGTATGCATACTTTGGAAAATTAACTTATAAGTACATTTAGGGAAGATGGAAAGTTTATGGGGACATACATGGCATGACTAGAAATCAAAACTAGCTAGTGGACAGAAGGTGAGAGTACATAAAGGTGTTACCAATTTGTCTTTTTATGAAAACTCAAAATTCAATTTATATTTTCACTTTCTTGGGAGTTAGGTGTATTACGATTGTGATATAATTATATGCCACAATTATACCATTGTATAGCATAATAATGATGTGGTAAACCAAAATAAGAGAGTTGAGAAACGTATTTTTCTTAACGACTTGGGTGTTGAACCTGTCATAAGTGGTGCTTATTTATCTGAACATCAGCATTTCTTTCATTTTAGGATTCTGGATGGAGAACAGCCATTTGCCCAGATTATTGTCCTAACATGTATGAAGAAATGGAAACATTAGCCAGTGTACTTCAGTCAGATATTGGTCAAGACATGCGTGTTCATAACAGCACATTTCTATGGTTCATCCCTTTTGTCCAGTCCCTCATGGATCTTAAGGATTTGGGTGTGGCTTACATAGCACAGGTTGTTAATCATCTGTACTCTGAAGTCAAAGAAGTCCTCAACCAAACAGATGCTGTGTGTGACAAAGTCACTGAATTTTTTCTTCTAATTTTGGTATCAGTGATTGAACTGCATAGAAATAAAAAATGTTTGCATTTGCTGTGGGTAAGTTCCCAGCAATGGGTGGAAGCCGTCGTCAAATGTGCCAAGCTTCCTACCACTGCGTTTACACGGAGTTCTGAGAAATCATCTGGAAATTGCTCCAAAGGAACAGCAATGATATCTTCACTGTCATTGCATTCCATGCCATCTAACTCTGTACAACTTGCTTATGTGCAGCTGATTAGAAGTCTCCTTAAAGAAGGTTATCAGCTTGGGCAGCAGTCTCTTTGCAAGCGATTCTGGGATAAGCTCAACTTATTCCTTAGAGGAAATTTATCTCTAGGTTGGCAGTTGACTAGTCAGGAAACCCATGAGCTACAAAGTTGCTTAAAGCAAATTATTAGAAACATAAAATTCAAAGCACCTCCATGTAACACTTTTGTGGATCTGACTTCTGCATGTAAAATCTCTCCTGCATCTTATAATAAAGAAGAAAGTGAACAAATGGGGAAGACGTCTAGAAAAGATATGCATTGTTTGGAAGCTTCCAGCCCAACATTTTCTAAAGAACCAATGAAAGTGCAAGACAGTGTATTGATCAAAGCAGATAACACTATAGAAGGTGACAATAATGAGCAAAATTATATAAAGGATGTGAAACTAGAGGACCATCTCTTAGCTGGGTCATGCTTAAAGCAGAGTAGTAAAAACATTTTTACTGAAAGAGCTGAAGATCAAATTAAAATAAGTACAAGGAAGCAGAAGTCTGTAAAAGAGATCTCTTCATATACACCAAAGGACTGTACTTCAAGAAATGGTCCAGAAAGGGGATGTGACAGAGGAATAATAGTATCAACACGTTTGTTGACTGATTCTAGCACTGATGCTTTGGAAAAAGTGTCCACATCGAATGAAGATTTCTCTTTAAAGGATGATGCTCTTGCTAAAACCTCAAAACGAAAAACTAAGGTACAGAAAGATGAAATCTGTGCAAAGTTATCACATGTAATAAAGAAGCAACACAGGAAGAGTACTTTGGTCGATAATACTATCAATTTAGATGAAAATTTGACTGTATCTAACATTGAGAGTTTCTATTCAAGGAAAGATACAGGAGTTCAGAAAGGAGATGGTTTCATACACAATCTTTCTTTAGACCCTAGTGGTGTTCTGGATGATAAGAATGGAGAACAAAAATCTCAAAACAATGTATTGCCAAAAGAGAAACAATTAAAGAATGAAGAATTAGTTATTTTCTCTTTCCATGAAAACAATTGTAAAATACAGGAATTTCATGTTGATGGTAAAGAATTGATCCCTTTTACAGAAATGACCAATGCTTCAGAGAAGAAATCATCTCCCTTTAAAGATCTTATGACTGTACCTGAATCAAGAGATGAGGAGATGAGTAATAGTACCAGTGTGATTTATTCTAACTTGACAAGAGAACAGGCCCCTGACATCAGTCCTAAATCTGACACCTTAACGGATTCTCAGATAGACAGAGACCTTCACAAATTATCTTTACTAGCTCAAGCCAGTGTTATTACGTTCCCATCCGATTCACCTCAGAACTCATCGCAGCTGCAAAGGAAAGTAAAAGAAGATAAAAGATGTTTCACAGCTAACCAAAATAATGTTGGAGATACCTCCCGTGGACAGGTTATTATTATTTCAGATTCTGATGATGATGATGATGAAAGAATCCTGAGTCTTGAGAAACTCACTAAACAGGACAAAATATGCCTTGAGAGGGAACATCCAGAGCAGCACGTTTCAACAGTTAATAGTAAGGAGGAAAAGAATCCAGTAAAGGAAGAAAAGACAGAGACTCTTTTTCAGTTTGAGGAATCTGATTCTCAGTGTTTTGAGTTTGAAAGTTCATCTGAAGTGTTTTCAGTTTGGCAAGATCATCCAGACGATAATAATTCAGTTCAAGATGGTGAGAAAAAATGTTTGGCTCCTATAGCCAATACTACAAATGGTCAGGGTTGTACAGATTATGTATCTGAAGTTGTTAAAAAAGGAGCAGAGGGCATTGAAGAACACACAAGACCACGGAGTATTTCTGTTGAAGAATTTTGTGAAATTGAAGTAAAAAAGCCTAAGAGAAAACGATCTGAAAAACCAATGGCTGAAGATCCTGTGAGGCCTTCATCTTCTGTCAGAAATGAGGGCCAGTCTGATACTAATAAGAGAGATCTTGTGGGAAATGATTTTAAAAGTATTGATAGAAGGACTTCAACTCCCAATTCACGTATTCAGAGAGCCACTACGGTTTCACAAAAGAAGTCTTCAAAGCTTTGTACTTGTACAGAACCCATCAGGAAAGTTCCAGTTTCTAAGACCCCTAAGAAAACTCATTCAGATGCCAAAAAAGGACAGAATAGAAGTTCAAATTACCTAAGTTGTAGAACAACTCCTGCTATAGTGCCGCCAAAGAAATTTCGTCAGTGTCCTGAGCCAACTTCAACAGCTGAGAAACTTGGCCTGAAAAAGGGTCCTCGTAAGGCATATGAGTTGTCCCAGCGGTCTTTGGATTATGTAGCTCAATTACGTGATCATGGCAAAACTGTTGGAGTAGTTGATACCCGAAAAAAGACTAAATTAATTTCTCCTCAGAACCTGTCTGTCAGAAATAATAAGAAACTTCTGACTAGTCAAGAACTTCAGATGCAAAGGCAGATCAGACCCAAATCACAAAAAAATAGACGAAGACTTTCTGATTGTGAAAGTACAGATGTTAAAAGAGCAGGGTCACATACAGCACAGAATTCTGACATATTTGTACCAGAATCTGATAGGTCAGATTATAATTGTACAGGAGGAACTGAGGTACTTGCCAACAGTAACAGAAAACAGTTAATAAAATGCATGCCTTCTGAACCAGAAACCATAAAAGCAAAACATGGGTCTCCAGCAACTGATGATGCTTGCCCTTTGAACCAGTGTGATTCTGTAGTGTTAAATGGAACAGTACCAACAAATGAAGTAATTGTCTCCACTTCAGAAGACCCTCTGGGTGGAGGTGATCCAACAGCACGTCATATAGAGATGGCAGCTTTGAAAGAAGGAGAGCCTGACTCCAGCAGTGATGCAGAGGAAGATAACTTATTTTTAACCCAAAATGATCCTGAAGATATGGATTTATGTTCACAAATGGAGAATGACAATTATAAACTCATTGAACTAATTCATGGAAAAGATACAGTTGAGGTTGAAGAAGATTCTGTAAGTCGGCCTCAGTTGGAATCTTTGAGTGGCACAAAGTGTAAGTACAAAGATTGTCTTGAAACCACAAAAAACCAGGGTGAATACTGCCCAAAACACTCTGAAGTGAAAGCAGCAGATGAAGATGTATTTCGTAAACCTGGCTTGCCTCCTCCTGCATCTAAACCTTTGAGACCTACCACTAAGATTTTTAGCTCAAAGAGTACTTCACGAATTGCTGGTCTTTCTAAATCTTTGGAAACTTCTTCAGCACTTTCACCGTCTCTAAAAAATAAGTCAAAGGGGATACAGTCGATTTTGAAAGTACCACAGCCAGTTCCCCTCATAGCTCAGAAGCCAGTTGGTGAAATGAAGAATTCGTGCAATGTTCTTCATCCTCAGTCTCCGAATAATTCCAACAGGCAAGGTTGCAAAGTTCCATTTGGTGAAAGCAAATATTTTCCATCTTCCTCTCCAGTAAACATTCTTTTGTCATCACAGTCTGTCTCTGACACCTTCGTTAAAGAGGTCTTAAAATGGAAATATGAAATGTTTTTGAACTTTGGTCAGTGTGGGCCCCCTGCAAGTCTTTGTCAGTCCATCTCAAGACCTGTGCCTGTCAGATTTCACAATTATGGAGATTATTTTAATGTTTTTTTCCCTTTGATGGTATTGAATACTTTTGAAACAGTAAGTATGTGTTTCATTTGTATGCCTCTCCAAACTTTTCAAGTTACCTCTTTACCTTGCTGAGTGAAAATGAGAGTATAGTTCAAAAAATCAGCCAGGCGTGGTTGCGGGCACCTGTAATCCCAGCTACTCGGGAGGCTGAGGCAGAGAATTGCTTAAACCCAGGAGGCGGAGGTTGCAGTGAGCCGAGGTCGCGCCACTGCACTCCAACCTGGGCGGCAGAGTGAGACTCTGTCTCAAAAGAAAAAACAAAAAAAAGTATAGTTAAATTAAAATTGACCGTTTCGATTTAGATACTGGTTTTAGATTTCATGTTGAACAGACATTTGTGCCAGCCACTGTTTTAGATACTGGCAATACAGAGGAAACACTTTTTTTTTTTTTTTTTTTTAGGTGGAGTTTTGCTCTTGCTGCCCAGGCTGGAGTGCAATGGTGCGATCTTTGCTCACTGCAACCTTCTGCCTCCCAGGTTCAAGTGATTCTCCTGCCTCAGCCTCCCAAGTAGCTGAGATTACAGGCCTGCGCCACCAGGCCTCACTAATTTTGTATTTTTAGTAGAGAAGGGGTTTCACCATGTTGGTCAGGCTGGTCTTGAACTTCTGATTCTGACCTCAGGTGATCCACCAGCCTCGGCCTCCCAAAGTGCTGGGATTACGGGCATGAGCCACTGTGCCTGGCTGGAAACTCTGCTCCTTGGAGCTGATAGACACAACTCAGGGTGCTAATATACCAAGTGCAGAGGTAACACAGAAGGAAATGTTTATTGACGCACGGGTAAAGGAAGACTTCTCAGAGGAGATAGTTTCCCATGTGCATTTGTTTTGTTTTTAAGTAAGAGACCTCTGCTGTAGTTTTCTTGAGGAGGTGGCAAAGGGTGAATTACATTGAACACAAAGTAATGAATCCTAAATTTCCCTACACGTCAGACTTCCCAGTTTCTTTCTTTCTTTTTTCTTTTTTCTTTTTTTTGAGACGAGTCTCGCTCTGTCGCCCAGGCTGGAGTGCAGTGGTGCAATCTCGGCTCACTGCAAGCTCTGCCTCCCGGGTTCAGGCTGTTCTCCTGCCTCAGCCTCCCGAGTAGCTGAGACTATAGGCTCTCGCCACCACGGCCGGCTAATTTTTTGTATTTTTAGTAGAGATGGGGTTTCACCATGTTAGCCAGGATGGTCTCAATCTCCTGACCTTGTGATCTGCCCGCCTTGGCCTCCCAAAGTGCTGGGATTACAGGCGTGAGCCACTGCGTCTGGCCGCCAGTTTCTTACTCATCACAGCAGCTGCTCTGTGTAACAGCCTCCCCAACCCCAGCACATCCTATTCTGGTTCTTCTCTCCTCCTTACTCAAGTAGAGTTGACAAACGATAAGATTCCCGTTAAAATTTGAGAAAAACATCAAATAATTCTTTAGTGTAAGCATTCAACTGCGTTTAGAAGGATTTTTGTGTGTGTGTTTTCAAGGCAGGTAAGAAGTGGGAGCAAATTTTTAGTTAATCCTCAAAAGAAACTTTCGTGTATACAGTAATACTCTTAAAACCAACAATGTTGAGGTAAATAGTCATGGTTCATTAGCTTGATAGATATTTGAGTGCCTAGTATGTGCCAAGTGCTCTTACAAGCATGGGAGATAAAGTGGTGAACAAGACAGGTGTGAGGTCTCTGCTCTCTGGAAGTGACCATTTGGGATTGAGATAAGGACTCTAGTATGATCTAGAACAAAGGGGACAGGGCACTTTCTGGAGAGATCAGATAACCTCTATGAGCAGATGATATTTACACTGAGACCCAAGTGACTAGGAGTTAACTGTGGGAAGTATGTTACAGGCAGAGTGGAGTGCAAAGACAGTCTGGTAACAAGATTGGAGTGTTGGGGAAGGAAGTGTAATGTACAAAGGGACAAGTCTACTACAAAAGAAGAGAAGTGAGTTGTTAACACTGTACATGGCAAGATAAATGGCTTTTATAAAGCTTGAGTGAACGTATCTTCATCAATGTACTTTATGTTAAATCTTTTGATCAATTCGTACCTCAAATTTTAGCCATTTTTGAGAGTTGCTTTATTATTTTTTTTTCCTAAGGTACTTTTGTTTTAGCAGGAGTTGCTTTATTTTCGCTGGAAAGCACTAAATTGCTTAGAAGCCATTCATAACCCTATGAAGGGTAGACACTTACTTTCATTTCCTGAGTTAAAAGATATTTATTAAGATTTATTTCCTTCAGGACATTTTTGTAGTCTCAGCTTTTTAAAAACAGAATGAGCACAAGTTCCATTTGTACATATACAGAGTTTAAAATAGTCAAAGATTTCTATCTGGCCCATTATAAAGAACATCAGGCACCCCTCATCCCCTCAAGTAACTATTTTCTATTCTTAATGAGTCCTTTGGAAATTTCTTTCCATTTTTATCTTTTTTTTTTCTTTTTTGGAGACAGGGTCTCACTCCTGTCCCCCAGGCTGGAGTACAGTGGCACAATTATGGCTCACTGCAGCCTCAACCTCTTGGCCTCTGGTAGTCCTTCCACCACAGCCTCTTGAATAACTGGGACTACAGGCTCACACCATAATGTCCAGCTAATTTTTGTATTTTTAGTAGAGGCAGAGTTTTTCCCATGTTGCCTAGGCTGGTCTCAAACTACTGGGCTCAAGTGATCCACCTGCCTTTGCCTCTCAAAGTGCTACGATTACAGGCGTGAGCCATCCCGCCTGGCCTTCCTTCCATATTTCTGAATAACATGTCCATATTGTAACTCCTTGATTTTTCAGTTTTAGGCGTTTCTGTTTCCTGCTTCAGGAACTACCCCCATTTCCAGCCCAACCCTTGCACACACTCTTCCTGTTCCCTCACCCTCATTATGGGATTGTCTTGAAATTTTTAGATCCATTTTTGTTATTTTGACTATGTGAAAGATATCTTCAGCTAAGCCATGTAGTATGCTGTAATTGCCTTTCCATTTCCTTCCAAACTCTGTGTTTTCCTTGGATTTATTGTTTTATATGTTTATTTAATTTTCTACTTATCACTAAATTAATGCCAGGATGTCTTTTCTTGAATGTTTAAATCGCTCATGATCAGGTACGTTAGTTAATCTATAAATTTGTTCTGTGTGTGGTGCATGATGATATTCCTGAAATAGTAGTCCTTATCCTTGGGTTGGGTCTGTATCTCCTCCACCCCCGTCATCTTTCTTGGTTACTCATGTTAGCGAGGCCTGTCCTTCAGGCTTCCAGAGAAGAGGATATATGAGAGGTACATTTTTGAAATCTTGCATGTCTTAGAATTTCTTTAATCTTCTCATTTTCTTTAATTTTTTCTATCTTTCATCTCATTTTCTTTTTGTTATCCTTTCTTGGAGGCCACCTCAACTTTTCTCCTAAGTCCGTTGAATCCTTTTTAGCGTATTTTTAGTTTCCTGGAACTCTTGTTCTCTGAATAGTCCTTTATTCTATTTCATGGATGTGGTATTTTTTATTAGCTAAAGTTTATGATAATTTTAAAGTTAGCTAAAAGTTTTTCTCTTTTTGCATGGTTCGTGTTTCCCCAGTTGGTTTTTCCTGTTCATTTTAGTGTTTATAGTCCTTTCTGTTAATTCCTTTTTTCAGGTGGTAATGATTTCTGGTGGTCTACTCACATTTAAGAACAGGAAACTAAAGAGTAGATTGGAACATTATTCATGGTAGCCAAAAAGTGGAAACAACCCAAATGTGTGTCAGTTGATGAATGGATAAACAGGTCTGTTCATACAATGAATGGAATATTATTCAGCCATAAAAAGAAGTGAAGATCTGTGTTCACTAATGAACCTTGAAAACATTGTGCTAAGTGAAATAAGTCAGGGACAGAAGGTCACATATTATATGATTCCGTTCATATGTATTGTCCAGAATAGGCAAATCTGTAGAGACAGAAAGATGAGTAGTAGTCAGGGGAAGGAAGGAGGGGGGAATTGGGATTGCTGATAGGTACAGTGTTTCTTTTGGGGTGATGGAAATGGTGCGGAATTAGGTAGTGGTGATGGTTGCACAGCATAGTAAATAAAACCATAGTACTAAAAACCACTGAGACGTACACTTTAAAATGGTGAGTTTTATGTTGTATGAAATACCGTCTCCATTTAAAAAATATTACTTTAAAAAGAGAATAAATTTGATTAGCAATAGGTTAAAAAAGATGCCTAGGAAAACATGAAATCTTCAGATACTTTTACAAAAACGAGCCTCTTTATGGTTGCACTCTGGAAGGCAAACGTGATCTGAAGGGCGCCATAGCAGGGTAAAACCCAGCATTAGTTTCATTCTTCATGGTAAGGTTTTGTGCTTAGGTGCAGTTATAATCTGTATTTTGTTATATATATAAAAGATGAAAACACCAGAAGCTCTGAGTGAAAGGGTGGGCTTGTTGACCATTGGCACTTCATTAGGAAGCCCCACCCCACCATTATGTCAATCAATGTCTTTTTTTCTTTTTCTTTTTCTTTTTTCTTCAGACGGAGTCTCACTCTGTTGCCCAGGCTGGAGTGCAGTGGCACGATCTCGGCTCACCGCAACCTCTGCCTCTTGGGTTCAAGCATTTCTCCTGTCTCAGCCTCCTGAGTAGCTGGGACTACAGGTGCACACCACCACACCCGGCTAATTTTTGTGGGTTTTTTTTTTTGTAGTTTTTTTTTTTTTTTTTTTGAGACAGTATCGCTCTGTTGCCCAGGCTGGAGTGCAGTGGCATGATCTCAGCTCACTGCAAGCTCCGCCTCCTGGGTTCATGCCATTCTCCTGCCTCAGCCTCCCAAGTAGCTGGGACTATAGGTGCCTGCCACCATGCCTGGCTAATTTTTTGTATTTTTTAGTAGAGACGGGGTTTCACCATGTTGGCCAGGATGGTCTCGATCTCCTGACATCTTGATCCACCCACCTCGGCCTTCCAAAGTGCTGGGATTACAGGTGTGAGCTACCGCGCCCAGCCCTAAGTTTTGTGTTTTTAGTAGAGGTGGGGTTTTGCCATATTGGTCAGGCTGGTCTCAAACTCCTGACCTCAGGTGATCCACCCGCCTTGGCCTCCCAAAGTGCTGGGATTACAGGCGTGAGCCACCGCGCCCGGCCTCCCAATGTCTTTAGTCTTTATTTTTCCTGTCAGGTCTCAGTTCCCAAAAAAGAATCGTCACATATTTTACCTGGGAAATGTAGGCGTGGCAGGGAGCTGAGTGTGGGAAGAGGGCTGGGTAGGAGTGGGGGACGGAGGAGAGGTGTTGGAGCATTCAGTGTGTAAACATTTACTACTATCTCATCCTCATCCTTGCTGTCCTCAAGGTCAGAGACTGCTTATCCTCTCTAGAGACAAAATCTCTTGTCATTTTTTGCTGGGACCAGGGAGGAACAGTTGCCCTCCAGCCATCCTTCTAGAGAGAGCTGTTGCTTCCCAGTTGGAGTTCACGTTCTTGGGCTTGCTGAGTTAGTTCCATTCATCCCTCTGCTTTGCAGCTTCCAAAGTGTGGTTACTGTTGTCTCCTCTTCTGTCCTTTTTGTTCTAATTGGTCAATGCTGTTTTTTAAAATCTCTTTGGTGTTTTAGTGGGGTTTCAGGAGGGAAGGAAATGGTGTGTGTTCAATCTACTTTGAAGTTACACCTTTCTTTTTAACCATACGATTTCAACCGTCTTATTTAAGCATTTCTGGTTTATACAGGCCAATAATTATTGGTGGTATTAAGGTGCCTTGTTTAGTTTTTTTTTTTTTTTTTTTTTTTTTGAGTTGGAGTCTCGCTCTGTTGCTCAGGCTGGAGTGCAGTGGTGCGATCTTGGCTCACTGCAAGCTCTGCCTCCCGGGTTCACACCATTTTCCCTCCTCAACCTCCCGAGTAGCTGGGATTACAGGCGCCCGCCATCAGGCGTCCGGCACCACGTCTGGCTAATTTTTGTTTTTGTATTTTTAGTAGCGACGGGGTTTCACTGTGTTAGCCAGGATGGTCTCAATCTTCTGACCTTGTGATCTGCTCGCCTCAGCCTCCCAAAGTGCTGGGATTACAGGCGTGAGCCACTGCGCCCGGCCTAGACTTTTTTTTTGGGGTTACCAAATTTGGTTTATATCCTATTTAGAACCTGAAACATAGATTTAATTATTTGGTTATGTTTTATTGCAAGTGGAATGTAGTGACATTACGTAGAATTATCTCTTACGAAAGACAAATGAGAACAGATTCAACTTTTAGAAATGAGTCTTTTGTATATTGATGTGACGGGAAGAAGAATTTTTTTTTTAATCCTTGTATTTAACACATAAAAGTGTTAATTGGATACATGTGCACTGTTTTGCCAGGGGCCAATTTTTTGCAGTCAGTTGTGGCAAATGCTCTTTTATTTTAAAACTTAGATATGCTTTCTGTTATCTGCAGTCCTCTACTGTTGCCTCTCCTGTGTAGAGGTCATTGTAGGTTGCATGGACAGGGAGCAGGCAGGCAAGGAGTACCCTTAGACACTAACTTAGTACCATTAGGCACTAACTTGGATTCTCAGTGCCCAGTAGGGAGATGGCTCTATTTCTGTGGCTAATTTCAGACAAGATTGGGTGAATTTAGGGTGGTATGGCTATGGATGCTTTGGCTAATTTCAGATTGTAATCAGTTCTGTGAAGGAAACAAATAGGCAGAAATGATGAATTGTTGTGAGTGGCAATATTGGGAGGCTGCTCTTGAGACCTGGCTGACATCCAGAAGAAGAAAGTATTGTTCAGGAGGTGGGGTGGAATGTCAAGAATGTAATGCCATGAGATGGGAACTGAGTCTTAACGAAGAAAGAGATTAGGCTGGTATGGCCGAAGTGAAGTAGCTGATAAGGGGTAAAGAGAAATGAAATAAGATTGGAGAAATGAGAGCCAGATACAGCGCTGTAAGCTGCAGGTTGATATTTCATTCTCAGTTCAGTGAGAAGGTACTGAAAGATTTTTATTTGGTTGGTCATTTAGACTGGGGGAATAGTAATAGTAACCAGTTTACGTTTTTTACACACCATTTGCTGTTGCTGTGGAGAGTAATCTTTAGAAAGGTAAGCATAAATGCAGTTGACCAGTCAAGGGGCTACTATAGTAGCCCAGGAGAAAGGTGATGGTGGCTTGATTTGGGTGGGAGCTGTAGAAATGGAGAGGAATTCAATATATTGGGGGTAAATTTTGGAGAGAGTACTTAGAAGACTTGGTGATAGAACTGATGTGGGAGTTAAGAAGGGAGGATGATTCTGAAGTTTTTGGCTTAAGCATCTGGTTAGATTGTGATGCTGTTTACTTGATGTCAAATGATCACGGGCTAATGGCCCTCTCTTTTGGGAGTGACATTGCTGAAGCCAGGGAGTGTAGTTGAAGATGTTAAACTGATACATATTGTGAGAAACTGTGCGGCAGCCTAGGATGTGATTGGGTTCTTGGGATGGGAAGGAAATAGTAAGTAGAGCAGACTAGAATTCCTATAGATGGGAATTAAAGTAGAAAAGAATTTCTTAGGTTTTCCCCCTTTTTTCTTCCCCTCATTACCCTGGGCTAGAGTACTACCCTTATGTTACCTTGTGGTGCAGGGCAGAAAAGTTGGAACTAGCTCATGTCTGCAGTGGGTAGCATTAGAGTGGCATTGTATCCCAGCTCCTGTGAGGAATAACTAACAGTGGATATAGTTGGATTGCTTGGTTCTTGAAAGTTCACTTGTTCCCTCCCATCCCTAGGGCTGAATTATTGTAACCAAGGAAGTGAGAATTCAGAAAGGTAAGTATCAGGGTAGACTTAGAGATTGTAATACTGAAATGCTTACTCCCAGAGTTGTATCCCCATGACTCTCTACCCTACTCATCAGTAGAGATACAAAAGCTAGGTGATGCTAGGCTGTAGCCCCTTGTTCCTGCAGTGTTCCTTTGTAGCTGATGTGCCTGGTCTCCCTGGGGAGTATGAATTCAGAGGGGAACATCTGCATTTCCTGTCTGGAGTGTAGTCACTATAAGAGAAAAGTAACAAACCGAACAACATGGAGCAGGTAAAGCAAAATTATTGGAATAGTCAGAATAAAATTTAGCTATAAGCATATTAAATATTCTCGAAAAAATAGAGCATGCTAGAAACATGAAGCAAGAAGGAGAAACCATAAAGAACAACAAACAGGAGCTAGTTGGGGATAGAGGACACAATCATTAGAGAACTCAGGAAATGGAGTGGATAGTATGTGGATACAACTGAAGAACGTGTAGGCAAGCTAGAATGTCCACTCAGATCTCCCACAAGTTATCACGAAAGGATAGAAGCAGAAAATAGACAAGAAAAAGCAATAAAGTGGATAGAGAAGTGTTAATATATGTGTAATAAGGATCTCGGAGAGAAAAAAGTGATAAATTAAGACCAAGATTTTCTTAGAAATGGAGAAGGAGTTGAGAGTTGAGATTGAGAGGGCTTTTAATGCCAAGGGAATATAACTGAATAAGTGTATACATAAGCAGTTATATTGAGACCTTTAGAATGTATTTAAAATCATAAGTTCCAGGAACAATGTTACCTGCCAGAAATAAAAAAAAGCTAGAAAGGTTTAAGATGAAAGAATGGAAAAAGATGGCCAGGTACAGTGGCTCATGCCTGTAATACCAGCATTTTGGGAGGCAGAGGCCAGAGGATCGTTTGAGCCTGGGAGCTTGAGACCAGCCTGGACAACAAAGTGAGACCCTGTCCCTTTAAAAAAAAAAAGGAAAATGATACGGCAAACAAACATGAACCAAAGAAAGCTGGAGTTGCACTTTTACAATCAACATTTACTTTAACATGAGAACAATTCAGAGGGGCAAAGACACTAGATATCAGTGAAAGGAACAGTTACCCAAGCGTATATAATTGATTGTGAACATGTATGTATATAATAATTTCAAAATGTACGAAGCAACAATTGATGGAACAGTTGTAGATGACAGCTGCTACAGATATTCAGTGATACAGTTCATTAAAATGACAAAAATGGAGCAATGAAATAATTGGAGGAGACACGATTCTGATCATTTGCAGATGACCTACACAGAAACCCCAGCAGCATCCATATTTGGGCACAAGATGGATGTGCAAAAAAATACGTAGTGTCCCTGTGGCAGCAGTAGCCAGTTAGGAAACATGGAAGAAGATAGCACAGGAACTGGAACTGCACACCTGTTAGTAACTAGTCTAATGATGAATGCATGAGACACTTATGGAAAACACTTTACAACTATTTTAAAGGTGATAAAGGAAGATGTTTAGTCTTGTTCAAAATGGAGAGCGCTATGTTCATGGATGTGATAGCTTCACATTGTAAAGATGTGACTTCTTTCTGAATTCATTTATAAATTTGATGTAGTTCAAGTTAAAATCCCAGCAGGATTGTTTTGAGGTGATTGATAGGCTTATTTTATAATTTGTAAGGAAAAGCAAAATCTATTATAATAAAGTCACTTTGAAAAGAACAGCATAACTAGGGCATGGGGGGAATGATAGTTGCTTTATCTGCTACGAAGCTGTTTCAAAGCCATAGTAATAGACACATACGAGAGTGGCACGGGGCAGGCGGATACCCGGAGAAACAGTGGGAGACCCTTTGGCTCCTAAGAAGGAACTCCTTCTTGCATATGTGTCAATCTTAGATAAAACGAGATAAATAGGACATCACAAATCAGTGGGGAAAGGATGGATCGTTAGAGGAAACTGGCCTGCTTCATTGGGGAAAAAGCAAATTAGGCTAAGATTCGTACTTTATAGCACATAAACTTTGGTTAAATCACATATGTTTGGAAAGTAAAACTAAACGAAGAAAATATCAAAATGTCAGTTTAGGTGATGAAGGTAATCATAAAAACATAAAAAGCATTAGCCACATTAATGGATTAATGAATATTAATGGATTTTATTCTGTCAAAGTTAATGTCTTTTTAGTGAAGGACTCTATATTTGGAGTTAACAGATGTGAAGAAGAGAGTTTTAAAACATTCCTAAACTGGCAAGAGATTAGTAGCTAAAACCCACAAAGCACTTTTGTAAATCGACAGCAAAAAACAGGGAAATCAGTAGAAGATGGACAACAAATAGTTTGCAGAAAACTTGGTGGTAATAAGTATATGAAGTGTTACTGAAAGGAGGAAAGGAAGTTAAAATAACAGGTGAGCAAAAGTTTGTGATCCTTTATGATCTAGCAGTCTTATTCCTGCGTAGCCTCGTCAGAAGAACATATACACGCCTGTCTATGAGGGTTCTATGTCTTAGGATGTCATTTATAGGATATAGAGTTGGAGCTGGTTAAAAGGATGGATGAGTAAAATGAAGCCATTACATACTAAAGAGTACTATGTGAGTCAGTCCCAGAAGACTTAAAAGTTGGTTGAAAAAACAAAACACCTAGTTTATGGTAGATTACCATTTGTCTAAATCTCTCACACACCCCCCTTCTGGATTTTTCGGTTATACTAACACAGCTGTAGTGGATACCTAGGGTGGAGGTTGTCATGGAAGTGGAATCAGGGACGAAGGAGAAATCAAATGATGAGGGCCTTGCATAGACTCCTGACACTGCATCACGAACCGGAGATTTGGATTAGCTCTACCTGAGATGGGTAAGGAAGAATAACAGCAAGGAGGTCATCATTGAGTTTGATGGGTGGACAATTTTTGTGCAGCAGTGGTTAAGTTGGAAACCAGATGTACAAAGAAGTGAGTGGAAGGAGTGTTTTGAAAACATACATATTGATTGGGAGCAGGAAAAAGGGGGCACTAAGCTGAATGGTCATTTGGAGACAAGGAAGGGTTTTGTTTATTGGTGGCAGAGTGTTCTTAGAGCGAATTCAGTGTGTATGCTGATGGGAATGAGCAATGGGCAGGAAGAAATTGATGCAAGAAAATGGATAACTCTAGGAGTTTAAGTCCTCAAAGGAAGAGGGCTCCAGGACAGAAATCAGTGAGTTTGCCTTAGACTTTTGTATTGAAAGGGGACAGGACATGGAGATGAATGTCAGTTGCTTTGTCTGTTTTGGGGTTTGTGTTTGGCTGTCTTATGTAAGTCAAGGACAGTCTTGGTTATTGGGAGCCAGTGCTGCAGGAACTTCTTTTCCCCAGTGAAACAGCTGTTGTTTTAATAATGTAATATTTTGGCCAGGCACAGTGGCTCACGCCTGTAATCCCAACACTTGGGAAGGCCACAGTAGGCGGATCATCACTTGAGGTCAGGAGTTTGAGACCAGCCTGGCCAACTTTGGTGAAACCCTGTCTCTACTAAAAATACAAAAATTAGCCGGGCGTGGTGGCACGTGCCTGTAATCCCAGCTACTCAGGAGGCTGAGGCAGGAGAATTGCTTGAACCCGGGAGGTGGCGGTTGCAGTGAGCTGAGATCGTGCCACTGTACTCCAGCCTGGGCAACAGAGCAAGACCCTGTCTCCAAAAAAAAAAAAAAAAAAAAAAACACAATAAAATAATAATAATAATAATAATTTTTTTTAAAGAGAATTTTCTTGGGGTCACACACACAAAAAAGAAACCTCATTATAACCAAACAGTGTATTTAGTCTATGTGGAAGTATTTTTATCAAAACATAATATTCAACTATTTGATCTGAAAAATGTTAAATTACTAAATTATTAGGAACCTCCAGTTTTGTAGAATAATCTATTCTTAGTTACTGGGAAAAAAGAGAACTCAGACCTCCTTTGAAGATGAGGCCTAACTGGATATCTGTCGTTCATGTCTGGAGTGGGAAGAAAAGGAACATAGTTTGCTTCTTTGAAGTGATAGTGCTTTATGAGATTGTTACATTATTACCACTGACCTTTAATACTTGGAAAGCTAGCCGGGCTTGGTGGCTCACATCTGTAATCCCAGCACTTTGGGAGGCCGAGGTGGGTAGATCACCTCAGGTCAGGAGTTTGAGACCAGCTGGCCAGCATGGTGAAACGCTGTCTCTACTAAAAATACAAAATGTGGGCCGGGCACGGTGGCTCATGCCTGTAATCCCAGCACTTTGGGAGGCTGAGGCAGGTGGATCACCTGAGGTCAGGAGTTCAAGACCAGCCTGACCATGGAGAAACTCTGTCTCTACTAAAAATACAAAATTAGCCAGGCGTGGTGGTGGGCGCCTGTAATCCCAGCTACTTGGGAGGCTGAGGCAGGAGAATCACTTGAACCTGGGAGGTGGAGGTTGTGGTGAGCCGAGATCGCACCATTGCACTCCCGCCTGGGCAACAAGACCGAAACTCTGTCTCCAAAAAAAAAAGTGAGCTGGGCATGGTGGCGCATGCCTGTATTCCCAGCTAATGGGAGGCGGAGGCGGGAGAATCGCTTGAACCCACGAGGCGGAGGTTGCAGTGAGCGGAAATGGTGCCATTGCACTCCAGCCAGAGCAATAGGACTGAAACTGCATCTCAAAAAACAAAAAAAAAAACCAAAAAACTTGGAAGGCCACATTGTATATTCATCTCTGTTCAGTGTATTCTAAATGTTCTTATGTTCAGGGAGCTTGTTTTCTTTTTATTGTTTTTTTTTTTACAGCAGCTGACACCTTTTGAAAGGAGTATGTTTTCTAACCATCTGCATGATTTTTCATCCTCTGAACCTGGTTGATTACTTTTAACTTTGATAATGCTCTGATGGACCACAAACATACACTTGTTTGTACTTTGAAGTTATTTCATTTAGTGTGAAACTACTAGCTCATGCAATTTATGATTTCTTAATTTCCCAAGGCCACATGAGTTATGAAACAGATAAACCTGTAACTGCATCAAATACACAAACCTGTGAATTATGTAGTATATTGAGTATATGTTAATTAGGACTTTTTACCTAGCTAAGTTTCTCTTTGATAGCTCCAGAATTTCAGCTATCATTAATCGGTCATTGTAGCTTGACTATAAGAGATCCACTTAATCTCTGGCTCCTGGGGTTGCTGTAGAAGTTAATATTAGGCCCAAATAATTTCAAACTAAAAGTATCTGCCCTCCTTTTTCCAAGATGGGAACTATCTAGGATCTTCTAGGTACTCTCAGGTAAATCTCTTGTGATAAAATTTTAGTGATCCATTTTTTTTATCTTTGTTGTACACACTAGGATGCATTTTAACAGCTTTATTAAGGTATACTATACCATAAAATATACCCTTTTAAGGTGTATAATTGAATGGTTTTTTTAAGTAAATTTATAGTTGTATAGCCATCACCACAACCCAGTTTTAGAACATTTCTGTTGACCTAAAACAATCCTTTCTGCCCATTGGTAGTCATTCTTCATTCCTACCACTAGCCCGAGTCAAACACTAATCTCTCGTCTGTCTATAAATCTGCCTCTTCTGGAAATGTCATGTATATAGAAGTGTACATATGTGGTCTCTTGAATCTGGCTCCTTTCACTCCATGTAATCTTTTTGAGGCCTATCCTTGTAGCATGTATTAATAGGCCATGGCTTTTTATTGCCAAATGAGATTCTATTGTATGGATATATTACATTTGTTTATGCATTCACCAACTGATGGACATTTGGGTTGTTTCCACATTTTGGTGATTGTAAATAATGCTGTGAACATAAAATGCACTTTTGATGATGATTCTATGGAGTTGCCTTACTGTAGGGTATTCTGGGTGATACAAACTGATCATGACTATCATGGTCCAGAGTCTGACCTTACTAGCAGATAACACAGATTCAGTATTGTTTTGTTCCCCTGTCCATAGCATAACCCTTGTGGAGTCTTGGTTGGTTAACCAGTGCAGAAGCAGTTCAACACCAATAGTCTTTGAGGATAAGTTTCTTCAGAGGAACTGAAAGACTATTTGTTGATTTAAATACTTAATGACTAACTGTTACATTTAGACAAAACCCTCCTTAGGGCCCAAAAGGTAATATATTTGTTAGTTTTTTAAAAAGTGAAAGCTAATATGACTTTTTTATACTAGTAGTCTTCCTAAATTTGGGATTGGGAATAGTCTTATTTCTCAGAAGATCCTTAAGGGTACTTCTGAGTTTGGAGCTTTGACAGACTGGGAGATGGGTATAGAGCATTTTATAAACTGGCAGGATGACATGTTGGTGAGAAATCCCTAAGGTCTGCCACAAATCTAGGTCCTTTTGGACTTGTGAGCTAGCTGATCTGGTTGGGAAGTAGCATTCTACCGGAGCTGTCCAGCAGTACGTTATGCACTGCTGGAAATGCTCCACATCTGCCCACAGCGGAGCAGCCACAGGTGGCTGTTGAGCACTGCAAGTGTGACTAGTTTGAAGAACAGAATTTTTATTTTTTAACATTTTTATTAAATGTAAATAACCAGATGTAGCTAGTGGCTACTGAATTGGGCAGGACAGTTCCAGATAATTGTATTAACCTGCCGTGAATCAATTTTTAGTTTTTGTCACCTAGATTCTAGCTTCTGGATTTTACTGTTGCTTAACTTTGGAAAATGTTACTATTTAGCATCACTTTCCAGAATGTTGCTTTCTTAATTTGCTTTTGTGCTTTGTATAGGTGGCACAAGAATGGCTCAACTCTCCAAATAGAGAGAATTTCTATCAGTTGCAAGTACGAAAATTTCCTGCCGATTATATAAAATACTGGGAGTTTGCAGGTAAGTTTTTTCTTACGCAACTTGGAATATATGATATAATAATTGGAGATTTCTAATTAAGAGGAGATAGCATTATTTGAATTTAGGGGGACACAAATTTTCTAAGCTAAATTTGTGACTTCTTAGAATATGCTTAAAGTCTTAATGAGGATAGTTACTGGAACAATTATGAATGTAAAATTTATGATTTTTTTCCCCACTCTGTAGTTAGAATACTACAGGCTGAATTGTCAGTGGGGGCTGGGAATGGGAGAGAGGGTGAGTGGAGGGATTTGGTGGGGGTGTTGCATAATAGTCTTTACAGATTCTGAGTAAATCTTCCTGGCATCTGTCTTTTCATTTCATGATTGATCCGAACCACATACCACTTTTATATACTAGTTATAAATACACCAAACATTCAGAACTCTTTAAAATAAAATGAATAAGTCCTCTTTTTACCCCCAACCCCCATCCATCCTCCTCTGTAGATGTGCTTAAAAAAAAATGAGGCTGGGTGCGGTGGCTCATGCCTGTAATCCCAGCACTTTGGGAGGCCGAGGCGGGCGGGGATCACCAGGTCAAGAGATCGAGACCGTCCTGGCCAACATGGTGAAACCCCGTTTCTACTAAAAATGCAAACATTAGCCAGGCATGGTGGCGGGTGCCTGTAGTCCCTGCTACTTGGGAGGCTGAGGCAGGAGAATCACTTGAACCAGGGAGGTGGAGTTTGCAGTGAGCCGAAATAGCGCCACTGCACTCCAGCCTGGCACAGAGACTGTCTCAAAAACAAAACAAAACAAAAACAAAAAACAACAACTACAATTATATGTTACATGTATTATGTACTGTATTCTTACAATAAAGCTAAAGAAAAGAAACTAAAATCATAAGGAAGAGAAGATATATTTATTCATTAAGTGAAACGGATCATCATAAAGGTCTACATCTTTATCATCGTCACACTCAGTAGATAGATGAAGAGGAGGAGGGATTTGTCTTGCTCTCTCAGGAGTGGCAGAGATGGAGAAGAATCTATGAATTAGTGGACCTGTGCACTTCAAACTCATGTTCAATTGTCAGCTGTACATTGAGATGCAATAGCCACAAAGCAGAAAGAAAGCGGATGTTTGGCAGGAACTTATCATTTTCACACATGGTTTAGTAACAGTGAGCCATTTTTATTAGGGAATGATGAGAACTGTCCTAAAATCTAAGTTCCTAGATACCAGCCAAGGGGCAGCCTCGCAAGCAGGTCTTTTGAAGGATAGCATGCCTGCTATGTTAACTCTTTTCTGCACAGCATGTTATGAATAATGCTACTATGATCACCCATGTATCTCTTAGTGTTCTTCTGAATGCATTTTTGTTAAGTTTATATCCAGAAGTAGATTGTGGAATATTAGGGTGTGTATAAGTTCAACTTCAGTAAATAATGCCAAGCCTATTGTACAAAATTATATTCCACCAGCAGTATATGAGAAGTTGCATTTTTCTGTGTCTTCAGCAACACATTTGTATAGATTGTTTTGAGATTTTTAGCTGTTGGGCTGTGTGTATTGATGGTGTTTTGTGGGCTTTTGTAATGTCCTCATTAGGGAGATTGAGCATCTTTTCACATATTTAGTAGCTGTCTCAGTAACCTCTTTTGGAAAGTGCCTGTTCAAGGCTTTTGGTCATTTTCTGTTGTCTTTTTTTCAGTTGATTTGTAGGAGTTCTTTATATAATCTGGGTAGAAGTCATTTCCTCACTTTGACTTACATACTGACTCTTTTTAGTGATGTCTTAAAAATTTCTTTTTCATTCTTATTGAGAATTGCTTATTTGAACATAGTAAATACATCAGTCTTTTATTGTCAGTGCTCTGTGTCCCGTTTCTTAAATGAAGAGTAAGAAATCTTTCTCTGCTACAGGTTGCAAATTACATTCTCTTGCCTTCCTTTGCCCCCACCCCCATCACCCATGGATCAGGATCTCTCTTACCTTCTAGAACAAAGGTTAGCAAACTACAGCTCGCAGATCCACCTACCCCATGTATTGATTTTGTATTGCCCTAGGGTACATTTTTTATGTTCCCCCTTTTTTTTTTCTTTCTTAAATATAGAGATGGGGTCTTGTGCCGTTGCCCAGGCTGATCTCAAACTCCTGGTCTCAAGTGATCCTCCTGTGTCATCAGCCTTCTGAAGTGCTGGGATTACAGGTGTGAACCACCTCGCCCAGCTGGTTTTTACGTTTTTAAAGCTCTATAAAAAAGAGTATGTAACAGGCATTATGTGTGGCCCCACAAGCCTATCTGGCCCTTTACAGAGGAAATTTGGGAACCCCTTTTCTAGAAGCTTTCTTGTTTTGTTTCTGACTGAGGCATGTGGGTTGGGTTCCATTTTTTTTTTTTCCCCCAAGTAGAGGTCTGATTATCCCAGTACTATTTATTGAAAGACCATTTGTGCTTCACTGCACTGCTATGTTTGTCATGCGTCTGGAGTCCACTTAATGTCTGGGCATCAGTCTGTTCTTCTTGAGATCATTTGCCTACCCTTGGGCTCATATCACATTGTTTACTTAATCTAGCTTTATAAGAAGTTTTAATAACTCACAGAGCAAGTCCTCCTACCTTGTTTTGTTTTGTTTGTTCTGTTTTTTGAGATGGAATCTTGCTCTGTCGCCCAGACTGGAGTGCAGTGGCGCGATCCTGGCTCACTGCAACCTCTGCTTCCCGGGTTCAAGCAATTCTCCTGCCTCAACCTCCCGAGTAGCTAGGACTACAGGTGTGCACCACTATGCCTGGCAAATTTTTGTATTTTTAGTGGAGACGGGGTTTCACCTATTGGCCAGGCTGGTCTGAAGCTCCTGGCCTCAAGTTATCTGCCCGTCTTGGCCTCCCAAAGTGCTGGTGTGAGCCACGGCGCCTCACCCCTCCTACCTTGCTCTACTTTTTGAGTGCTTTGGCTATTCTTGGCCCTTTGCATTTCCATATAAATTTTAGAGGAAAAGAAGTGGAAATTTGGGAAGAATTGACAACTTTTAATACTTTCTAATTCATGAATAAGGTATATATCTTCAGTTATTTAGGTTAAATTTTTCTCAGTGTTTTATAGTTTTCTGTGGAGAGGTTTTGCATGTCATCTTCAGTTAGTGACTATGTTAGTGACTATCTCTAAAAAATAAGAGCTTAAAAATAAGTCATACCTAAAAAGTTACCAATAATCCCTTCATATCAGTCAGTGTTCAAATTTTCAGTTATCTCATAACACTTTTTTTCAGCTTAAGATCCAAAGTAGTCCACCCAATGGCATTGGTTGATAGGTCTTTTTAAACTAGAATTCTCTCATTTTCTTCCCTTGCAATTTTTTTGTTGAAAAATTAGTTTTATAGAGTTAATCATGGTCTGGATTTTGCTGATATTGCATCCCCTTGGTGGTGTTTAGAATGTGTCTCTGTCCTCTGTGTGTTTCCTGTATATTGATACCTGGAACTAGAGGATTGATCCAATTCAGGTAAATTTTTGTTACTTGTTTTTGGCAAAACTATTTTATAGTTGGTGGTATGTTCCATCAGCAGCAGCAGGTACGTGGTATCTGGTTTCTTTTTCTGATAATCACAGCTGCTTGTACTTAGTCACTAATTCATTAAAGGGAGCAAAATGGTGATACTTTAATCATTTTATGTTAGCTGGAATACTTCTCTAGAGAGAAAATTCTCTACTACTATTTGGTTACTCAGTAGCATAGTTTATAAAGGAAAGGCAGTATAAATACTTGCTGCTTGACCAGTTTTCAGAATAACGAGTTTAATTCACTAGTAGTCCGGGTGCGGTGGCTCAGGCCTGTAATCCCAGCACTTTGGGAGGCCGAGGGGCAGATCACCTGAGGTCAGGAGTTCGAGACCAGCCTGGCCAACATGGCAAAACCCCGTCTCTACTACAAATACAAAAATCAGCTGGGCATGGTGGCGCATACCTGTAGTCCCAGCTACTAGGGAGGCCGGGGCAGGAGAATCGCTTGAACCCTGGAGGCGGAGGTTGCAGTGAGCCGAGATCGTGCCACTGCACTCCAGCCTGGGAGACAGAGCAAGACTCCATCTCAAAAAAAAAAAAAAAAAATCACTAGTAAGTGCCAGTGGTGACTGGTAAGCTTAAAAAAGAACTATGAGTGCATGGATTGGTGTGCTTGTGTTTCAGTCCATTTCAGTCAGCTCCTTCTAGTTGGCTCTGAGGCTGTGTGCTATGACAAGATGTTCCAAGTTCATCATATATATTGTTTTTATCCCATAACTGAGCTTACAGTTTTCTAAGGAGCCTTGCTATATTTTAGTTGAAAGCAGTATTTCAACACCAATCTGGGCATGCTATATGCTGTTAGTGGGTAATACATCTAAATATAAGGATACATAAAGATTGTAAGTAAAAGATAACCATGCATATCCAAATTAAAAAAAAAAAACTTATTTAGCTCTGTTAATATCAAACTAAATAGACATTAAGGCAGAAAACATTATTATTGTTGTTATTATTATTATTATTTTTTTGAGACAGAGTCTTGCTCTGTCGCCCAGGCTGGAGTGCAGTAGCTGATCTTGGCTCACTGCAACTTCTGTCTCCCGAGTTCAAGCAATTCTCCTGCCTCAGCCTCCTCAGTAGCTGGGATTACAGGTGCTCACCACCACACCCAGCTAATTTTTGTATTTTTAGTAGAGACTGGGCTTTGCCATGTTGGCCAGGCTGGTCTTGAACTTCTGACCTCAGGTGACCCGCCTGCCTTGGCCTCCCAAAGTGCAGGGATTACAGGCGTGAGCCACCATGCCCAGCTCAGAAAGCATTATTTGAGATAAAAAGGGAGTATTTTGGTTCAACAGAAGATATGACAATTCTGAATGCATATACCTAATAAAATAGATAAAGAGCTGGGCACAGTGGCCTGTGCCTCTGTAGTCCCTGCTACGTGGTAGGCTGAGGCAAGATCACTTGAGCCCAGGAGTTTGAGGCTATGCTGTGTTATGATCACATATGTGAATGGTCACTGCACTCTAGCCCAGGCAACATAACAAGACCCTGTCTCTAAATAAATAAATAAATAAAACTGATAGAACTAGAGTATACTTTTTACATATATATGACTTGAACAATTAAATCAACAAAGATGAATTTTAAAAAGCAAGCCTTAAAAAGAAATACAATTGAAGTAGGTGAACCTAATTATATTTTAAATTGGTCATATGTATAACCCACAGAGAAAAAAATGATATAAGTACTTTTAGAAATAGTAGACTCGGCTGGGCACAGTGGCTCACACCTGCAATCCCAGCACTTTGGGAGGCCAAGGCTGGTGGATCACCTGAGGTCGGGAGTTCGAGACCATCCTGGCCAGCATGGTGAAACCTCGTCTCTACTAAAAATACAAAATTAGCCGGGTGTGGTGGTGCACATCTGTAATCCCAGCTATTAGGGAGGCTGATGCAGGAGAATTGCTTGAACGCAAGAGGCAGAGGTTGCAGTGAACCGAGATTGCGCCATTGCACTCCATCCTGGGTGACAAAAACAGCCAAAATTTGTGAGATTTGTTGTCAGTAGTAGAACTGGCTTAGTATTAGTAATTCTTAGATGATTTTGTGTATTGTAAAATAGAGCTAACGTATAAGACAGCTGGTGTTAGGAGGCAGGGTTCCCTCGTTATGGGAGAAGGGAGTTGCATGGGATGGAGTAAGGAGATGAAGAATCCTGTGGGGTTGGATTTGCTTTGGAGGAATTGATTTTTTATTTTGAAATAATTGCAGATTTTTCAAAAAAATTGCAAAATTAGTAGAGTTCCTATAACCTTCACCAAGTTTCCTCAAATGTTAACATCTTAACGTAAAGACAGAACAATGATCAAAACCAGGGTTTTATGTTGGTGTAGACTAAGAGCTAATTAGACCTTATTCATATTATACCACTTGTCCCACAAATGTCTGTTTTCTGCTCCAGGGTCCAATCTAGAATCACAAATTCCATTCAGTTGTGATGTCTTCTTAGTTTCCTTCAGTCTAGGACACTTAGGTCCTCATTCTCTCTGTCTTTCATGGCCTAAATGTTTTTAAAGAGTGCTGTCCAGTTACTTTGCAGAATGTCCCTCCATTTTGGTTTCTCTGATATTTCCTTGTGAGTCAAATTCAGGTTTTGCATTTTTGGCAAGAAAAACATAGAAGTAGTTTGTGCTCTTCTCAGTCTGTCAGATTGGGAGGTACATGACGTTGATAAATCTCATTGCTGGTGATACTAACTTGCATCGCTTTGTTAAGGTGGCGTCTCATGTTTCCACTGTGAAGTTACTATTTTTTCATTTGTAATGAGTAAATATCCAGTTTCTTGTCCTTTTTAAAAAAAAATTTTTTTTAAATTTTTTTTCATTTTTGAGGTTTTTGTTCGAAATAGTTTTTTTTTTTTTTTTTTGAGACGGAGTCTTGCTCTGTCACCCAGGCGGGAGTGCAGTGGCACAATCTCAGCTCACTGCAAGCTCCACCTCCCGGGTTCACGCCATTCTCCTGCCTCAGCCTCCCGAGTTGCTGGGACTACAGGCGGCCGCCACCATGCCCGGCTAATTTTTTGTATTTTCAGTAATGGCGGGGTTTCACCATGTTAGCCAGGATGGTCTTGATCTCCTAACCTCGTGATCCGCCCGCCTCGGCCTCCCAAAGTGCTGGGATTACAGGTGAGGCGTGAGCCACTGCGCCTGGCCCAAAATAGTTTTTTATATCCCCAAATAAGTAGCTAATATGTTTAATTCAGTATTCTTTTTTTTCTTTTTTTTTGAGATGGAGTCTCACTCTGTTACCCAGGCTGAAGTGCAGTGGTGTGATCTCAGCTCACTGCATCCCGCCTCCTGGCTTCAAGCGATTCTCCTGCCTCAGCCTCCCAAGCAGCTGGGATTATGGCATGTGCCACCATGCCTGGCTAATGTTTGTATTTTTAATCGAGATGGGGATTTGCCATTTTGGCTAGGCTGGTCTTGAACTCCTGACCTCAGGTTATCCTCCTGCCTTGGCCCCACAAAGTGCCTAAATTACAGGCGCGAGCCACTGCGCCCAGCCTAATTCAGTATTCTTTTCCTTCCCGGTTGTGGTTTTGGGGAGAATTTTCTTTTTCTTTTCTTTCTTTCTTTTTTTTTTTTTTTGAAACAGGGTCTTGTTCTGTCGCCCAGGCTGACGTTCAGTGGCGCAATCCCAGCTCACTGCAGCCTCAAACTCCCAGGCTGAGAATTTTCATTAGTATGTTGGATCTCCATTTTCTTTTTTTTTTTGTAATCTTTACATATGGATTTATTAATTTTATTTCTATTTCTGAGGTAATGAGATGGTTTACACAATTACAAGTTCAGTGACACCCTTTTCTGCAAGTGTAGTGAAGTCCAGAGTTTGTTCCACTTTTGAGGGTCTTGCAGGACCCTAAATTTTCTCCCCTTTTGGTTCTACCTACAGTATGCAGTTATAAAAGGGTACTTCTCCCTTCTTCTCTTGTCCCTCAGAAGCTTTGAGTTTCAAGTACTGCCAGTTCAAACCCCATGGACCATTAATACCCTGTGCTGTATGCTGTATTCTGATTTTTGTCAGGGTGCTGCATTAGTGTTTTCACACTTGAGCTCGTCTTACCCTTCTCCTGGTAGATTTGGAGCTGGCTGAGGCTCCTGAGCTCTCTTTTTTTGAGACGGAGTCTTGCTCTGTTGCCCCAGCCTGGAGTGCAGTGGCTGCAACCTCCGCCTCCCGGGTTCAAGCAATTCTCCTGCCTCAGCCTCCCAAGTAGCTGGGTTTACAGGCGCCCCACCATGCCTGACTAATTTTTGTATTTTTAGTAGAAACAGGGTTTCACCATGTTGGGCAGGCTGGTCTCGAACTTCTGATCTCAGGTGAACCACCCGCCTCGGCCTCCCAAAGTGCTGGGATTACAGACGTGAGCTACTGCGCCCATGTGGTGTTTTTAATTTTGGTGATTCAGACGGGTGTGTAGTAGTATGTCATTGTGGTTTTAATTTACTTTTCTAGAATGGCTAACAATGTTGAGCATCTTTTCACAGACTTACTGGCAATGTACATATCCCCTTCATGTATCTTCCATTTTTAGTTGGATTGTTTGTCCTCTTATTTTTCCTTATTTTTCAGTTCTTTATATATTCTGGAGACAAGTTATTTATTATATTTATATATTGAAAATATTTACTCCTAATCTGTGGAATGCCTTTTAATTTTCCTAACAGTATCTTTTGAAGAGCAAAAGTTTTGATTTTGATGGCATCCCATCAAAATGCTTTTTGTATCCTAAGAAGCATTTACCTAACCCACGGTCACAGTTTTCTCCTATTTTTTTTTTTCTAAATTTTATGGTTTAATTTTTGTGTTTATGTTGATGACCATTTCAATTTTATTTTTATATATGACATATGTAAGGATTAAGGGTTTTTTTTTTTTTTTTTGCTTTTTTAAAGGTAGAAGTCAGACGCAGTGGTTCATACTTGTAATCTCAGCACTTTAGGAGGCCAAAACAGGAAGATCACTTCAGGCCAGGAGTTTGAGAGCAGTCTGGGCAACATAGCAAGACGCTGTCTCTACAGAAAAGTAAAAAAAAAAATTAGCTGAGCATGGTGGCACACACCTAGAGTCCCAGTGACATGGGAGGCTGAGGCAGGAGGATTTCTTGAGCCCAAGTGTTCAAGGCTGCAGTGAGCTGTGATCATACCACTGCATTCCAGTCTGGGAGATAGAACAAGACCCAATCTCTAAAAAAATAAATCAAAAACAATGTAAAAATAGGTGCTCAGTTTTAGTGTTACTTGTTAAAAAAAATGTAGCCTTTCTCATTGAATAACCTTGCCATTCAATAACTTGGCATATTTGTCGGAATATCAGTTGATCTTGATTGCAGGTCTGCTTTTAAACACCGTTTTCTTTATCTGTATAGCTGCCTTCCACCAATACCACAGTCTCTTATTGTTGTTTTATAAAAAATACTGAAATTGGATAGTCAGCCTTTCAGTTTTGTTCTTTGTAAAAAGTTTCTTTTTATTGTCATCAGTTTTAGAATCAACTTGTCAACATTTATAAAAATGCCTGCTGGTTTTTTTTTTTTTTTTTGCTTTTTTTTTTTTTTTTTTTGAGACAAAGTCTCACTCTTGTTGCCCAGGCTGGAGTGCAATGGCGCAATCTTGGCTCACAGCAATCTCCACCTCCCAGGTTCAAGCGATTCTCCTGCCTCAGCCTCCCAAGTAGCTGGGATTACAGGCGCCTGCCACGACGCCTGGCTAATTTTTGTATTTTTAGTAGAGATGGGGTTTCACCATGTTGGCCAGGCTGGTCTCAAACGCCTGACCTCAGGTGATCCGCCCGTCTCGGCCTCCCAAAGTGCTGGGATTACAGGCGTGAGCCACCACACCTGGCCTTTTTTTTTTTTTTTTTTTTTGAGATGGATTCTTGCTCTGTCACCCAGGCTGGAGTGCAGTGGTGTGATCTCGGCTCACTGCAAGCTCCGCCTCCTGGGTTCACGTCATTCTCCTGCCTCGGCCTCCCGAGTAGCTGGGACTACAGATGCCTGCCACCATGCCCGGCTAATTTTTTGTATTTTTAGTAGAGACGGGGTTTCACCGTGTTGGCCAGGATGTTCTCGATCTCCTGACCTCATGATCCACCTGCCTTGGCCTCCCAGAGTGCTGGGATTACAGGCGTGAGCCACTGTGCCTGGCGGCCATCTGCTGGTATTTTTACTAGGATTGCTTTGACTCTAAAGATTAATTTGGGGACAGCTGACATTTTAACAATATTAAGTCTTAGGCCTTGAACTTAGTACATTTCTTCATTTGTTCAGGCTGTCTTCAGTTTCTCTCAGCAGTGGTTTGTATTTTTCAGAGTATAGGGCTAGATTCGGCAGTTGGTACTGAACTTTATTCCAGTGCTTTCTCTGTTTTCCTAGTCCCATGTAGTTTACAACCGTCTTTCCCCACTTGTTTGAAATGCGTAGAAGTTGCAAAATTCTTGTATGTACAATCACATGTCACTTAATGATGGGGATACATTCTCAGAAATGTGTCAGGCGATTTCATCATCATGCCAACATCATGAGAAGTAAGAGTGTACTTAGAGGAACCTAGGCGGTGTAGCCTACCACACACCTAGTCTGCCAACCTGTACAGCATGTTACCGTATTGAATACTGTAGGTAATTGTAACATGGGGAAGTATTTGTGTATCTAAACATAGAAAAGATACAGTAAAAATATATTATAATCTTATGGGACCACTGTTGTATATATCCGGTCCATCACTGACCACAACATCATTATGCGGTGTATAACTACTTGGATCTGTTTCCGAATTTTCTTCGGGGGTTTTGAAAGTTGGAAACAAATGAGAGAAATTTAGTTAAAAACCAGAATAGGCCAGGCACAGTGGCTCACCCCTGTAATCCCAGCACTTTGGGAGGCTGAGGCGGGCGGATCACGAGGTCAGGAGATCGAGACCATCCTGGCTAACACAGTGAAACCCCATCTCTACTAAAAATACAAAAAAATTAGCCGGGCGTGGTGGCGGGCGCCTCCAGCTATTTGGGAGGCTAAGGCAGGAGAATGGCGAGAACCTGGGAGGCTGAGCTTGCAGTGACCCGAGATCGCGCCACTGCACTCCAGCCTGGGCAACACAGCGAGACTCCATCTCAAAAAAAAAAAAAAAAAAAAAAGCAGAATAAACCTAAAGGAAAGAAAATTTATTAGCTACTTTTCAATATTATAGTTTTGTCTATTTTGGCCTTATAGCAGTTTTGAAGAAAACTATATTCTATAATTGATATTTTTAATATTTGAAGTTTTTGATTGGATTAGATTACCATTTTAAAGTATATGCAGAGTCCTTTAGTGCTGTGTATTTTTGAACTTAATACAAGGATTTAATTTCTTTTAAGTTAATCTTATTTAAAATAATTCTATTAGAGTTATATGAATTCCGACTTCTTCTTGTTTCATAGTTTATCTGGAAGAATGTGAACTGGCTAAACAGCTTTATCCAAAGGAAAACGATTTGGTGTTTTTAGCTCCTGAGAGAATAAATGAAGAGAAGAAAGATACAGAGAGAAATGACATACAAGATCTCCACGAATATCATTCTGGTTATGTTCATAAATTTCGCCGCACGTCAGTCAGTAAGTAAATAATGAGGCATTGACAGGAAATGTCAGATACAGTCTCATCTAATAATCTACTTCTCAATTGTGTATATCAAGTGTATTTGATAGACATTTACCGAACATGTTTTTGCTATGTTGATTACATGGCCATTCAGAGTCTCTTTTCTAGTTTTTCTAGACTTAACTGGAAAAGACCTTGTATTTATTTTTGTAATGTTCTATCCTTTTGTTACATTTCTTTATCCATCATTGTGTTTGCTATAAAATGGACCATTTGCAGACCATCTGTTGTTTGTTAAATTACATTTCATCCTTGGTTTTGTGGCCAATTACTAATGAGATGACCAAACATAAAACTCACTGTAAGGCAGCTTGAGGAATCTGCTTACATCACTTCCATCCGTTGTATGTTTCTCCCTAGGTAATTTAATAACAAAAATATTAGCCTAAATTTAATGAA